>NC_000002.12:206277496-206580527 GCF_000001405.40 Homo sapiens
TTTTTATGAAAAATAAATAGAATGCTTTGGATTCATAAAAAGGCTATATTTGCAAAGTACTTAACTGGGTATGACATTGGGGAAAAATGTTTAACATTGATGATAATTCTGCTCTCAGATTTGAAACTGCCTTCAGATTTTTGTTCTGCTTTAGAGGAACAAAAATGGAAACTCGGGTGAATTACGATGTTGTTTGTGAAAAGACATGTCTCGAAACTCTAGCTAATCTGTCCAAAAAAAAAAAAAAAAGCAACAGTCCCCATACTAAAAATACCAATGAAACAAAAAAGCCCCATTTGATCTTAAACATATATACATTTAGAAGTTTTAAGTTAAATATTAAGGTTATGTGTGCATTTAAAAAATTATCTTACTGATTGACTTTAAGAAGTTAACCCACCAACTACTGGTTCTTGTCTTGACAGGGCTTTTATCTACACTGACAAAATGAAATACTATGCAATCATTAAACATTCTATTTTATTTTACTCTATTTTCTCCTATTTTATGATAGCATTTTATAATGGTATATGAAGGTGCTCATTATATGTGGTTCAGTGAGAGAGGGTGGCTATAGAATAGAATGTACTGTACCTTCCCATTTTTGTAAAAATATGTTTAGAACAAAGACGAATACGATACATGTTAATGGTGGGTAGATTATGGCTGATTTTTATGCTCTTTATTTTTATAATTGTACTATTATAAATGCTTTACTTTTGTAATAAAAATTAATAAAAGTCATTTTTTAAAGAAAAATTAAATGTGTATTTTCTTATTTTGTAAGCATACATGACTATGCTTTAAGGGATACTGACTCTTAACTTGGAGATTTCGGGAATTAAGTAATTCTCCAGTATTTTAGGAAATGGTGCTGAGTAGTTAATAGTTATATCCCTTACGCTTTGAAAAGCTCCTTTGAGTAGGAGAGAATCATTTTTCCAGAATTTTCTTAAAGCACCCTCAAGAATACCTCTTTCCAAAAAAACTTCCACAGTGCCTAAAGATACGGTCTAAATTCTTTAGTATGCTTTTGAATACTACCATGTCAAAATCCAATCTACTTGCCCTGGTTTATTGCCCCTTAAATTCTCAAATGAAACCTTAGATTCAGCTGAATTTATTAATTTACTATCTCCAAATGTACTTTGTATTTTCTTACTTTCGTACCTTTGCTTGTTGTATCATTTCCCAACCTTTGAGTGAGTAAATCCTACCCATTTTCCAGTATCTGGTTAAAAAACCGTATCCACAGTGGCATCCCTCGCCGCTCTAGCTAAAACTGAACTTTGCGTTGAACTCATTAGCATTTATTATTTTTGCTGAGGCATTTCTTAGGCAGCACCTCATTCTTTGGCTTTAATTTCCCAATTTCATTTTAAATTTTTTGAGGGTAAGAAAACTTGTCTCATATTTGTCTCTATCCCTTAAAGTTTCTAGCATGGAACTCTGTGCTGAGTGGGTGCTTAATAGTTATTCTTTGATTATACCGTGGTGTCACTGGCTCTCTTGAGCCTATGTGTTGGAATTTTTTCTTAACCAGTGATCCTGGATAAGGAGCAGCACTTTGCCTACAACAATGCGGAGGAATAAAAAACATGCTTCTGCTTAATAGTGTATTGATATAGATAGGTGTTAAAAGAATTGACAGTATTTTTCATTAAAGCTAACGTGGTACCTGAGCCTCGGGAAGTTTCTCATGAAGCTCATTTTGGGTTTGACAGCATTTTTGCTCTCAACTTTACCAGAGGCACAATTGAGCCTTATAGTCTTTTACAGCTACTGTTCCAGGAACCTAGAGACCTGCAGTGTTTGATGGTGGGTTAGATGGGCCATCACAGTCACTGCGCCAGAACTTTAGGAGGTCATGTGTGAGATTCAGTGAGTCATAGTATGTAAAGTGCTTTGTACTCCAAAGTTAATATTTTTTCTTATATTATTGGAAACATGTCACCGTTCACAATATATCTGGATGTATTTATTTGGTCAATGGTAGACACTTATGGGACCTCTTCTAAAAAATGATTTTATTTTAATTTACAGATACTTGCCAGAACTAATACAGCTGATGAAATACCTGACCTTTTCTGCTCCAGGTAAATAATTTTTTACTTTATAAAAATATCAGGTTCTAGGAGAATTCAGAGTTTGTATAAAAATACCTATTTAGGCATGCAAAGTAATATAAATCCAGACCCTAAAGAAATGATCCCTTTAATAAATAAGTTTTATTAGTTTATAAAAAATAATGACTTATGTTATTGAGTCAACTTACAGCAGAATCACCTTGAGCATTTTATTTTATTCTATTTTATTTTATTTTTTCGAGACAAAGCCTCGCTCTGTCACCCAGGCTGGAGTGCAGTGGTGTGACCTCGGCATGCTGCAGCCTCCACCTCCTGGGTTCAAACGATTCTATTGCCTCAGCCTCCCGAGTAGCTGGGACTATAGGCATCTGCCACCACACCCAGCTAGTTTTTGTATTTTTAGTAGTGACAGGTTTTTGCCATGTTGGCCAGGCTGTTCTCAAACTCCTAACCGCAGGCGATCCACCTGCCTCGGCCTCCCAAAGTGCTGGGATTACAGGCATGAGCCACCATGCCCAGCTGCCTTGAGCATTTTAAATATGCTTTATAACGTATGTCCTGGGTTCCCTTGACCACTGGGATTTTGATTTGCTAAGTTTCTGATGGGGTCCTGGCATGTTAATTTTTAAAAATGCCAACACATGCTTCTGGTTTATTGTAACTCACTGTCATTAAGGCACTAGAGATGACGGAAGTGGCAGGTGATAATGCCACAGGAGTTAAGGGCCATAGGGTTAAAGACCAAAAATATTTAAGTATTTACATTTTGTGTGTATGTGATATTAGATTAATGGTTTACTTTTGTCCTTTATTCAATGAATGTTTTAATTATATTTTCAATCCCCCAAAAGTTTATTTTAGGATTTTTCAAAGTTTACATTTAAGCTCTAGGTTCTCTCAGCTTGAAATTTGCCTTATGTGTAAGTACAATTTAAAATAAAAGTTTGTTCTGTTTTATTGCTGTAGGTTAATAAGTGAAGTAAATTAGTGGAAAAGAGACCAAATTTTAAGTAAGTAATGTCTTACATGTTTTTTGTGTCAGAGGCTGGTTTAATTGATTAATTTTCCTCATAAATGTGAGAAGTCAGAAAATCAATTTCTCATAATAAGAAGTAATAGGTAAGTAAATATTATGCTAGCATTTTGACTTAATGAAGCTTTTTTCCCCTCATCTTATGGTTTTAAGGCTGTGATTTCATTTTTCAGTTATTGATTTTAATGATTAAATTTTTTCCATTGCAGAAATTCTCATAACATGTTATAGAATGATTGTTATATATTTTCCAACAGATAAGAATGCTTAAATTAATTGAAATACAAAATTATTTGTAATTCTGTTTTCGGCTTAACAAAGCAGCAAATAAACTGCATTAAATTTTTTACTTAAAATAATCATAAATTATATGTACATTGTGTCAGTTAATACATTGGTAGGGCATGAAAATTACTGGGGGAATTTTAAAAATTCTGAATCCTAGGCTCACCCTAGCTCTACTAAAATTTTGGGTATTCAGCCTGGTTTGGGAACCATGCAGTATGTAATGTTGAAGGATTATACTTTTAGGTGAGTGGAAACTGGAAAACTATTTATTTGTAGAGAAATCTAAACAGTAATAGGAAAAAAATCCCTCCTATTTATCTGGCTTACATAATTGTCAGAAGAAAAGTGTTTTGTGTTTCAGAGGCTAAATTAGTTGTTCTGATTTTTAGCAACTGTGTTGGATAAATTATTTAAAAACCTGCCTCTCTATGAGCTGAGCAGAAAATGCCATGTGGTGTCTTTACACTCATGATAACAGAGAATGAGACGTTGTCAAATAATCTGGGGTTTGATATGGAAACATGATGGGGAAATTAATGAGCTCCATTAGAGTATAGTAAATATACCATAACAATATCTTAGAAGTAATTGGTCTTCGCAAATTGAATATTGTATTCTTTGTTACTAAATCAATATCTAATATCTCTAATAAGTTATTAGAAAAACTAAATATTCAGTCATCTAGTCTTCAAACATTGGCAACAAACTGCTCTTTCATAAGATACATAGTTCTTGTCTCTGCTCCAGGTTCACTTATTTATTCAGTGGCTCATGGCAGCCTTGTATATTTTCCTAATTATTAGAAGTGAATTTCTGTTTTCTGCTAATTATCATAGCCATTTTCCTCATAAGAGTAAGGAATTATGATTTTTACCATTTTTCTTTTTGTTTTTCAGCTTGAGTATTCAAAGACAGTAGCCATCTGACTTCAGTTATTTATTCAAGATGCAGAAAAGACAAGGATATTGCAGTTATTGCCGTGTGCAGTATAATAACCTGGAACAGGTGAGCGGTTTCTATTAATATGATAATATCTCAAAGGACCTAGTTGTGACTTTCTCTTACATTTTATTAAATTAATTTATTTATTCATTGAACAGATCATATTGGGAATCTATTAGTTGGCAGACACTGTTTAAGGTTCTAGGGATATGACCATGAACAAAAACCAAGCCTCTTTTTTCATGAAGCTTATATTCTAGTATAGTAAGACAGAAGATAAATAATATATAAATTTAGTACATAATGCGTGAGATTGTGATAAATGTTATGAGGAAAACAAAATAGGGAAGGGGTAGGGTGGCCAGGTAAGGCCTTTTTAAGGAAGTGACATTGAGTTGAGATTTGGAGTTTGGGTCTCAGGTTTGCATTTATCTGGGGAAAGATTTTCTAGGTAGAGGGAAGAGACAGAGACCCTGAGGGTACAGAGTGGTTGGCACACTAACGAAGAGCCAGGAGGCCGGTGGCTGCATGGATGTGGGGAGGTGGGTGAGAAGTAATAGGCAAAGAATTCAGACAAATCAATTCTGTATTTTAGATTCAGGGGGTATATGGGCTTGTTTGTTACATGGGTATATTGCATACCTGCTGGGGATTGGGCTTCTAGTATACCCATTACCCAAATCGGAGAAGTCGATTCTTTAAGACATTGTAGGCTAAGGTAAGGACTTTGAATTTTATTTCAAGTGAGATGGGAGAGCATCTCAAAGTTTGAGCATAGGAGTTAAATCGTCTACTTTGTGTTTTAAAAGGTTCATTCTGGCTGCTGAGGGAAAAATAGTTGGTATAGAGATTTAAAAATTTTGTTATTGTGATATAACTCATACACCATAAACTTGACCCTTTAAGGTGTATAATTCAGTGATGTTTTATTATGTTCACAAAGTGGTACAACCATTGTCTAATTCCAGAACATTTTAATCACCCTAAAAGGAAACCCTGTACGCACTGAGCAGTAACTCACTCCTCCCTTCTGTCACCAGCCCCTGGCAACCGCTAGTGTATTTCCTGTCTGTATAGATTTGCTTATTCTGGATATTGCGTGTAAATGGAATCAAACGTTGTGTGGCCTTTTGTGTCTGGCTTCTTTAATGTAGCGTAATATTTTCACGGTTCATCCAGGCTGTAACATGCATCACGACCTCGTTCCTTTTTATGGCTGACAATGTTCCATTGCATGGATATATCACATTTTGTTTATTCATTGAGCAATTTATGGATATTTGGGTTGTTTTTACTTTTTGACTGTTATGAATAGTGCTGCTATGGATATATGTGTACAAGTTTTTGTGTGGACGTATGCTTTCACTTTTCTTAGGTTTACATGTAGAGTGGAATTGTTGGGTCATGTGGTAATTGTGTTTAACTTTTTTGAGAGGGTGCCTCACCGTTTGTCAAAGTGGCTGTACCTTACCACCAGCAATGTATGAGGGTTCCAGTTTCTCCACGTTCTTGTCAGCACTTGTTGTTGTCTGTTTTGTTTTTTGTTGTTGTTGTTGTTGTTGTTATAGCCATCTTTGTGGATGTGAGATGGTATCTCATTTTGGCTTTGATTTGCATTTCCCTAATGACATATAGTGTCTTTTCATTGGGCATTTGTATATCTTGTTTAGAGGAATGCCTCTTCATATCCTTTTCCTATTTTTAATTGTGTTGTCTTTTTATTGTTGAGTTGTAGAAGTCTTTATATATTTTGGATAATTGACCTTTATCAGATGTATGATTTACAAATACTTTCTCCATTCTGTGGGTTGTCTTATTACTTACTCTTTTTTTTTGAGACAGGGTCTTGCATTATTGCCCAGGCTGGAGGGCAGTAGTGCGATCATGGCACACTGTAGCCTCTGCCTCCTGGGCTCAAGCAGTTCTCCTGCCTCAGCCTCCCAAGTACCTGGGACTACTGGTGTGCACCACCGTACCCAGCTAATATTTTATTTTTTGTAGAGATGGGGTCTCACTATATTTCCCAGGCTGGTCTCAAACTCCTGGGCCCAAGTGATTCTCCTGCTTTGGCCCCTGAAAATTTTGGGATTACAGGTGTGAGCCACCACAACTGGCCTTCTTTTTACTTTCATGATGCTATGTTTTGATGCACAAAAGTTTTAAATTTTGCTGTTTTGCTTATGTTTTTTGGTGTCAGAAGGGTTGCCTAATCTCAGGATGGAAGATTTATGCCTATGTTTTCTTCTAAGAGTTTTACAGTTACTCTTACATTTAGGTCTTTTATCTGTTTGAGTTCATTTTTGTATAGGGTGTGAGATAGGGCTATACTTTTTTTTTTGAGTCTGTAAAATTAAATCTGTTTCATAGAAATCATGTTAAAATTCATGCGCATCAGAGCTCTCCCTGTGCTACCCATAGTGGATGTATGTATGTATGTATGTATTTATATTGATTTGTTTACTTTTATTATTTTTATAATTATACATATGTATGGGGTACAGTGTGATATTTTGATACATGTGTATAATGTGTAATAATCAAATTGGTAATTAGCATACTCATCACCTCAAACTTTTATCATTTCTTTGTGTTGGAAACATTTAAAATCCTCTCTTCAACTGTTTGGAAATTTACAATCAATTATTATTAACTATAGTCATCCTACAGTGTTGTATAGGACTTTAGAACAACTAGAACATATTTCTCCTATCTAGCTTTAATTTTGTATTCATTAATTATCCTCTCCCAATTTCTCTTCCCTGACTTCTTCCCAGCTTCTAGTAATCAGCATTCTATTCTCTAGTTTTACGAGCACAACTTTGATGACAAGATTTTCTTCTTTTATGGCTGAATCGTATTCTACTGTGTATATATACCACATTTCCTTTTTGTGTGTGTGTGAGATGGAGTCTTGCTCTGTCACCTAGGCTGGAGTGCAGTGGCATGATCTTGGCTCACTGCAACCTTCGCCTCTTGGGTTCAAGCAATTCTCCTGCCTCAGCTTCCCGAGTAGCTGGGATTACAAGAGTGCACCAACACACCTGGCTGATTTTTGTATTTTTAGTAGAGATGGGGTTTCACCATGTTGGCCAGGCTGGTCTCGAACTCCTGACCTCAGGTGATCCACCTGCCTCAGCCTCCCAAAGTGTTGGGATTACAGGCGTGAGCCACTGCGCCTGGCCCCTTTTTTCTTTTATCTGTTGATGGACACTTAGATTGATTCTATATCTTAGCTATTGTGAACAGTGCTGTAGTAATAAACATGGGGATGCAGATATCTCCTTGATATACTGATTTCCTTTCCTTTGGATAAATACCTAATCAGTAGGATTGCTGGACCATATGGTAGTTATATTTTTAGGTTTTTGAGAACATTTATACTCTTTTCCATAATGACTATAATAATTTGTATTCCCACCAACAGTGTGTAAGAATTCCCTTCTCTGCATCCTTGCCAGTGTGTTATTTTTTGTCTTTTCGATAATAGCTATTCTAATTGAAGTGAGATGATATCTCATTGTGGTTTTGATTTACACTTCCTTGATGATTAGTGATGTTGAACATTTTTTAATATACTTGTTGGCCATTTATATGACTTTTTGAGAGATGTCTTTTCAGCTTATTTGCCCATTTTTAAGTTGGATTATTTCCTTTTGTTGTCATTGAGTTGTTTGAGTATTCCATATTCCAGGTATTAATCATCTTTTGGATGAATGGTTTGCAAATATTTTCTCCCATTCTTCAGTCTGTTGAAGTCTCTCTTCACTCTGTTGATTGTCCTTTGCTGTGCAAAAGCTTCAGTTTGATATTATCCAGTTTGTCTATTTTTGCTTTGTTCCCTGTCCTTTCGAGGTCTTTTCCGTAAAATCTTTGCCCAGACCACTGTCCCAAAGCATTTCCCCTGTGTTTTCGTCTAGTAGTGTCATAGTTTTGGGGCTTACATATATGTCTTTAATACATTTTGAGTTGATTTTTGTGTATGGTGAGAGATAGGGGTCTAGTTTCACTTTTCTGCATATAGATATCCAGTTTTCTCAGCTTCATTTATTAAAGAAGCTGTTCTTTCCCCCAACTTATGGTATTGGTGCCTTTGTCAAAAATCAGTTGGCTGCAAATACATAGATTTATTTCTGGGTTTTCTGTTTTGTTTCATATCTGTACATTTTCAGAAGTTCCTCTTGTTACTGATTTCTAGTTTATGCTATTGTGGTCAGAAAAGATACTTGATATAATTTCAATTCTTTTGTATTTGGAGACCTCTTTGTGGCCTAATATGTGGCCTATCCTGGAAAATGTTGCATGTGCTGATGAAGCAAATGTGTATTCTGTAGCTGTTGGTTGAAATCTTCTGTAAATATCTGGTAGGCCTATTTGGTCTAAAATGCAGTTTAAATCAAGTGTTTCTTTGCTGATTTTCTATCTAGATGATCTGTCCAATTCTGAGAGTGTGATAATCAAGTCCTCAGCCAGTCTAATAGTATTTGCTTTATTTATCTAGGTGCTCTGGTATTGAGTACATATATATTTATAGTTGTTTTATCTTCTTGCTGAGTTGATCCCTTTATCATTATATGATGGCCCTCTTTGTCTCTTTTTACAGTTTTTGACTTAAAGTCTGTTTTATCTATCATAAATGTAGCTACTCCTCCTCACTTTTGGTTTCCAGTGCATGGAATATCTTTTTCCATCCCTTTGCTTTCAGTCTATATGTGTCTTAAAAAAAAAAAAATAAAAGAGATGGAGTCTTACCATGTTGTCCTTGCTGGCCTTGAATTCTGTGCTCAAGATATCCTTCTGCCTCAGCCTCGTTAGTAGCAGGGACTACAGGTGCATGCCATTGTTCCCAGCCATCTATATGTGTCTTTACAGGTGAAGTTAGTTTCTTGTAGGCGGTGTATTGTTAGGTCATGATTTTTAAAATCGATTCAGCCCAACTGTATCTTTTAAGTGGGGAATTTAATCCATTTAAATTCAAAATGATTATTGATATGCGAGGAATTGCTTCTGTTATTTTGTTAATTGCTTTCCGGTTGTTTTATGTGTGCTTTATTTTTTCTTTCTGTCTTATCGTTGCAGTTTGGTGGTTTTCTGTAGTAAGTAGGTAGTAGATCCCTCTTGGTGTTAGGTCTGACATGGCCTATAAGCAGCTTTAGTAGCACTGTGTTCCAGTTGCAGGTGCTTGGAGTGGCTGTGGGACCAGGGTCCTAGGCTCATAGGCTTATGAACCTATTGTTGCACCTGGATCTTGGGGTACAGATTTGCTCTTTGGTGGGGTTGGATGTCTTTTCTCTTTCTCCTTTGCATGTCTGTTCTACCAGTGAGTTTTTATACTTTTGGATGTTTTTGTGAAAGTAACTATTGTCTTTTTTGCTTGCCAGATGTAGGACTCCTTTGAGCATTTCTTGTGAGCCTGGCCTAGCGGTGATGAATTCCTTCAGTTTTTGTTTCTCTGGGAAAGACTTGATTTTTCTCTCATGTCTGAAGGATAGCTTTGCTGGGTATAGTATTGTTTGGCTGTTGGAGTAGTTTTAGCACTTTCAATATATCATCCCATTCTTTGCTGGCCTGTAAAGTTTCTGCAGAGAAAGCTGCTGTTAGTCTAACGATGATTCCCTTATATGTGACTTGATGCTTTTGCTGTTTTTCAGATTCCATCTTTGGTCTTTGACCTTTGACAGTTTATAATGTGCCTCAAGGAGGACCTTTTTGGGTTGAATGTATTTGGGATTCTTTGAGGTTCTCATATCTGGATATCCATAGACTTGGGAAGTTTTTGGCTATTATTTCATTAAATAGGTTTTCTATGCCTTTCTTCTTGTCTTCCCCATCTGGATTCCTATAACACAAATATTTGTTCACTCAGTGGTGTCCCATAAGTCTTGTAGGTTTTTTTCACCTCTTTTTCATTATTTCTTTTTTTCCCTGTGACTGGGTAATTTCAAATGACTGATCTAAAAATTCAGAGATTTCTTTCTTCAATTTTATCAAATCTGCTATTGAATCTCTGTATTGTATTTTTTATTTTGTTCATGGAATTCTTTAGCTGTAGGATTTCTGTTTGGTTCTTTTTTATGATTTTTATCTGTGTTGAATTTTTGTTCATATTGTGAATGGTTTTTCTGATTTTGTTGAATTGTCTATATATATTTTCTTGTCTCTCATTGAGTTTCCTTAAGATCTTTATTTTGAATTCTTTTTCAGAAATTAGTTTATTTTCATTGGGTTATTTTTATGAGGAAGTTATGTTCCTTTGGTGATGTTATATTTCTTTGCTTTTTTATGTTTCTTATGTCCCTGCATTGATGTCTCTGCATCTGGTGGAACAGTTACTTCTTCCATACTTTCTGGAGTGGCTTTCATATTGAATAACTTTTATAACTTTTACCTGCAGTTGGGCTTTAATGTTCTAGTTGGGAGAGTGTGGTTACTCTGTTGCTAGATAGATGCAGTGGTATATAGTCTTCATTCAGTTTCTTCAGCTGTGTTCACCATCAGCAATAACTGTGGGCACTTCAGTGGCCTACACTGTAGAAGTTTGTGGCAGTGGCAGCAGCATAGGCTGTGAATGTCCTTGATGTCAAGGGCTTCTGGGATCCACCTGTTCTTGTTTTCATTACGATGGGGAGACTTAACTGAGTAGATCCCTCTTGGTGTTAGGTGTGACGTGGCCTATAAGCAAGCAGCTTTAGTAGCACTGTGTTCCGGTTGCAGGTGCTTGGAGTGGTTGTGGGACCAGGGTCCTAGGCTCATAGGCTTATGAACCTATTGTTGCACTTGGATCTTGGGGTACAGATTTGCTCTTTGGTGGGGTTGGATGTAGGTTGCCCACAGAGCCAGGACCTGTAACTTTTAGGCACCCCCTAGTAGCTGGGGCCCAGGGCATCAGGTCGTAGCTGAGATTCTACCCCTGAAGGGCAGGGCACAGCACTGACCTGACTCCAGGGAAAAATAGTTGCTCTGGAGGTTTGATCCTGGGGAGCAGGGTGTGGCTGCAGTTCAGAGCTCAGTGGCAACTTAGGTCTCAGGGGATGAGGCATTGTGTAGTAGTGACTCTAGACACTGGGATGGTGGGACTCAGCAGCAGCAGATACACAGCTGTTGTTTAGACCCAGGGTAGGGCAGGGAACAGTACAACAATGACTCCATTCCCCAGGTAAATGAATGTCTCAGCAGCTCAGACTCTAGGGGTCTAGTCTGGTCTAGGAAAGCAGAGTACTAGAGTTGTTTGGCTAGTAGGATGAGGTGTCTAAGCGTAGCCACTGCTCTGTTTCCCTGGGACATGAGGTACTCAGCCCTGGGGTGCACAGCTGCTCAGCTTGGCCAGGACACTATTTCCCCAGGGGGCAATGTGCTGCTTCAGTTCAGGTTTGGGCGGGGTTGGGGGACAGTGGCGTGAGTGTTCCTGGCGGCCATTTCTCTGGGATGCAAGGTGCCACTTCAGCTTAGGTATTGGGGTGTGTGACTACTCTGAATATGTAAGGCAGTTTCCTGCAATTCAGGATGCTACTTCAACCTAGGCACTGGGGACGCATGACTTCTTTGAGCCGCTGAGGTACTATTTTTCTGGGAGGCAGGGTACCACTTCAGCTCCAGCCTGATGGGGTGAGAGGAGAGGTGGGTGAAGTGGCTTCACTTCTTCTTGGTTCTATGAGGAAGGGTTTAACCACTGTTTGTAGCTTGGCCTGGGGATGTGAGGCCACCGGGCTGGGATGATTCAGCAGTGGCTTAGCCTCAGGGACAAAAGGGAGCCATGGCTACTTGCCAATGGAGCAAAACACGTTTCAGCCATAGTTCCACTTGCAAGATGGTGTAGCCACATGGGTCACAGGGGTCAGGGCACAGTATTGGCTTCTTCTCTCAGGGGAACACAGTGGTGTTGACCCCAGACGGCTCCCTCAGCTGGTCTTTGTCCCTGTGGGGACTGCAGGGGTGAGGTCTGTAGGTGTCCAAGGTGTTAATGGGGGTTGGTTGTTGGGATCCTCTTGCTTGCCTCCTTGCTATAGAGAGAAGTTCTTCCTGGTTCCCAGCTGATCCCAGTTGGGAATGGGGTGGTGGAGGCCTGGCATTCCCTTCTGCTCTCTGTGTTGCCATTCTGAGTTCTATGCTCACCCTGGTTTCTGTTTCTCCTCTGATGCACTCCATTGCCCTTCTTCAGTTGTTTTTGTTAAAATATAGTTGTTTGTTCATTGTGCTGGCCATCTTTTTCCAAGTTTATTCTTTTGCATGTGATATACAGTAGTATCAGCACCATTTGTTGAAGACTATCCTTTCCACATTCAATTGCCTTGACATCCTTGTTGAAAATCAGTTGACCATAAATATAAGGTTTACTTCTAGACTTTCAGTTCCATTTTATTTATCTATATATCTTCTCTGATGCCAGCACCACATAGTCTTGATTACTGTAGCTTTGTAGCAAAATTTGGAATCAGGACATTTGAGTCCTCCAACTTTGTTCCTCTTTTTCAAGATTGTTTTGGCTATTCTTGGTTCCTTGTATTTCCATGTGAATTTAAAGATCACTTTGTTAGTTTCTGCAGAAAAGCAGCTGGAATTCTGATAGGGATTGTGTTGAATCTGTAGATACATTCATGGGGAATGTATATCTTAATATTAAGTCTTCCAATCCATGAATAGAGGTATGTATTTCCATTTACGCAGAGCTTTAAAATCTTTCAGTGGTGTTTTGTAATTTTCAATGTGCAAGTTTCACACTTCTTATGCTAAATTTATTCGTAAGCATTTTATTCTTTTTGATGCTATTGTAAATGGAATTGTTTTCTTAAGTTCATTTTGGATTGTTTATTGCAAGTGTATGGAGAGCTTCAATAGATTTTTAAATATTGATCTTGTATCATACAACCTTGCTGACCTTGTTTATTAATGCTAATAATTTTTTTTGTAGATTCCTTAGGATTTTCTATGTACTACATTATGTTCTCTCCAAATAGTTTTACTACTTTTTTCCCCAATCTGGATGCCATTATTTCTTTTTCTTGCCTAATTGCTCTTGCTAGAATTTCTAGTATGATGAGTGTTAAAGTAGTGAGAATGGATATCCTTGGTTTTTTTTGGATCTTGGGAGAAAACTTTCAGTCTTTCATCATTAAGTTTGATGTTAGTTGTGGGTTTTAGCCTAATTTGCTAAGTGTTTAATCATGAAAGGGTATAGGCTTTTGTCAAATGCTTTTCTGCAACTATTAGATGTATGTGTTTTTTTCCTTTAGTCTATTAATGTAATATATTACAGTATTCATCAGCTCAGGCTGCCATAATAAAATACGATAGACTAGGTAGCTTAAATCAGCGGTCCTCAACCTTTTTGGCACCAGGGACTGGTTTCGTGGAAGACAATTTTTCCACAGATGGGGTGGAGGGGTGGTTTTGGGATTTAACTGTTCCACCTCAGATCATCAGGCATTAGATTCTCAAAAGGAGCACGCAACCTAGATCCCTTGCATGCACAGTTCACAATAGAGTTTACGCTCCTATGAGGATCTAATGCCTCCACTGATCTGACAGGAGGTGAAGCTCAGGTGGAAACGCTTGCTTGCCTGCCGCTCACCTCCTGCTCTGTGGCCCAGTTCCTAGCAGGCCACAGACCAATACCTAACAGCCCTTCTCACTGTGTCCTCCTGTAGCAGAGGGAGACGGCGATTTCTCTTCCTATTTTATAAGGCCGCCAATCCTATTGAAGATGTCGCTACTGTTAGGACTTCATTTAACCTAAATTACCTCCTAAAAGCCCTGTCTCCAAATATTAGGGGTTAGAACCTTAACATGTGAATTTTGGGGGGATGTAGTTCAACCTATAGCAGTTAGATTGATTGGTTTTCAGATGTTAAACTTATTTTGCATCTGTGGGATAAATCCCACTTGGTCATGGTGTATAATCCTTTTTATATGTTGCTGGATTTGGTTTGCTATTAATAATATTTTGTTGACAATGTTTGCAGCCTTGTATTTCAAGGCTTTGGAGAACTGTAAAAGCAGTGAAGTAATATGGGGCCCATATCTAGTGAAGTATTTAACAGAAACAATGGAAGCCAAAAGAAAGAAAACAACTGCCACCTAGAATTCTCTACTCAATACGTATATCTTTTAATAAGGAAGGTGAAATAAAACTATTTTCAGGAAATAAAAATTAAGGGAATTTGTCACCAGCAGACTCTCACTAAAGGAAAAACTAAAAAGGAGTTCTTCAGGCAGAAGGAAAATGATTCCCGATGGAAGCTCAGAGATACAGGAAGTAATGAAGAACAGTGGAAAGGTAAATATGTAGGCAATCAATCTAAGTGAATACTGTCTTGTGGGATGAACAACAATGGCATATAAATTGGGAGGGGAGTAAATGATGTTAATTTCTAAGGACTTTGCATTGTTTATAAAGAGAATAAAAGTAACAAGTAATTTTAGGCGTTGACAGTTCAGGGTTGCTCATTGTAATCTCTTACCAAAATAGACTATGAAAAGTCTGTAACTAACTACAGAGTTAACAGAAAAGGAAAAATTGAAATGATGAAACGTAGTCCACAAGAAGACAAGAAAGGAGAGGAAAAGGGATAGTTGTATAGGCAAGAGTAACAGATTGAAAAAGTTAAATACAACTCTATCAGTAATACATTAAGTGAAAATAGGTTTGATGCTTGAATTACAACTGTATTCAATATTTTGTCAGAGGTCCTAGTCAAAGAAATAAGGAAAGAAAAATAAAAATGATAAAGATTGGATAAGAAGAAATAAAACTATTATTTATACACAACATGATGGTGGACATAAAAACTAAAAAGATATCTAGATAAACCATTAGAATCAATAAGTGATTTTAAAAGGTTGTTACACTAATGTAAAAAGAAAGTGTATTTTTATATACAGATACCATGCAGAAAATGAGATAAAAAATCATTTACAATAGCATCAAAGAACATCAAAATCTAGGGAATAAACATAAGAAAATGTAAGATCTTTAAACTAGAAACTATAAACCTTGAAAGAAATTTTCATGTTCATGGATTGAAGAATCAATATTGTAAACATGTCAGTTCTGCCTAGATTGTTATATTTATCCAATGTAATTTCAATCAAAATCTCAGAGAAGTATTTTTTTTTAATGAAAAGCCAATTCCAAAAATAAATGTGGGAAAGTAAAAGGCTCAGAAGAACTAGGATAATCTTAAGAACAAAGTGAATAGATGTCCTCTATCAGATACTAAAACTTATGAAACTTTAGTCTTTAGTCTTTAAAATAGTGCAGTTTTGCTGCAGAGTTAGAAAGACCATGGAAAAAAACCAGGAATTCCAGAAACAGACACATTTATGGATGTCTGATTTGTGACAAAGGTGCTGCACAGCAGTGAGGACAGGACTTTCTTCAATAAATGATACTGGGTCAATTGAATATTCATATGGAGAGGAAAATGAAACTTTATTGCCGAATCACCCTGCATATAAAAATCAGTTAGAAGTAGACTATGATTTGGCTACATGTTGTAGCCAAAATAGTAAAGCTTCTAGAAACAGGAGAAAATCTCTATGACTTTGATGGTAAAGAGAGATTTCTGGCCACAAAAAGCACTGACAAAGAAAAAAAGATAAAACCGGACTGCAATAAAGTTAAACAATGGAAGATGATTAAGAAAGTGAAAAGAAGCTGCAGAGAGGAAGATGGTACTTGAAACACATATAATTGAGCAAAGAACTGGTGTCCTGAATAGGGAATTTCTACAAGTCCATAAGGAAGAGACAGAACATCCATTTGAAAAACAGAGAGACTTGAACAGACCCAATGTAAAAGAGGATATCCAGATGGCTAGTAAATATGAAAAGCTATTGCAAAAATTACAGATTAAGGCCACAGTGATATAACAATAAACATCCTTACAATAGCTAAAATTAAAGAGACTGACAATAGCAAGTGTTGATAAGGAGATAGGAATACTGCTGGTAGGGAATATAAATTTGTACAGCCACTTTGGAAGACTGGTCGGTAGGGAGTACTAAAGCTGAACATATGCAAATTTTATGACCCCGAAGTTTCACTCCTAATAATGCACTCAACAAAAATGCATGCACATTGGCACCAAAAGACACATACAAGAAGGTTCTTCATAGTATTATTAGTAATAGCCAAAAGCTAGAAACAACACAAATGTCCATCAAGAGTAGAATGAATAAATAAGATATGGCATATTCATACAATGAATATGCAGAAAAGAAAATGAACAGATTCAGCCAATATGTATGAATATCACATATATAATATTGAGTAAAATAAGCTGAATGCAATAGCATACATATTATATGACTCCATTTATATACATTTCAGAAAATTTCAAAACTATAGTATTAAAAGTTAGGTAATAGTTACTTTTGGGGAAAAGGGAAGGGATTGGGATGGGGCATTACAGGGATTTCTGGATGCTTGTCAACTTTTTATGGATAGATGGTAAGGATGTGTCTACTTTGTGATAGTTGATTGAGCTGTATGCATATGATTTGTGTACTTTATGTTATACATCAATTCAAAAAATCTAAAGGAACGGATACCTTATAGGATGTAAATGAAGTTTTCTATTCACATTGCTTTTTTCTTTTTGCCTTGGCAGAGAGAGGACAAGGTTGGATTTTAGTATTTATTTTTGTAATTTCAGCTTTTATTTTAGATTCGGGGGGACACATGTCCAGGCTTGTTACGTGGGTATGTTGTGTGATGCTGAGGTTTGGGGTACAAATGATCCCATCACCCAGCTAGTGAGCATAGTACCTGATAGGTAGTTTTTCGAGCCCTTTCCCCCTGCCCTGTCTCTCCTGACCCAGTGTCTCCCAGTGCCTTTTATTCCCATCTTTATGTCCACATGTACCTAATGTTTAGCTCCCACTTAAAAGTGAGAATATGTGGTATTTGGTTTTCTGTTCCTGTGTAAATTTGCTTAGGATGATGGCCTCCAGCTGTATCCATGTTGCTGCAAATGACATGATCTCATTTTTTATGGCTGTGTAGTATTCCATGATGTATATGTACCACATATTCTTTATTCAGTAACGTTGAATTTTAACTGAATATTTATTTGTTTCCTTGTGCATTTGTCCCCTTTAATCACCAGGCAGTCTAACTCTGGTGATGGGTCCTGGACAGTGGAGAGTTTCGTAGCAGGATTTTGAAAGCATCATAATTTAGATTGTTCCTGGGGCTAGGAGCACTAGCATGGACCTCTGAAGTCAACATGGAAGAAAATAATTCCAAGAGTTGTAACACAGTGGTCAGGAGCTAGCAACCTGATTTAAGTTCTTTAACACCTTTACCGTGATATTTTAAAATGTCTTTTCTAAGTATTGTTAAATTAAAATGCACTATTAAATTATAAATAACATGTTAGAAATATGCCATTTGCTATTTGCTAGCATAATACAATGAAAGAGGATAAGCTTCAGAGTTAGATTCAAATCCTGGCCTTGCTGTTTGCTCATTATAAAACTTTGGGCAGTTTACTCTAATTCTTTTTTTTTCTTTTCTTTTCTTTTTTTTTTTTTTTTTTGAGACAGAGCCTCACTCTGTCACCCAGGTTGGAGTGCAGTGATGCAGTCTCGGCTTACTGCAACCTCCGCCTCCAGGGTTCAAGCAATTCTCCTGCCTCAGCCTCCCAAGTAGCTAGGACTACAGGCGCGCAGCACCACCATGCCTGGGTAATTTTTATTTTTTTATTTTTTAGTAGAGACAGGGTTTCGTCTTGTTGGCCAGGCTGGTCTTAAACTCCTGACCTCAGGTGATCTGCCCACTGTAGACTCCCAAAGTGCTGGGATTACAGGCCTGAGCCACTGCGCCCAGCCCAGTTTACTCTAATTTTTTGTGCCTTAGTCTTTTCGTGCTAAATGGGGACGATATTCTTACTCAGTGAAAAGTCAATGAAGATTACTGTGTAAATGGAATAGCACTGTGTTTGGTACATCATAGGTGCCCCATAGGTAGACTTTTTCCCATTCTGCTTGCTACTCCACTAAATAATATTAGTAAAGAAAGAATCTTTCTAACTGTAGAGAGAGTTACAAGACTGAAAAATTTAGTGTATTTATTTTAATTTTGTGTTTAAGTTGGGATTTTTAATTTCTGAAAGAAAATAAAGGTACCTTTTTTGTCAATCTTTGACCTCTTTTAATACAATAATCCAACCCTGTTCTCTCTCTTAACAGATTTTCATTTTAAAAAACATTTACTCATTGAAAAATATAAGAATTTATAAGAAAAATTGAAAAATTACCCATAACTGCACCACACTGATATCTGTACTAGTAAGGTTTGGTGTACACTAGTCCCCCCTTATCTGTGGTTGGTTTCAGTTACAGCCAGATGTGGCTCGAAAATATTAAATGGAAAATTCCAGAAATAAATGGGCAAATAAATTGCATGTTATTCTGAGTAGCTTGATGAAATCCTTCGCTGCCACTCATTGTCCCACTCAGGACATGAATCATCCATTTGTCCAGCGTATTCCTGCTGTCTGCCCATTAGTCACTCAGTAGCTGTCTTGGTTATTAGATCAACTGTTGGATATCACAGTGCTTGTGTTCAAGTAACCCTTATTTTACTTTTATTACAGTATATTGTTATAATTGTTTTATTTCATTATCAGTTATTGTCATTAATCCCTTACTGTGTGTAGTTTATAAATTAATCTTTATCATAGGTATGTAAGGAAAAACATATATAGGTTTGGTACTATCCACCGTTTCAGGCATCCACTGGGGGTCTTGGAACAAATTCCCTGCGGATAATAGGGGACTACTGTAATTTCTTCCATTTACTTGTCTGTATGTTTTTAAACTGTAGTTTGACATGAAACCATACGTGTGGTTTTTGCATTCCTCATTTTTTTCTAAATCCAGCGCCATAGACTGCTCGGCCACACCACACTCATTTTTTCTTAATATGTAACGTTTCCCCATGTTATTAAAAATTTTCTAAATCCAGCACCTTAGACCACTCGGCCACACTACCACACTCATTTTTTCTTAATATGTAACGTTTCCCATGTTACTTAAAATTCTTTGTATTATTTTAGATAGCTGCATAGTATTACATCTTAGAGCCTATTATAATTGAAGTCTTTTACTGTTAGAAACTTAGGAGGTTTCCAGTTTTTTGTTATGCTATGATAATGGCATCTTTTTTGCATGAATCATTTACCTTTAAGACTATTTCCTTAGGCTGTACTTAGGGAAATCTCATTATTTTACCTAAGGGAAAGTAGTTTTATGGTTTTTAGATGCAAATTTCAGAATTGCTTTATAGAAAAGCTTTCAATTCATAATTTTACCAAGAGTATAGAAATGAATCCATTTTGTCGAACTCTCACTACTGAATACTGTCCATTTAAAAATATTCCATTTCTTTTTTCTTTATAGCATTTGTTCAGTGCTCAGCACAGGAGTTTGACCAGACAGAGTAGACGTCAAATATGTACCAGTAGTTTGATGGAACGTTTCTTACAGGATGTACTGCAGCACCACCCATATCATTGTCAAGAGAGCAGGTAAAGTAGTTGATTGGAATAATATTTATACGTAGTTATATGTTACAGTAGGTGTTTGTGTTCATGTCCCAATCAATACTTTAAGTGAATCTTTGAGTCAAGGAATATAAAGTAAAATTTTAGTAACTTTCATTTGCAATTTAAAATTTTTCTTAGCTGAAGTAAGAAATTTCACTACAGAAGATATGGACTACACTATGTTTTTTTCTAAATAAAAGTCTTAGGCTAATAATTATATATCATTAAGATGTTTTATAAGTATGTTATAGGATTAAGCAGGGGGAAAAGGAGGAAGAGATAGTTTTTTTTGTTTGTTTGTTTTTGAGATGGAGTTTCGCTCTTGTTGCCCAGGGTAGAGAGCAATGGCACGATCTCAGCTCACCGCAACCTCCACCACCCAGGTTCAAGCGATTCTCCTGCCTCAGCCTCCCGAGTAGCTGGGATTACAGGCATGTGTCACCACGCCTGGCTAATTTTTTGTATTTTTATTAGAGTTGAGGTTTCGCCATGTTGGTCAGGCTGGTCTCGAATTCCCGACCTCAGGTGATCCACCCGCCTTGGCCTCCCAAAGTGCTGAGATTACAGGCGTGAGCTACCACACCTGGCAAAATGGTTTTTAAAAGGTTAGCAACAGAAAAACTGGTGACAATAGCAGAGTAAGGACAATCAAGTCAAAACTGAGTCAAATCCACATTAATAGAACTCTTTGCTAATTCTGAGGAAAAGAGGTAGCCAAAAGAATTGGGTTTTTAAATCTGTCTGTATTTTGATAGCTTTTCTTGTATCCATTTGTTTTAGTTGTTTTTAATAAAAATAATTATTTTGATAACATTTAAGAGTTAATGCCCTATGTTAAAGAAAAACATTGGTAGAAAATCAGATTAAATATTATAATATGTTTGTAGCTCCCGCTGTACAAGATAAGGTAAAAATCGATCATTAGCACATCTGTGCAGTTAACTGAGATGTGCACCAGTTAGTAGAAAAAGGGATAAACTTCTTTGCCTTGCAAATCACTAACATAGACCTTAGAAATGGCAAAAATATTTTAATGGGGAAAAGTTAGAGGAAAACAAGATGGTTTCTTAGCTGGTGGGAAGATAGAATTAGCCTATCCTGGGGTCAGTATAAATTTCCAGGTTTTTTTTGTTTTTGTTTTTGTTTTTTGAGACGGAGTCTTGCTGTGTCACCCAGGCTGGACTGCAGTGACATGATCTCAACTCACTGCAACCCCCACCTCCCTGGTTCAAGCAATTCTCCCTGCCTTAGCCTCCCAAGTAGCTGGGATTACAGGCACCCGTCACCATGCCTGGCTAATTGTTTTGTATATTTAGTAGAGACTGGGTTTTGCCATGTTGGCCAGGCTGGTCTTGAACTCCTGACCCCAAGTGATCTGCCCACCTTGGCTTCCCAAAGTACTGGGATTACAGGAATGAGTCACCGTGCCCAGCTCCAATGTATAACTCTCATAAGCAGTGCTTCAGCAAACATGTTTTTACATGAATTTTTTTTTTCTTTTTTTTTTGAGACAGAGTCTCGGTCTGTTGGCCAGGCTGTAGTGCTATGGCACAATCTTGGCTCACTGCAACCTCCATCTCCGAGGCTCAAGCAATTCTCCTGCCTCAGCCTCTCGAGTGGCTGGGATTACAGGCATATGCCACCATGCCTGGCTAATTTTTGTATTTTTAGTAGAGACAGGGTTTCACCATGTTGGCCAGGCTGGTCTCGAACTCCCGACCTCAGGTAATCTGCCTGCCTCGCCCTCCCAAAGTGCTGGGATTACAGGCGTGAGCCAACACGCCCGGCCACATGCAACTATTTCTATGGTATAGCTTGCTAGAATTTGAAGTTCTGGGTCAGAGTTTACGGACCTTAAAAATTTTTTATTTTTATTTTTTATCTTTCCTTTCTGGAATAATTTCAGGCTAACAAAAATGTTGTAAAACTGGTACAAGAAATTCTTGGATCACCTTCCCCTGGCTTTCTCAAATATTAAATCCAAAATAACCACAGAGGGCCAGGTGCGGTGGCTCACGCCTGTAATCCCAGCACTTTGGGAGGCCAAGGTGGGCTGATGGCTTGAGGTCAGGAGTTCAAGACCAGCCTGGCCAACATGGTGAAACCCCTGTCTCTACTAAAAATACAAAAATTAGCTAGGCATGTTGGCACACACCCGTAGTCCCAGCTACTCGGGAGGCTGAGGCAGAAGAATTCCTTGAACTGCACTCCAGCCTGGGTGACAGAGCTAGACTCCTTCTTAAAAAAAGATTTTAAAAAACCACAGTACAATGATAAAAACTAGGAAACTACAAATGCAGTAGGAGGATCACTTGACTACAGGAGTTGGAGGCTGCAGTGTACTTTGACCTCCCCCCCGCCCGTGAATAGATGCATCCGGCCTGGGCAACATAGTGAGGCCTGTCTTGGCCTCTAAAAAAAAAAACAAGCCCCAAGCTGGACGCAGTGGCTCACGCCTGTAATCCTACCACTTTGGGAGGCCGAGGCGGGCGGATCACCTGAGGTCGGGAGTTTGAGACCAGCCTGACCAACATGGAGAAACCCTGCCTTTACTAAAAATACAAAAAATTAGCCGGGCATGGTGGTGCATGCCTGTAATCCCAGCTAGTAGGGAGGCTGAGGCAGGAGAATTGCTTGAACCCTGGAGGCGGAGGTTGCGGTGAGCTGAGATTGTGCCATTGCACTCCAGCCTGGGCAACAAGAGCGAAACTTGGTCTCAAAACAAACAAACAAACAAACCCAAAGCAAAAAATTCCCTGAACCCTGCTCAGAGGGAGCCAGTTTTAAAAACACAAAAACCAAAAACCAAGAAATTACATTGATACCATACTAACAGCTAATCTGTAGACCTTGTTTAAATTTTGTTGGTTGTCTTAACTCATGTCCATTTCTTGGACCAGGAACCAGTCCACAATCACACGTTGCATTTCGTTGTCAGCATCTCCTTAGTTTTCCTTTATCTTAAATAGTTCCTCAGTTTGTCTTTGTTTTTAAGACCATGATACTTTATTTATAGAGTACTGGCCAGTTAATTTATAGGATAGCCTTCAATTTGTGTCTGCCTGATATTTTCTTATGATTAAACTTCGGTTATGCATTTTGGGCGTGAATATCTTAGAATCGATGTGCCCTTCTCAGTGTGTAGCATCAGGAGACACATAATGTTGCCGTGTCATTTTGGGTGATGTTAGCTTGAGCCACTTGATTAAGGTACTACTGTCTGCCAAGTTACTCCACTGTGAAGTTACTGTTTTTCCTAATTAATAAGGATCGTATGGGGAAGAACTTTGAGACTATGTAAATACCTTGTTTCTTATCTTACTTTTGCCCACTGATTTTATGCAACCATTAATGATTCTTTGATCAAAATTCTACCATAAAGGAGATCTTCACTTGTTCTTTCACTTATTCAAGTATTTAATACTTATTTATATCATTATAGACTCATGGATATTTCCTTTATTCTATGGGTTTTAATTTGTTACTATTTATTATTTATTTTGTTGCTCAAATTGTGTATGAACATTTGAAGTCCTTGCTAGACACTTCCTAGAAGGCTATACCAATTTATACTCACACCAGCAGCATAAGAGAATGCTCGTTTCCTGTCACTGTTGCTAACACTGGGATTATCAGCTTCTTTTTTCCCTCCCAACCTAATAGGCCAAAAATGTGTAGATATACATACTGATAATCCCATATTATCTATTTTCAGGTAGAACTTTTTTGTATACTGATTGGCCATATTTTATTCTATGATATGTTTGTTAATATACTTTGCCCATTTTTCTATGGAGTTCTTTGTATATTTTGGCTTTGTAAGAAATATTTGAGTATGAGTAATATCCTTTGTATTTTAAATGTGTTACAGATTTTTTTCAGAACCTAATTGTTTGTCTTTTAACTGTATATGTTATTCTTTATTATACAGAAATTAAAATTTTTGATTTAATCAGATGTAAGGAGAATTTTTCTTTATGGCTTCTTTTATGCCTTTTTCTTCATGCCTTTGTTTTTTCTTTTAAATATTTATAACCATCTTGGAGTTTGTTTTTATATGTGGTGTGAGGCAGGACTTCTTGTATCTCTAATTATCCTTGCTGATATAAAATGTCACCACCTGTGTCATAACCCGAGTTCTTGTATTTGTGTATATGTGTGTGTGTATATCTCATTTTGAATACCATTTTGTTTCCTTGATTTAAAAAAAATCCCATGCCAATAGTACATTATTTTATTATGTATGTATAAACTTTCTAACTTATAGGATTTATGATTTTAAAACATTTCCTTTCTGTTTCCCCCTTGTCTAGACATTGTAAATTTTTCTATTTTAGCTCTCCTGAAAATCAGTTCTTGCTTTATTTTTGTTTCATCTTCATTAATTTTTTCCTTTTCTTCATGTATTTCGTCTACCTTTTTATGGGGGCAATTTGGTTGTTATCTTTTTCGTCTTAAATTGGGTGCCCAGTTGTATTTATGAATTCTTTTCTTAATGGAAGTATTTAAAAATATGATGTTTTTATTTTGGCCATATCTCATAGTTTTTATTTCTTTTAGATAATTTAAAAAATGTTTTTTTTTTTTAGCTCAAGAGTTTTTCTTTTTAGCTCAAGAGTTTAGCTGTTTTTTGTTCGTTTGTAGGTCTCACTCTGTGGCCCAGGCTGGAGTGCAGGGTGTGATTATAGCTCACTGTAGTCTCAAAGTCCTGGGCTCAAGTGATCCTCCTGCTTCAGCCTCTTGAGTATCTGGGACTATAGACATGTACCACCATGCCTGGCTTATTTTTTAAATTTTTTGTAGAAACAGGATCTCATTATGTTGCCAAGGCTGGTCTCAAACTCTTGGCCTCAAGTGATCCTCTCACTTGAGTCTTCCAAAGTGGGGGGATTACAGGCATGAACCACCACACCTGGCCAAAAGAGTGGTTTTTAATCTTTAATGGTTAGATTTTTAGAGAGCTTTTTTTGTTGTTGTGTGGTTACAAATGATGAGTTAAATGTGGATTATGATTTAATTGTTAAGCATATTATACACACACAAATACAGATGCAGATCAAAGCATCCAGATGGCAGTTCATGACCTTCTTGGGATTTTACCAGCTGTATGATTTTATGATTATACCTTCTTTTCTTTTTTCCCTTTTCTTTCTTTTCTTAGCTACATATTGCACAATTGGTTTTATTTTGAGAATGTTGTGATAGTCCTTAAGACAAATGAAGATAGTTTAGGGTTCTGAAAAACTAGAGTGAAGTGATTGTTGCACTGCAGTGTCATTGTTGAGAAGTATGAAAAATTAGAATTGTTTTTTGCTGCATCACAATACTTTTGATGCAGGGTTAACTTTATTTTCTAAATTCAAAATTAATATTAAGGTAATAAATTTATATGGGATAGTAATACTTAGGCTAAAATGAAATTGCATATGGCTGACACATGTATGCATGTTCTCTTAGACAAATGACATCTCAAATTGGAAAAATTCAATAAATTTTTAGGTGTTTATTTTTAATTGTTATAGGCTATTTTTATAAACAAACAGTTTTAGATTAATGGAAACAATGAGGAAATAGTACAGAGTGTGCCTATAATACTCTCTCACACAATTTCTCTATTATTAACATTAATGTGATATATTTGTTATAAGTAATGAACTGATATTAGTACAGTCCATGGTTTATTCAGACTTCTTAGTTTCTACTTAAACTAAGTTTTCTTAAACTAAGATTTCCTTAGTTTTACTACTTTTTCTGTTTCAGAATCACATCCAGGATACCACATTACATTAACTTGTAATGTCTCTTTAGGTCCCTCTTGGCTGTGACAGTTTAATCTTTTTTTTTTTTTTTTTAAACAGGTCTAGATGTGATGATACTTATCTCTTTGAATTGTTATTATTTTTTATGTGTCTGCCTTCTGCAGCTACTTGAATGGTCTTTAAAAGGCAGCTTAACTTTTTTTGAATTTGCCTTAGTACCTAGCATAGTGCCTGTAATGCAGTAGTAAGTCCTTAGTAGATGGTTGTTACATGAATGAATGTTTGCCCGACTTTAAGAATTCAGGCCATGGCAATATCATTAGGTCAGTTGGTTTTATGTACATGAAAGAACAGTCCCTGAAATGCTTTGGTCAAACATGTTGTCTTGATACTGGTAGAAGAGATTCATAGACTGATTTTAGATATGAAAGTTTTGGGTCTTTTTAAAAATAATGGAATTTAAATTTTGAATGGGAAATACATATACATAGACATAATTCACAGTGCACGTTCAAAAGTAAGTCTTCTTAAATTGCTGCCATCCTGTAGTCACTTCCCTAGAGGTAACACTTGACACCTCTAGACTTCTACAGTTGTATGTGCCATTCTCCAGATATTCTAAGTGCATTATTTTTTTCCCTTCTATTTTACATAAATGGTAGCTTTCTGTGTACCCTTGCTTTTCACTAACAATGTTTATAGTAATTGGTTTTTATTTGTATATATAGAGCCGCTTTATTATTTTTAAAAACCACATTGTATTCCATTAAATACCATTAATTATTTAACCAGTACCCAGTTACTGAGTATTCAGGTTGATTCTAGTCATTTGCTATTACCCCTCCCTCCGCTCAAAAGTAGCAGTAACTATTCTTGTACGTGTTCATTAAACACATGAGAAAACCAAAAGTGGAATTAGAGGTCAAAGGGTATGTACATTCTTAATTTTAATAGACATTGCCAAATTGCTGTTTGTAGAGGTTACAAATCTACATAGAGGTTAACCAGTAACTGTTAACTGATCTATATTCCTATGAACAATGTATTAAAGTGCCTTTGTCCTTACACCCGCACCAAAACAATGTGTTAAGATAATAATAGCTAACATTTGTGAATGCTTACTGTGTGCCAAGCTGTTTCTTTGTTTTAATGCTCTTTACATGTAACAATTAATTTACTCATCAAAACAATCTCATGAGGGAAAATAGTGTAAGATTCCCTTTTTTTGGAGGCAGAAACTGAAGCATACAAAGTTAAGTAACATATGTCAAACTTTTTGCTATTTACTACTCTGATAACTGAAAAATAATATATGATTTTATTTGTTTAGTTTTTCATGTTTAGGGGCCATTTGTATTTAAGTAGCAATTGGTGGAGCCACCTCCACCTTCTGCAGTAATTCCCCCTCTGTGGTCCATGCAGTGTTCAGCCTGGGGTGACTGCCTGGATTCCTTGTCCTTTAAGGATAGTCCAGAACAGAAAGCAAATAACATTTATTATGCCTCTATTTTAATATTTTAAACAGACATTAGAATATGTTTATGAGTTTCCCCCCTTTCGTTTTAGTTCAACACAAGATGAGACACATGTGAATACTGGGTCATCGTCTGAAGTGGTGCATTTGGATGATGCTTTTTCTGAAGAAGAGGAAGAGGATGAGGATAAGGTTGAGGATGAGGATGCTACCGAAGAGAGACCATCCGAGGTTTCAGAACCTATTGAAGAGTTACATTCCAGACCTCATAAATCTCAGGAAGGCACGCAGGAGGTTTCAGTTCGACCATCAGTTATTCAAAAACTGGAGAAGGGACAGCAGCAGCCCTTGGAGTTTGTTCATAAAATTGGGGCCAGTGTGAGAAAATGTAACCTAGTAGATATTGGTCAGGCTACAAATAATAGAAGCAACTTGGTACGCCCCCCAGTGATTTGTAATGCTCCTGCTAGTTGTTTACCTGAAAGCTCTAACGATAGACCAGTTACAGCTAATACAACTAGTTTACCACCAGCAGCTCATTTGGATTCAGTTAGCAAATGTGACCCAAACAAAGTTGAGAAATATCTTGAACAGCCAGATGGGGCCTCTAGAAATCCTGTGCCATCATCCCATGTAGAAACTACTTCATTTTCGTATCAGAAACATAAAGAATCAAATAGGAAATCTTTACGCATGAATTCAGATAAGTTGGTTTTGTGGAAAGATGTAAAATCTCAGGGTAAAACTTTATCAGCTGGCTTGAAATTCCATGAACGCATGGGTACTAAGGGCTCCTTAAGAGTTAAATCTCCTTCCAAATTAGCAGTAAACCCGAATAAAACTGACATGCCTTCTAATAAAGGAATCTTTGAAGATACTATTGCAAAGAACCATGAGGAATTCTTTTCTAACATGGATTGTACCCAAGAAGAAAAGCATTTGGTTTTTAACAAGACAGCCTTTTGGGAACAGAAGTGCTCAGTGAGTTCTGAAATGAAGTTTGATTGTATCTCTCTTCAGTCAGCATCTGATCAGCCCCAAGAGACTGCACAAGACTTAAGTCTTTGGAAGGAGGAGCAAATTGACCAAGAAGATAACTATGAGTCTAGAGGTTCAGAAATGAGTTTTGATTGCAGTTCCTCTTTTCATTCACTGACTGACCAATCTAAAGTGAGTGCCAAAGAAGTAAACCTTTCCAAGGAAGTACGTACTGATGTACAGTATAAGAATAATAAATCTTATGTTTCTAAAATAAGTTCTGATTGTGATGACATTCTTCACTTGGTTACCAACCAATCCCAAATGATTGTTAAAGAAATAAGTCTTCAGAATGCAAGGCATATTAGCCTGGTTGACCAAAGCTATGAATCTAGTAGTTCTGAAACGAATTTTGATTGTGATGCTTCACCTCAGTCCACTAGTGACTACCCCCAACAATCTGTAACAGAAGTAAACCTTCCTAAGGAAGTGCACATTGGTTTGGTTGATAAGAACTATGGTTCCAGTAGCTCTGAAGTAAGTGCTGATTCTGTTTTCCCACTGCAGTCAGTGGTTGACAGACCCCCAGTGGCTGTCACAGAAACAAAACTTCGGAAGAAGGCTCATACCAGCTTGGTTGATAACTATGGATCGAGTTGTTCTGAAACAAGTTTTGATTGTGATGTTTCTCTTGAGTCAGTAGTTGATCATCCCCAACTGACTGTCAAAGGAAGAAACCTGAAAGGTAGACAAGTCCACCTAAAACATAAGAAGCGTAAACCCAGTAGTGCTAAAGCACATCTTGATTGTGATGTCTCACTTGGGACAGTTGCAGATGAATCCCAGAGGGCTGTTGAAAAGATAAATCTTCTGAAGGAGAAGAATGCTGACCTTATGGATATGAACTGTGAATCCCATGGTCCTGAAATGGGTTTTCAGGCTGATGCTCAATTAGCTGACCAGTCTCAAGTAGCCGAAATAGAGCGTCAGAAAGTGGATGTTGACCTTGAGAATAAGAGTGTTCAGTCTAGCCGTTCTTCTCTGAGTTCTGATTCTCCGGCTTCTCTTTATCATTCAGCTCATGATGAGCCTCAAGAAGCTTTGGATGAAGTAAATCTTAAAGAGTTAAATATTGACATGGAAGTTAGGAGCTATGATTGCTCCAGCTCTGAGTTGACTTTTGATTCTGACCCGCCTCTTCTGTCAGTTACTGAGCAGTCTCATCTGGATGCTGAAGGAAAAGAACGGCACATTGACCTGGAAGATGAGAGCTGTGAGTCAGATAGTTCTGAAATAACTTTTGATTCTGATATTCCTCTTTATTCAGTAATTGACCAACCTGAAGTAGCTGTTTATGAGGAAGAAACTGTTGATCTGGAAAGTAAAAGTAATGAATCTTGTGTCTCTGAAATAACTTTTGATTCTGATATTCCTCTTCATTCAGGAAATGATCACCCTGAAGTAGCTGTTAAAGAAGTAATTCAGAAAGAAGAGTACATTCACTTAGAAAGGAAGAATGATGAACCCAGTGGTTCTGAAATAAGTTCGGATTCCCATGCCCCTCTTCATTCAGTGACTAATTCTCCCGAAGTAGCTGTTAAAAAGCTAAATCCTCAAAAAGAAGAGCAGGTACACTTAGAAAATAAGGAAAATGAACCTATTGATTCTGAAGTAAGTTTGGATTATAATATCATTTTTCATTCAGTGACTGGACGTTCTGAAGATCCCATTAAAGAAATAAGCCTTCACACAAAAGAGCACATGTACTTAGAAAATAAGAGTGTTTTTGAAACAAGTTTGGATTCTGATGTCCCTCTTCAGGCAGCGACTCACAAACCTGAAGTAATTGTCAAAGAAACATGGCTTCAAAGAGAAAAGCACGCTGAATTCCAAGGTAGAAGTACTGAATTCAGTGGTTCAAAAACAAGTTTAGATTCTGGTGTCCCTCATTATTCAGTAACTGAACCTCAAGTAGCTGTTAACAAAATAAACAGAAAGAAGCAATATGTTCTAGAAAACAAGAATGATAAATGTAGTGGTTCTGAAATAATTTTGGATTCTAATGTTCCACCTCAGTCAATGACTGACCAACCTCAACTAGCTTTTTTGAAGGAAAAACATGTTAATCTGAAGGACAAAAACAGTAAATCAGGTGATTCTAAAATAACTTTTGATTCTGAACAACTTCAGGAAGCGGTTAAAAAAATAGACCAATGGAAGGAAGAGGTTATTGGCCTGAAAAATAAGATTAATGAACCTAGTACTTATAAATTAATACATCATCCTGATGTTTCTGTCCAATCTGTGGCTGATCAACCCAAAGTAGCTATTAAACATGTGAACCTTGGGAATGAAAACCATATGTACTTGGAAGTTAAGAACAGCCAATATAGTTGTTCAGAAATGAATTTGGATTCTGGTTTCTTGGGTCAGTCAATAGTCAATCGACCTCAAATAACTATTTTGGAGCAGGAGCACATTGAACTAGAAGGTAAGCACAATCAATGTTGTGGTTCTGAAGTAAGTTTTGATTCTGATGACCCTCTTCAGTCAGTGGCTGACCGGCTGAGAGAAACCGTTAAAGAAATAAGCCTTTGGAAGGATGAAGAAGTTGACACGGAAGATAGGAGAAATGAAGCTAAGGGTTTTGAAATTATGTATGATTCTGATGTTCTTCAGCCAGTGGCTGGCCAACCTGAAGAAGTAGTTAAGGAGGTCAGTCTTTGGAAAGAGCATGTTGACTTGGAAAATAAGATTGTCAAACCTACAGATTCCAGAATAAATTTTGATTCTCATGAACCCCTTCAGTCCGTAACTAATAAAATTCCAGGGGCGAATAAAGAAATAAATCTTTTGAGGGAGGAACATGTTTGTCTGGATGATAAGGGCTATGTGCCCAGTGATTCTGAAATAATTTATGTTTCAAATATCCCTCTTCAGTCAGTGATAAAACAACCACACATTTTGGAAGAGGAGCATGCCAGTCTGGAAGATAAGAGCAGTAATTCTTATAGTCCTGAAGAAAGTTCTGATTCCAATGACTCTTTTCAGGCAGCAGCAGATGAGCTTCAAAAACCTGTCAAAGAAATAAATCTTTGGAAGGAAGACCATATTTACCTGGAAGATAAGAGCTATAAATTAGGTGATTTTGATGTAAGTTATGCTTCTCATATTCCTGTTCAGTTTGTGACTGATCAATCTTCTGTACCTGTCAAAGAAATAAACTTGCAAAAGAAGGATCATAATGATCTAGAAAATAAGAACTGTGAAGTCTGTGGTTCTGAAATAAAATGTCATTCTTGTGTTCATCTTCAGTCAGAAGTTGACCAACCTCAAGTGTCTTACAAAGAGGCAGACCTTCAGAAGGAAGAGCATGTTGTCATGGAAGAAAAGACCGATCAACCTAGTGATTCAGAAATGATGTATGATTCTGATGTTCCTTTTCAAATAGTAGTTAACCAATTTCCAGGATCAGTCAAAGAAACCCACCTTCCAAAGGTGGTACTTGTGGATCTGGTGCCCGGTGATAGTGATTATGAAGTAATTTCAGATGATATTCCCCTTCAGTTAGTGACTGACCCACCTCAGTTGACTGTCAAAGATATCAGCTGTATAAATACAGAATGTATTGATATAGAAGATAAGAGCTGTGACTTTTTTGGTTCTGAAGTCAGATGTAATTGTAAAGCCTCTACTCCCTCAATGACAAACCAATGCAAAGAGACTTTCAAAATAATAAACCGGAAGAAGGACTATATTATTCTGGGAGAGCCAAGTTGTCAATCTTGTGGTTCTGAAATGAATTTTAATGTTGATGCCTCTGATCAGTCCATGACTTACGAGTCACAAGGACCTGATGAGAAAATGGTGAAATATATTGATTCAGAAGATAAGAGCTGTGGATATAATGGTTCTAAAGGAAAATTTAATTTGGAAGACACTTCTCATCGAACGACTCACCGACTGCAGAAAGCTCACAAAGAAGCCAGTCTTCGGAAGGATCCAAGAAATGCTGGCCTAAAAGGTAAGAGCTGTCAGTCTAGTGCTTCTGCAGTGGATTTTGGTGCCTCTTCCAAGTCAGCGCTCCATCGAAGGGCTGATAAAAAAAAACGTTCGAAGCTAAAACATAGAGATCTAGAAGTGAGCTGTGAACCGGATGGTTTTGAGATGAATTTTCAGTGTGCTCCCCCTCTTCCATCTGATACTGATCAGCCTCAAGAAACTGTTAAGAAAAGACACCCTTGTAAGAAGGTATCTTCTGACTTGAAAGAAAAGAACCATGATTCCCAGTCAAGCTCTGTTCTCAAGGTTGATTCTGTAAGGAACCTGAAAAAAGCAAAGGATGTCATAGAGGATAATCCTGATGAACCAGTTCTTGAAGCCTTGCCTCATGTACCTCCTTCATTTGTGGGGAAAACATGGTCTCAGATAATGAGAGAAGATGACATAAAAATTAATGCTCTGGTGAAGGAGTTTAGGGAAGGTCGTTTCCACTGTTACTTTGATGATGACTGTGAGACCAAAAAAGTTTCTTCGAAGGGGAAAAAAAAGGTTACCTGGGCTGACTTGCAAGGTAAGGAGGACACTGCACCAACTCAAGCTGTGTCAGAGAGTGATGATATTGTCTGTGGTATTTCAGATATTGATGACTTGTCAGTGGCCTTAGATAAACCATGCCATCGTCATCCTCCAGCAGAGAGGCCTCCTAAGCAAAAGGGGCGTGTGGCTTCTCAATGCCAGACAGCGAAAATCAGCCATAGTACTCAGACCAGTTGTAAGAATTACCCAGTGATGAAAAGAAAAATAATTAGACAAGAGGAAGACCCACCAAAAAGTAAGTGTTCACGTTTACAGGATGACAGAAAAACCAAAAAGAAAGTCAAAATTGGGACAGTTGAATTTCCTGCATCATGTACTAAAGTTTTGAAGCCTATGCAACCCAAAGCCTTAGTCTGTGTTCTTTCTTCTTTAAATATTAAACTGAAAGAGGGTGAAGGCCTTCCTTTCCCTAAAATGAGGCACCATAGTTGGGATAATGATATTCGGTTTATATGCAAATATAAACGGAATATCTTTGATTATTATGAGCCCTTGATTAAGCAAATTGTAATTAGTCCTCCCCTGAGTGTAATAGTACCAGAGTTTGAGAGGCGTAACTGGGTTAAAATTCATTTTAATAGGAGCAACCAAAACTCCAGTGCAGGAGATAATGATGCTGATGGACAAGGCTCTGCTTCAGCGCCTTTAATGGCAGTGCCGGCAAGATATGGATTTAATTCACATCAGGGAACCAGTGACTCTTCTCTGTTTCTGGAAGAATCAAAGGTTCTGCATGCTCGTGAGCTTCCAAAGAAAAGAAATTTCCAGCTAACATTTTTAAATCATGATGTTGTCAAAATCTCTCCAAAATCAGTTAGAAATAAGCTTTTGGAAAGTCAAAGTAAAAAGAAAATTCATGGAAAGAGGGTGACAACTAGTAGTAATAAGCTAGGTTTTCCCAAAAAGGTTTATAAACCAATTATTCTCCAGCAAAAACCCAGAAAAGCTTCAGAGAAACAGTCAATTTGGATTCGGACCAAACCAAGTGATATCATTAGAAAGTATATTTCGAAATACTCTGTCTTTTTACGTCATAGATATCAGTCCAGGAGCGCTTTTCTTGGAAGGTATCTGAAGAAGAAAAAATCTGTTGTCAGTAGGCTAAAGAAGGCGAAGAGAACAGCTAAAGTGCTTTTGAACTCTTCAGTTCCACCAGCTGGTGCCGAAGAGCTGTCAAGCGCTATGGCAAATCCTCCTCCAAAGCGACCTGTGCGGGCTTCTTGCCGCGTTGCAAGAAGGAGGAAGAAGACTGATGAAAGCTACCATGGCCGACAGAAAGGTCCTTCTACACCTGTGAGAGCATATGATCTGAGAAGCTCATCTTGTTTACAACAACGTGAGAGAATGATGACTCGGCTAGCAAACAAACTGAGAGGTAATGAGGTAAAATAGAAGTTGGTTTTGTGTTCAGGCTAGTTGAGGATTCAGTACTTCAGTTGAAATATATTTGGTACTTTGTGCACACAGCTTTCCCAGCTTTGGTGAGAAAACTAATCTTGAACTATTTTGCTATAAATATTATTTTTCAGAATTTTTATATTCATTTAAAATTAGTGTTTAGAGTCCTTTCATTTTAAGATTCAGAAACAGCCTTTGTCCAACATTTTCTGTAGAAGAACTTCATCTTAATTTATGTCACAAAATAATTTAGCACCGTATATAGAATTTTGTTCCTCAAATCATATCCCTCTTATTTTTTATGATTATCTCTCTCATGCCAGCAAATTTAACATTGTGAGAATGAATATAGCAAACTTATTAAAAAGAAGGAATTATAATGAATTATGTCAACTTTTGAATGGGGTTGACTTAAATGAATACAAACAAAATATAAGTTTTCTTTCTTTTTAAAGCATTCCAGAAAATGAGATTCCATAATCTTTAATACAGTTTTTAAAAACTGGTGATTTTTTTTATGCATAGCACAAACTCCTCCTGCTTCATTTAAATTGGATCTGCAAGTCTCTAACTTTTATCATTTGGACACATGCACACATACAGTCTCTAGGTTTTTTGGGTTAGCCTTATTAGATCTTAAAGGGGAAAATAATTTTGCCCATGTGTTTAGGCATTCCCCCCCTTTTTTTTAACCACCTTTACTCTCTTCTACATGAAGAGTTGGTGGCTTAATATGAAAATCCAGGTTATTTTGTGGCCTTATCCCCTAAAAATATTTTAGGCATTACCATATCAGTTTTTATTTTTATGTTTATTTATTATTATTATTTTTTGAGACAGAGTCTCACTGTCTTGCCCAGGCTGGAGTGCAGTGGCCTGAACTTAGCTCACCGCAACCTCCACCTCCCGGGTTCAAGCAATTCTCCTGCCTAAGCCTCTCGAGTAGCTGGGACTACAGGCGTGCGCCACCATGCCCGGCTAATTTTTGTATTTTTAGTAGAGTTGGGGGTTTCACTATGTTGGCCAGGCTGGTCTCAAACTCCTGACCTTGTGGTCCACCCGCCTCAGCCTCCCAAAGTGCTGGGATTACAGTCATGAGCCACCATGCCCAGCCTACCATATCAGTTTTTAATAACTTGAACTGAAATTATTGGCTTGGTAATATTTGGGCAGGCCATTAATTCTCATTAGAAAATTACTTAATATTTCAAAAAATTGAATAAAACTGGTAATCTTTGTGGAGGCCCATTTTGCAAGTGGAAACCTGTATTTATACATTAGTTTGTCTTTAACTATTTGTTAACAGATTTTAACAGTTCAAATGAAAGATGTTAACGAGATGCAGTTTGAGTCTGGGATACTCAGAATAGATCCAGAACCTTTATTCAGGGACACTGGTTGAGTTGGTACAGATGCATTCAGTTGTCATTCATTCGTGTTAAGCCAAGATCCTGGATCTTCTATCATTAATGTTAAGAGGAAACATGAATTACAACTATATTGTATGACTGCCATATTTTATTGAAACTAAGGTCAATGTTGAACCATATCTTGATTTCAGAATTTAAAATGTGTTACCTTAGAAATAATGAAATATAGTGTAACAGTTGGTTTCTAAATGTGGTTTTATTTCAGGGGCCATTATTTAACCTGTGTGTATGCTATGATGGAGTTCTTTTGTGATTTCTTTACTTCTAAATTTAAATAGTAATTATGTTTAAAAACAAATGTTTTTGTCTTTAGTTGCAAAGCAGCATATATCTCATTTCCTTCAACCTTGCCTCCTCATACACAAATATATTTTCATTTCTTAAAAGATCACTGGGCCAGTAGTTCAAAATAATCCTCCAATTTTAATTTAGGAACAAAGCTTTGTCCTACTGACTAGGAAGTAAACAAACAGCTGATATATAAGATATTTGTGGGTATTGGTGTCTTTTTTCCCTATGGAATAGACACATAGTTCCCTTAAATATTATTAATAGACATTCTACAGTCTTTCAGTGTAAGTTTAAAAGCAAGAGATCAAATGAAAATGTGTACTATGTACCTATGATGTGTCATATCGTGATTACATCATGCAGAGAGAACAGTTCCTGTAATTCAAGTAATTAAAATTTCAAGTTGTAAAAATGTTACCATTTTCACATTGGAAGCCCTTCTAAGTACCATTTTCATTGGGGGCAGGGAGAAGGTTTATATTTAAATTTTATATTACCAGACATAAAAGTACAGTGCAGTACTGATGATTTTGTTTAAAGTTTTTGAAATGTTTTGTTTACTAAGTTCTTGTAATCATTATTTTAGACAAGCTTGAAAACTTGAAATTGTTGAAACTTATAATTTAAATTAAATTGGAAATTACTTTCAGAATTTGGTAGTATACAAGATGTGCCCCTTTGTCTAAATAAATGTTGGCTTAATTTGCAGAATAGATAAAACAATTGATGTTTTTGTGTGTTCAAGAATGCATTAAATTCTTTTAATAGTAAAAAGTCAAATTACGACCATAATGAGTATTTTAATCTTGTTCTTGTTCAGTATTTTGCGTAGATTTTTATTGTAATTGTCCTGAGTTCTACAGTATGTGAACAATATCGTGTGAAGTGTGTTTTTGCATTTGTGCATTTAAATTATTTATGTAACTAGGGCTGTGAGTAACACTTTTTTTTTTTTTTTTTGGTTAAAGAAAAGCTATATTTAAATATTCAAATAATTATATATTTCCATGTAAAACTAATGTGAAGACTAATGTATTTTTTATATTGCAGTGTAAAAGCTAAACTTGTTTTTGATGTTATCAAGATAAAATTTATTAAACCTTGAAATTTGTCTGTTCTCTCTTCATGTTAGAAACTTTTTCTGGGAATACTTGAAGAATAAGAGAATAATGGCCTGAGAGATAATAAATGAGAGAATGTAAATGTTGATGCCAGTGAGAAAGTAGTTTAACCAAAGATATACAGATTATATTCGATGCAGTAGTTATTTCAAAGGATTAAAATTAAACCATTTATTTGTCTGGTGGAGTGGTGGATTAGCAGCTTTTCACTTTGTGTACCTGTATTGAAAGGGCCCGTGAACAAGACTGAGTTCATGAGGCTGTATCTATATCACTGTTTGACACCTACTGGGGAGGGAGAACTTGGGAGCCTCCACTACCACAGCAAGTATTATAAAATACAAGAAAACATGAGAAAGTGTATGTGTGTCAGTGAGGTAGGTGCCTTTGGCACCAGTAGTACTGACTTCCAGAGTTTGTTGGCCTAGATGTTATTGCCAGGATAAACAACATCCTAATCTTTTTTTTTTTTTCCTTTCTTGAGGCAGAGCCTCTCTTTGTCGCCCAGGCTGGAGTGCAGTGGTGCAATCTCAGCTCACTGCAACCTCCGCCTTCCAGGTTCAAGTGATTCTCCTGTCTCAGCCTCCTGAGTAGCTGGGATTACAGGCATGCGCCACCACACCCAGCTAATTTTTGTATTTTTAGTAGAGACGGGGTTTTACCATGTTGGCCAGGCTGGTCTCGAACTCCTGACCTCAGGTGATCCACCCACCTTGGCCTCCCAAAGTGCTGGGATTACAGGCATGAGCCATGACGCCCGGCCCCTAATCTTTATAATAAAAAATCATGGTCGGGCGCAGTGGCTCACGCCTGTAATCCCAGCACTTTGGGAGGCTGAGGCAGGCGGATCACGAGGTCAGGAGATCAAGACCATCCTGGCTAACATGGTGAAACTCCGTCTCTACTAAACAAAATACAAAAAATTAACCGGGCGTGGTGGCAGGTGCCTGTAGTCCCAGCTACTCGGGAGGGTGAGGCAGGAGAATGGTGTGAACCTGGGAGGCGGAGCTTGCAGTGAGCCGAGATCGTGCCACTGCACTCCAGCCTGGGCGACAGAGCGAGACTCTGTCTCAAAAAAAAAACAAAAAAAACAAAAAATTACTACAGTGAAAATGTAAAATGGAAGTCCATTTTCAGCAAAGGGCTTCTATGTAAAGAAAATATAGTTTGTTGTTGAATCTTTAAGTAATATAAACTTAAAATTTTCTGTGTTTATAATTTATTACATGAATGTTGTAATTTATTTCCAGGTTTAATTATTTTAAGGTTAAAAGGTGTGTGTGAGTGAACATCTTGAGCCCTTGCTGAGTGCCAGAGATTGTTCTAAGCTTTTAACCTGTTATCTCATTTGGTCTTCAAAGGACCTTTATGAGTTAGATACTGTAATTTTCGCAATATATTAAATGAGAAAATTGTGGCATATTGTAGTTTATAGTTAATCATCATTCCCACCCCCCAGTTCCAAGCCAGCACTAATCTACTTTCTGTCTTTATAGTATATCCTTTTCTGGATAGTTCATATGAATGGAGTAGTAAAATATGTGGCCTTTTTGTTGGCTTCTTTCATTTACCCCGATGTTTTGTCATTGTGTTGTAGCATGGATCAGTATTTTGTTCCTTTTTATTGCAGAATAATACTTACAGTTCGTTTTTAATGAAAATAATAACACAGACCTGGTCTCCTGGTAGCAAATATGAGAAAACCACTAGGTTTGGGCCTAGCTGTTCCCTTTATGCCTCTCCTATGTGTTATCCTTGGTAACTGCCCAGACCCAAGACCAGACAGGACCATTGCCTTCTAGAGTTCTCTTATTCCATACCTGGATGCTTGTGCTTCCTCCCTTGGACTTTTTGTCCCTTTACTACCCTTCCTGGCATTCTTTTCACTGTTCTGTGAATTCTCATTTTCAGTGTCAACACATTACCCTGTGTTCTCAGTGCTTTCACAGTGGGTTGCTGGCAGGTAATTGGAATCTGAGAATTTTATCCAAGTTGCCCATTATTCTAATCTCCATAAGCCACAGAGCCAGGAACTGCTGATGGTGTACTGGTTGTGGCGAACACTCTTTTTTGAAAATTACTCTCTTACATAACCACAGCACATGCCATCAAAATCAGGAAATCAGCGTTGATCTGATAAAACCATCTACTCCACAGACCTTGTTCGGGTTTGGGGGATTATTCCAGAATGTTCTCTCCTGGTCCAGGATTTGATCCAGGATCTACTGGCATGACTCTAATTTTCTTCAGTATGGAGCAGTTCCTCAGCCTTTCTTTGCATTTCATAGCAAACTTACTGAAGATAACTAGTTTTTTTTTTTTTTTTTTTTTTTTTTGGTGGAAACTCAGTTTAATGTTTCTTTATAATCTGCTTTTGTAGGGGAGGAGCAAAAATTCTGTATTCTTAGTGTTTTGTAACTGGAGCCGTGTGATGTCAATTTGAGTAAATATGATAGAAGATATCCAGTGTTGGTCCTTAGGGAAAAAGGTTTTCATAATCACAGAAGTGGGGGCTCTCACTGAGGTTGAGTTATCAACAAATAGTTACATTTTCTGGCAGCATTGATGGTGAATTTTATCTAATTATCTTTTAACTCATAGATAAGACAATCACTTATTCATACATTTACTACCCCTACTACGTGCTTACCCATGTGTGGGTGCCGGGGATCCAGGCATCAACCAAACAGGCCTCTGGTTGCTCACCCTCATTCACTGATATGTGTGAGAGGGAATTTCAGTAGTGGTAAGTCAGTGGTCTTGCAACGTAATTCTTGTGCTTTCAAAGATCATTCATAGACTCATATAGCTAACACTCACAGGATACTGCTCTTTGGCATTGACCAGTCCCTCCACTTTCTTCCCTGAGACCCATTGCAAGCTGTTTCTGATCATTGTCAGGAAAGATTGTTTTCCTGTGTTTGTGTTATTTTGAAAAGGCTCTCTGTGTTGGTTTGGTGCACCAGGATAGTGTTGTACAGACTCACTTGCCACAGCAAAAAAATGACATCCTAAGGAGAAGTTAGTATATTCATCAGATGTTAAGTTTTTGAGTTGAGATTTTGTCAGCTTTTTTGACCTGGAAAAATAGAAGGTTTATTTATTTATTTTTTTTCAAGAGTTGTCACTGGTCACAGATAATGAAATAAGTAAAGTGAGTGGTGTTTATCATCCATTGAGCTAGACCTATTTTACTAGCTGATTGACTACCTGAAAATCTGAGTTTGAATGTGGTTATTTCACTGTGTCAAATGGTAGCCTAGTAACTGATTATTACTGCTGTTTTAAACAGTGACCTTCTTATGTTTAGGATATATTTAGGTGAGTTAGTGAGGTAGCTTTGATGCCTTAATAGAACCAGAGAAACCACTTGGCCATAATAACTGATAGTTTTCAGGTTTTCATACTGTGCTTACTACTTAACACATCTGTAACCTAGCAGAGCTCCAACGTTCTTCTTTTTGTTCCTACAGAGAAAGGATCTCAAGTCTAACTTAGAATGTGGCATAATAATGTGTGACAGTCTTTTGAGGAACAAATCACAGTAACCCCAAATTGCCCAGGGTAATCAATAGCAACTGCCAGATTGCATTTGGAGCCAGGACATTTCTTTGGCTACACTGGATGACCATGTGAGATCTGAGAGAACATGAGGATGGTTATAAGTGGCTGGATAAAAACAAAACGAAAATATGTGAGTTCCTTTTGAGCTAAAGATGTTGATGAGAATTATTCTGAAGAAAAATGGCCACTACATTTTAAGTGCTAATTTAAGAATGGCTGCTGCTTCTTAGAGATTGTTGAGTATACTGATTCTAAATTATGTAGTTTAAGTTGTGTAAATTTAAATTCTGGAGTAGGTTTTTTTTTATATCATATCCATCATAAAACAGCTGTTTTCACTTGCCATAGGTGAAACTATGGGTAAACATTTCTTTTATGTGCAGGTGTGTTGTAGCAATAGAACTTGTTAACAGTGTAAGTGCTTAAGGAATTTTTAGTGCAGATTCTGTGAGTTAAAATTACAGTATGGAATGGTCATGAAGCCTGATTTCCTTCCTCAGCCCCACTGTCCAGTAGAAAAATGATCCAGATTTAGTCTTCAATATGTAATCTATCTTCTTCTTGGATGTGCAGAAGGGTTTGTATTATATTGTATTTAAGGCTTAACATCTCATGCCAAGTAATTTTTTCTTCTGAATCACAGTAAAACTGTGTGGAAATCAGTTCAAGAAAAATTTGCTTGATGGTAGTGCATGATGGTAAGTGGGGCATTGGGAGTTCATCCTGAGTAAAGGAAGAGAGCCTGTTTCTCAAGCAGAGTCCATTCTGCTAGTGAATTGCCCACTTCTCCAAATGAACATAATGCAGTTAGGTCAGGGAGAATGACACAGGAGGCTCAGCATCATTTCTGTCTCCTCACTTTTCTTGGCACCATATCCTAACACAAAGGTTTATTGAATATTTACCTAAAATTTCTCCCACATTGGTTATTTTCACTTCTGTGGTTTGACACTGTGATACCAGATGGGACAAACAAGAGCCTGGTCAAAACTTGAAAAAAAAATCTGGGGAACAAGCAGTCCACAGGGTCTTTGAAAAGCTCTGATACATTCCTGGGGACCTAAAAGGTTGCATAAATGTGAAAAGCTGTGTGCATGCCTGGGAAAGACCTGAGAGGGCCCTACTCTTTCACCTCTGGCTGATTGGAGTTTCTGTGCAAGTAGGAAGTGAAGGCTAAGGCAGAGTTCTAAGCTGCCTGAATGTTGAGGGCATGTCTTAACACACATGGATACATCTAGAGCTTCTCAGCAAAGAATGGAATATTTATTGATTCACAGAATTTAAGGAAATGTCTGTCGAATCATTAGCTGACCACTAAGTTAACTGAGCAGAGACTTTAGTGGTTGTACAGTACAGGGAATAAAGACTATTGAATTAGTCCTGGAAGGTCACTATGCTAACAAATAGCAGCAGCAGAAACAACAAAACAGCAATTACAACAGACCCTAAGGGTGGGGGATATCTGATTTCCAGAGTTTTTACATTATATTATCTAAAATACTTAGTTTTCAATTAAAAATATTGAAATATGCAAAGAAATAGGAAAGCATGACCTATACACAGGAAAAGAACTGTCAATAGAAACTATCCCTGAGAGGTCTAATTGTTGGTCTTACAAATACTTTAAACCAGCTATTAAATATACGTTATTTATAGGATAAATATAAAAATATTGTAGACTAGGTGCAGTGACTCATGCCTGTAATCCCAGTACTTTGGGAGGCTGAGGTGGGTGGATTGCTTTGAGCCTAGGAGTTCAAGACCAGCCTGGGCAACATGGTGAAACCCCATCATGCATGCCTGTGGTCCCAGGTACTCTGCTGGCTGAGGTGGGAGGATCGTTTGAGCCTAGGAAGTTGAGGCTGCAGTGAGCTGTGATTGCACCACTGCACTCCAACCTGCACAACAGAGTGAGATCCTCTCTCAAAAAAATTATAAATATTAATATATACATAAAAATAAAGTCTAAAGGAAACCAGGTCTAAAGAATTAAAATATGAGAACAATGCTTAACCAAATAGATAATATCAATAAAGAAAAACTGGAAAAAAGACCCCGCATATCTACAACTATCTGATCTTTGACAAACCTGAGAAAAACAAGCAATGGGGAAAGGATTCCCTATTTAATAAATGGTGCTGGGAAAACTGGCTACCCATATGTAGAAAGCTGAAACTGGATCCCTTCCTTACACCTTATACAAAAATCAATTAAAGATGGATTAAAGACTTAAACGTTAGACCTAAAACCATAAAAACCCTAGAAGAAAACCTAGGCATTACCATTCAGGACATAGGCACGGGCAAGGACTTCATGTCTAAAACACCAAAAGCAATGGCAACAAAAGCCAAAATTGACAAATGGGATCTAATTAAACTAAAGAGCTTCTGCACAGCAAAAGAAACTACCATCAGAGTGAACAGGCAACCTACAAAATGGGAGAAAATTTTCGCAACCTACTCATCTGACAAAGGGCTAATATCCAGAATCTACAATGAACTCAAACCGATTTACAAGAAAAAAACAACCCCATCAAAAAGTGGGCGAAGGACATGAACAGACACTTCTCAAAAGAAGACATTTATGCAGCCAAAAAACACATGAAAAAATGCTCACCATCACTGGCCATCAGAGGAATGCAAATCAAAACCACAATGAGATATCATCTCACATCAGTTAGAATGGCAATCATTAAAAAGTCAGGAAACAACAGGTGCTGGAGAGGATGTGGAGAAATAGGAACACTTTTACACTGTTGGTGGGACTGTAAACTAGTTCAACCATTGTGGAAGTTAGTGTGGCGATTCCTCAGGGATCTAGAACTAGAAATACCGTTTGACCCAGCCATCCCATTACTGGGTATATACCCAAAGGACTATAAATCATGCTGCTATAAAGACACATGCACACGTATGTTTATTGTGGCACTATTCACAATAGCAAAGACTTGGAACCAACCCAAATGTCCAACAATGATAGACTGGATTAAGAAAATGTGGCACATATACACCATGGAATACTATGCAGCCATAAAAAATGATGAGTTCATGTCATTTGTAGGGACATGGATGAAATTGGAAATCATCATTCTCAGTAAACTATGGCAAGAACAAAAAAACCAAACACCGCATATTCTCACTCATAGGTGGGAATTGAACAATGAGAACACATGGACACAGGAAGGGGAACATCAGACTCTGGGGACTGTTGTGGGGTGGGGGGAGGGGGGAGGGATAGCATTGGGAGATATACCTAATGCTAGACGACGAGTTAGTGGGTGCAGCGCACCAGCATGTCACATGTATACATATGTAACTAACCTGCACATTGAGCCCATGTACCCTAAAACTTAGAGTATAATAATAAAAAAGAAAAAATAAAATAAAAATTATAAAGTTGAAAAGCTTTTTAAAATATATTTCTTAATAAAAATGTGTAAACCTTGTCCACTAGGTTATGTAGACTCCTTAAAGGTGTTAATAGTTATTGTGTACATTACATTTTTGTGTCTGTCAATATGCCTACTGAAATAAATGGTTTTCCTTCTTTCCACTTAGCATCACTTGTGTATATATATTTATTGTGTGCCTGTCTTCCCTACTAGCATAGAGACTTCATGAGAATGGTGCCTTGTTTACTCACCAATTTCTACCCAGCATGTGTGTATTAGTCCATTTTCACACTGCTGTAAAGACACACTTGAGACTGGGTTGTTTATAAAGAAAAGAGATTTAATTGACTCATAGTTCTTCATGGCTGGGGAGGCCCCAGGAAACTTACAATCATGGTGGAAGGGGAAGCAGGCACATCTTACATAGTGGCAGGTGAGAGAGCATGCAAGAGCAGGGAAAACTGCCTTATAAAACCATCAGATCTCGTAAGAACTCACTATCACAAGAACAGCATGGGGGAAACCACCCCCATGATCCAATCACCTCTCTCCCTCGACACATGGGGATTACAATTTGAGATGAGATTTGGGTGGGGATACAGAGGCAAACCATATCAGTGTGATTCAATATCTGGCTGATAGTAAGTTTTCAAAACATATATGTGGAATCAGTAAACTGCCAACAAAATAAATATGGTATAAAATATTGAAAATATGGTATAAAATATAAAAAATAGTACACCTGTATAGGGCATTTAGCATAAATGGAACTTGCAGTTTAGACATTGCTCTGGGTGAGTGAGTGAGTGATGAGTGAATGTGAAGGCCTATGACATTACTGTTTACTACTGTAGACTTTTATAAACACCCTACATTTAGCTACACTAAATTTATGAAAAAATATTTTTCTTTGATAATAACCTTAGCTTACCGTAATGTTTTTACTTTCTAAGCTTTTCAATTTTTTAACCTTTTTGATGTTATAATCACACTTATTAAATACTTTGTATAGCTGTACAAAAATATTTTCTTTTTTATATTCATACTCTATAAGTTTTTTTCTATTTCCTTTTTTTTTAACTTTTAACTTTTTTTGGTAAAAACTAAGTCACAAACACACACATTAGCCTGGGCCTACACAGGGTCAGGATCTTCAGTATCACTGTCTGCCACCTCCACATCTTGCCCAATGGAAGGTCTTCGGGGCAGTAACAGGCATGGAGCTGTCATCCCTGTGATAAAAATGCCTTCTTCTTAAACACCTTCTAAAGAACTTGTCTGAGGCTGTTTTATAGTTAACCTTTTAACAAATAAAAGGAGCCAGGTGCCGTGGCTCAAGCCTGTAATCCCAGCACTTTGGGAGGCTGAGGCGGGCAGATTGCTTGAGGTCAGGAGTTTGAGACCAGCCTGGCCAACATGGTGAAACCCTGCCTCTACTAAAAACACAAAAATTAGCTGGGTGTGGTGGTGTGCACCCGTAATCCCAGCTACTCAGGAGGCTGAGGCAGGAGAATCTCTTGAACCCAGGAGGCAGAGGTTACAGTGAACCAAGATCACTCCACTGCATTCTAGCCTGGGTGACAGAGTGAGACAACGTCTCGAAAAAAACAAAAACAAAAAAAAACCTAAGTAAAAGGAGTACATTCTATTAAAATAACAATAAAAAGTATAGCACAGTAAATACATAAACCAGTAGCATAGTCGCTTATTACCACTATCAGGTGTTATGTACTGTGCATAATTGTATGTGCTATAGTTTTATGTGACTGGCAGCATGATGAGTTTTACATGAGCATCATCACAAACACAAAATGTAATGTCGCATTACAACATTGAGATGGCTATGACGTCACTAGGTGATAGGAATTTTTCAGCTCCATCATAATCTTATGGGACCACCATCATATATGCAGTCTGTTCTTGACCAAAACATTGTTTTGTGGCACATGACTGTATTATTAGGTGTCATTATTCCTATAGCCCAGGCACTAATTTCCTTGTCTTGGAAGTGGGAAAGAATATTAATTAAACTGGTACTATGTGCAGTTTAACAATCATATGACCTCTAGATCAGGAATTCTTAGCCTCCCTGGCTGTCCCTACTGAGTATGATTGGTTGAACAATCGGTGTCCTCCTGTCCTTTGCAAGAAAGCACACACAGAACTCCAGAAGTTTATTGTCTTTACATGAGATTCCTAATGAGAGGCTCCCTGTGGGGTCACTAGGGGAATGGCTCCAGTATGGCACATTGGGCGACCTTGGATATATCCACATAGGCTCTGCAGGCAAAGGCTGGAACTACAGCTAACCTGAGTCTTGGCAGAAGCACCTTATTCTCCCAGCACATGACAGAAAGCGAGGCCCGTGATTAGTGGCTCCAAGGCCATCTCTTTGGAGTCTTTCATGGCCTCCTGGGTTCTGGTGAGGTATGAAGTAGTCTGCCTTAGATTACAGCTGCAGACTATAAAACTTCCTACCTTAAGTTTAGAATTAGCTTCTCAGCAATGTGATGTCCCACAGCTCACGTGGCAATCATATGGCCCCCTTTGTTTTGGGTCATCCTTTTTGTTGTATGAGACAAGGATCACAGGGAGCTGGAACTTTTGGCTACCTTCTCTCTAGGTAAGAAATACATTGTCTAAGTCTAAAAAGGGCTCGTGTGTCTCCTCTGATTGAATCTGTCCACCAGGCCTTGGTCTTGGCCCTGCTTGCTGCTCTGTGCTTTATGGGGCCCTGATCCCAGTGTGGGAGGCCTCTCAACCCAGACCTGGGGGGGCCACTCTCTCACCTGGCTGGTCTCCCCTCCTCTGTGGGATTAGCCCACAGACTTTTAAGTCCAGATCCTGGTTCTTAGATAGCTTTTAATTTTCCATACTTTGTTGTAGGGTATGAGTTTTGTTTTGTTGCTTTTTCCCCTAATTTTCAAAGTTGGACAGAAGAAGTTCCTGAGATTCACTGAGGGCCATAGACTTGGTGTGGCAGCTTACTTCTTTTTTCTTTATAATTGGCCTTGAAAAAAAAATTATACATAAATAAAATTATGTATATAATTGACATATATTAAAATTCAAATACCTAACACTGAAGGATTCTGGAAGGGTTAATTTCTCTCATGCTACAACATGAATGAACCTTGAAAACATGATGCTAAGTTAAAGAAACCAGACCAAAAAGCAATATTTTGTATGATTGCATTTCTATGAATGGTTCAGAGCAGGCAAATTCAAGACATAGAGCAGTGATTGCTAGGAAACAGGAAAAGGGAGATGGACAGTGACTGCTAATGGGTTTTTTTGGGGGGTTGATAAAAATATTCTGGAATTAGATAGTGGTAATGGTTGTACAACTTGTAACTACATTAAAAATTACTTATACCATTTAAAAGGGTGAATTTTATATGTAAATTATGTCTGAGTTTTTTAAATTACATAAGATAAATTATAAACTTGGTATATTAGTTTCCATGGCTGCTGTAACAACCAACCATCAACTTGGAACTTGTGGTGTAAAACAACAGAAATTTACCCTCTCACAATTCTGAGGCCAAATATCTGAAATCAAGTTGTCGGCGGGCCTCTTCTCCCTCTGGAAGCTCTATGAGAGAGTCTGTTCCTTGCCTGACAGCTTTGGTGGCTGCTGGCATGCCTCGGCCACATTACTCCAATCTCTGCCTCTGTCCTCACATTGCCTTCTCGTGTGTGTGTGCGTGTGTGTGTGTGTGTGTCCTCTCCCTCTGACTCTGTGGTGTCAATTCCCACACAGCTTTTGGCTTCTTATTATGCAGAAGACAGTTTGTTTTTCCTCCTTCATTGAATTTCATTTAAAAATACTCTCTAATAACTTTCCATTTTAGTCATTCTACCGAAAAAAAATGCAACAGAGATTGTACATATGGTTGTTTCTTCTATTTGTTCATAATAAAAAGCTGAGGCTGATGTTTGCACTGTCATACTGTGAAAGGCAAATCCATTGAGGAATAAAAAGCGATATGCATCTTTTCCATCTTTCTGCTGGTCTTTTTTTTTTTTTTTTTTTTTTTTGAGACTGGGTCTCACTCTGTCGCCCAGGCTGAAATCCAGTGGCGCCATCATAGCTCACTGCAGCCTGGATCTCCCAGGCTCAAGCAATCCTCCCACCTCAGCCTCCCGAGTGACTAGCACTAGGGGTACCCACCACCATGCCTGGCTAATTTTTTTTACTTTTTATAGAGAAGGGGTCTCCTTATGTTGCCCAGGCTCTTCCTGAACTCCTGGACGCAAGTGATCTTCCCGCCTCGGCCTCCCAAAGTGCTGGGATTTCAGGCATGAGCTACCGCATTCAGCCTGGTCTATCTTTTTAATTGTCTGTCTGCCTGTGTGTCTCATTAGAATGTAAGTTTCATGAAGAGAAGAACTTTTTTGTGTTTTAGTTCCTGTTGTATTCCCATTGCGTACCAGAGTATCTAGAATAGAGTAGATACTTCATAAATAATTGTTGAATGAATGAATTAGTGACTTTAGGCCTATTGCAGGTATTGTAGCTAACAGTACAAATTGAGATCCTTAATGAGTACTTCATTGTGTGTTGTTATATAGAAGCCCATTGGTGGGGTGATGGTGAAGTAAGAAATATAAGTTAATTTTATTAGATTGGCTGGTAAGAAAAATCGATCACGTGTCAGTTTAGGCCCTCCAGGAAGGAGACACTGGGATGGGTTAGACATGCAAGAGCTGTATTGTGAAAGACACCTGTCAAAACTGCCTGGGAACTAGAAAGAAGGAGGAACGAGAGGAGGCAGAGGAAGTCTTCAGATGCAGTGCAAGTCTGATGCCTATGAAAGGAGATGGGGGAAAGAAAGAGGGTTGTGTGGGAAGAGCCACAGACTATGGTGCCTGTCTGAGAAAGTCTCAGCCAGCCCACCAGAAAGCTCCGGTATAAAGATTTCCCATAGATGAGTTCCATCTCGGGCAGCAATGGCTCAGTCATTAGCTGGGGGCTATCCAGGAGGATCATGGGCTGAGCCCTTATACTTCAAGTTCTTGAAGGGAGATCCACGAGGTGCACTTCGTGGTTACCACAGTCCTCCGATGCCAAGCAGATCCACTTCTCCACACACATATCGGGAGCAGCTTCTTCAGGGTTTGCTACAGTGTTGCCCCTCAGCTTGGGTCTTGGCAGGTCATCTCACCAGCCAGCCAGCTCTAGCAGCCTGGTTGCATTTTGGATGGCATTGTGTCTGGTATGACCAGAGGATCCCATGGTCATGGACCCACTACTCTACTTCCTTTGCTATAAAGTAGGTTGGACGCTATGTTGTGCGTGATTTCATGCCTGCAGATTAGCTTCTGTAAGCCCCCAGATCATGGTGCTGGCAGGAAAGGTGTAGGCAGGAAAGACAAGCCCTTATTTGAAGTAAGTGTTTATTCCTGAGAGAACAAATCAATGGTCCTTCCATGACATAAGAGGTCCAATGTAGTCAGTTTGGCCAGAAATGGCTAGTTGGTCCCCTCGAGGAACAGTGCCATCTCATGGGTTCAATATTGGTGTCTATTGTTGGCAGATTAGACATTCAGTGATAACAGTACCTAGATGAGCGCTGGCGAGTAAATGCTGTTGTCTATGCTGTTGGGTCCATATGTTTCCCCATCTTTGCCAGGGTAACTACTCCATTTGCATGCCAGTCGTTTCAGTTGTATTTTATTTTATTTTTTGAGATGGAGTCTCACTTTGTCACTCAGGCTAGAGTGCAGTGGCCTGATCTTGGCTCACTGCAACCTCCACCTCTGGGTTCAAGTGATTCCCCTGCCTCAGCTTCCTGATGAGCTGGGACTACAGGCATGTGCCACCATGCCTGGCTAATTTTTGTACTTTTAGTAGAGATGGGATTTCACCTTGTTAGTCAGGCTGTTCTCGAACTTCTGACCTCAGGTGATCTGCCTACCTTGGCCTCCCAAAGTGCTGGGATTACAGGCGTGAACCACCGCACCCAGCCCTTTCCAGTTCTTAAGTGATGGATAATGAAGGCTGGCTAATGTCAACTGGCTGAGCCATTTTATCTACTTGGTTGCTTGTTGCCTCTTCTCTGGTACATGCTTTCTGGTGGGCATTAATGTGTGATACAACAATTTACACTTTGTGCTCATCTCCATACGTCCACCCACTTGCCCCTACTCCAGAATTCTTTGCATCAGTCTCTCAGAATTTGCTTTCTAGGCCCTTGACCAGCCTCCTGCGCCATTAATTACTGCCCATGATTCCATATGTATTCTTATGTCAGATCACCTCTCTTTCCACACAAAGTGAATGACCAAGTGTACCTGGTGAAGCTTCTGTCATTGGAAAGATTGTCTCTCCCTACTCTTTTTCAAGGGCAGTCCTGAAGGGGATTGTAAAGCAGCCTCATTTATTTTCAGCTTTTACACACAAACAGAGCCAACACATTTACAAATGAAGCTCAGGCTGTCTCTTCTGACTTCAGCTGGTCATGTGGGACCCTCTGTATGACCAGTAGGTATAAGCTAAAGAAGGAAGTGGGAGCCTGCGCTACCGCCTCAGGCAGGTCACACGTGCTACTTGTTCTGCCTGGGCTGATCCCAGGTGTACCCTTTTCTATCCTTATGGCGGACTTCTGCTGGGCAGTTTTCTACCACCACCTGGCCTGTACTATTTCAGGGACTCATTGTCACCACTGCTATTAGCAAGCTACTCTCTGAGATTGCTTCTCCTTTTGTCAGCCCTGGACTGTGGAAGAGGATCACCACTGAATTCCTTAGTGATGCTGGTACTTCTCTAACCACTGCATTTCTGATGGCCTCTGTGAATGAGGTGTCTTCTAGGTTCTCCTATGAAGCATAATCCTCTGATTGGTCTTCTGGCCCTACATAATACATACATTCCACCATGCCTATTTCCCTGCATTGTCATTATTTCGCCCCTGCTTGTTATAGCAATTCATGCATTGCAAGTCCACTCAGCATGGGCCATCACTTTCTCCAGGTTTTTAAAACCACTCTTAGGCCAGGTGTGATGGCTCACGCCTGTAATCCCAGCACTTTGGGAGGCCAAGGCGGGTGGATCACCTGAGGTCAGGAGTTCGAGACCAGCCTGGCCAATATGGTGAAAATTAGCTGGGCATGGTGGTGCATGCCTGTTATCCCAGATACTCAGGAGGCTGAGGCAGAAGAATCTCTTGAACCCGGGAGGCAGAGATTGCAGTGAGTCGAGATTGCACCATTGCACTCCAGCCTGGGCGACTAAAGTGAAACTCCATCTCAAAAAATAAAATAAAACCACCGTTTCAGTTAGTTTGTCCCATTCCCTTGCTAGGGTGTTAAGTCCCATGTTCTGAGAAAGTGCTCCTAAGTCAATAAACTCTTAAACAAACAGCAGTTGATCAGGCATACTCAAAATCCAATTCAATGGTTTCTGCTAGTATATCCTAGCTAATCCTTGCAGCTCCTTTAGGATGTAATATGTCTTATCATTGCCAGTATGTGCCAGTTGTTTTAGTTGAGATTTAACCCTAGTTATCAATCTGGAAGCCAGGTGAGAAGTGGGGTCAGCTTCTGAAGGGAGATCAGTTGTCTTGCAGGGGAGGGGTCTTTTCACATAGGGGAAATGCTAACTCAAAATAGGGCCTCGTGGAAGAATCACTAACTCTTAATAGGGAGGGGTAGGGAACCTCAGCAGGTTCTGAGAGCCAAAGTCTTTGAGGATTCATTCACATCCCATGATTCAGGGTCCCATAGTTTCTAAACAAAGCCCTGATCTTAGCATAACAGACTTGCCTTGGCTGAGTTTTCATTGTCTTTGAAGTTTGGCTACCCTGAATTTGCTCCACAGCTGTGTCTGTTCTCTCACTGCAGGAGATAAAGGCCTCTTTGTAAGCTGCCAGAGAGGTCCTTTGGCTCTCATACTTAGTTTTTAAATGTTTGTTAACTGCCTTCAATTTCTCATTGTCCTATTGTATGGCATCAATACAAATTAATAACAACCAGCCAATTCCATTGTCCTTGTATGCATCGTCCACCCTCAACTGCCTGAATTATTGCACTGGCCAGAGAAGTTGCCTCCACCGGAATACTGTCCTGAGTCACCATTGGTAAAAGTTTAGCAAACAGACCTCTACCTTCTACCAGAGACTAGTCATGCCACTGGGGCATGGGGTCATCATTTCTAGTGAGGAAGTGAGTTACCTAATCCCCGAGGTCCATCTTGCTATCTGCTGTCTGGGACCACTCTCAGTTATCAATGATTAAGTCTGGTTTCTCTAAGGGAGAAGATGCCAAGTCCAAGTTGGCAATGCAAGAGATTCATGAGAGTAACCTGGTGAAATATAAAAGGGAGAAGAAATAAGAATAGGCAGGTAAGGAGAAGGAGAAGAGAGGTAGATTAAGGAGGAAGAGCTAAATCTCAGCCAAGCCAATGGGGAGCTCTGGCGTAAAGACTGCCAGGAGATGAATTCCATGCTGGGTGAATGACTAGCTTCTCATATATCTGCCAGACTCAGTTACTGGCTTGGGACTGCTTGAGAAGAATGCGGCTTCAGCTCAAATGATGTGGCATATCCTGAAGGTGATATAGCTGGAGGCTGCCATCTAATATACAGCTTCATGCTGATTGGCAAGTTCGTTTTTTGTTTTTGTTGTTTTTTTCCTTTTTTATTTTACTTTAAGTTTTGGGATACGTGTACAGATTGTGCAGGTTTGTAACATAGATACACATGTGCCATGGTGGTTTGTTGCACCTATCAGTCATCTAGGTTTTAAGCTCCGCATGCATTAAGTATTTGTCCTAATGCTCTCCCCTACCTTGCCCCCAACCCCCCGACAAGCCCCAGTATGTGATGTTCCCCTCCCTGTGTCCGTGTGTTCTCATTGTTCAACTCCCACTTGTGAGTGAGAGGCAAGTTATTTCTTGAAGGAAAATCCAAGTGGCACGCATGGATGGCTGCCATACCACATCAGTTATTTATCTCTAAACCCAGGTGTGGTAGGTTGATAATGACTCTCAAAGATATGTCCACCTCAGAATCACTAGAACCTGTGAATATTTGGAAAATGGGTCTTTGCAGATATGATTCAGTTGAGGACCTTGAGATGAGATGATCTTGATGGTCCCTAAATGCTACAAGTGTCTTTACTAGAAAGAGGCAGAGGCGGCCAGGTGCGGTGGCTCATGCCTGTAATCCCAGAACTTCGGGAGGCTGAGGCGGGCGGATCACGAGGTCAGGAGATGGAGACCATCCTGGCTAACACGGTGAAACCCCGTCTCTACTAAAAATACGAAAAATTAGCTGGGCGTGGTGGCGGGCGCCTGTGGTCCCAGCTACTCGGGAGGCTGAGGCAGGAGAATGGCGTGAACCCGGGAGGCGGAGCTTGCAGTGAGCCGAGATCGCGCCACTGCACTCCAGCCTGGGCGACAGAGCAAGACTCCGTCTCAAAAAAAAAAAAAAGAAAAAGAAAAAGAAAGAGGCAGAGACAAAGGGGACACACACACACACACACACACACACGCACGCACGCACGCACGCACGCACAAGAAGGCAATGTGAGGACAGAGGCAGAGATTGGAGTAATGTGACTAAGGAATGCCAGCAGCCACCAAAGCTGTCAGGCAAGGAATAGAATCTCTCATAGAGCTTCCAGAGGGAGTGGAGCTCTGCTGACACCTCGATTTCAGACTTTTGGCCTCAGAACTGTGAGAGAATACATTTCTGTTGTTTTAAGCCACAGGTTACACCTTTATAGTTGTTTGTTACAGCAGCCATGGAAACTAGTACACCGAGTTTATAATTTATTTTATGTAATTTTAAAAGCTCAGACATTATTTACATATTATAAAATTCACCACTTTAAAGTGTATAATTGATTTTTAATGTAGTCACAAGTTGTACAACCATTACCACTATCTAATTCCAGAACATTTTCATCATCCCTAAAAGAAACCCCATCCCCCACAGCAGTCGCTCAGCATCTCCTCTCACTCTGCTTCCTAGCAATCACAAGTCCATGTTAAGTCTCTATGAATTTGCCTGTTCTGACCTTTCATATAAAGGCAATTTGCTGGGTGCGGTGGCTCATGCCTGTAATCCCAGCACTTTGGGAGGCTGAGGCAGGTGGATCACCTGAGGTCAGGAGTTTGAGACCAGCCTGACCAATGTGGTGAAACCCCATCTCTACTAAAAATACAAAAATAGCCAGGTGTGGTGGTGGGCACCTTTAATCCCAGCTACTAGGAAGGCTGAGGCAGGAGAATCACTTGAATCTGGGAGGTGGAGGTTGCAGTGAGCCAAAATTGCACCACTGCACTCCAGCCTGAGCAACAGAGTGAGATTCCATCTCGACAGATAAATAAATAAATAAAAGCAATCATAAAATATGTTGCTCTTTGGCCCAGTTTCTTTCACGTATCATTATGTTCTCAAGGTTCATCCATGAATGTTGTGGCATGAATCAGTACTTCATTCTTTTTCATGGTCAAATAATATTGCAATGTGCAGCTATACCCCCTTTGGTTTGTCCATCAGTGATGGACTTTTGGGTATAATTTCTTGAAATCAAATTTCTATAGGTAAAAAATTTTTATTTGAACAATGTGTTACCCAGATGTCAATTTGAATCATTGTTCCTCTTAATATTTTGAATAGATCTCAATTCTGAATCTGGTAGAAAGTCCAAAATGCCCTCAATATATTTCCAGCAAGTCCAAGTCTGTTCTGCCTGTGAGTAGTAAATCAATCACTGTGACATGAGTTTTACAAAAGAGAAAAGACTTATTTGCAAGGGCACTGATTGAAGAGACAGGAGAACAGCTCTCAAATCCACCTCCCCAAATATAAGGCTTAGGGATGTTTATGCATTAGGGAAGTGGGTGGTCTAAGGTGTGGAGAAAGGTGATTGGTAGTGGGGAAAAATGAAGCAACAGGTTTATTCTGTACAAATGTAGCTGAAGTTCATGGCATTTTGTAGGACATATGTACAGAAAATGGTGGTGTTACCATAATCTAAGGGTGAAGTTTTCGGCCTTCTGATGTCAAAAAACCACCCCTCAGGCACTTGCACAGGCCCAGTTGAGGGGCTGGTGGTCTCCACTAGTTTGAACTGGACAGGAGCTGGCCCAAGTTTCTGAAAAACAGCTGAAGCGGCCATTCCTATGGTGATCTATGAATGTTACCTCTAAAGTAGCCAGTGAAGGTTAAGTTTTGACATTCAGTGGCAAGGCCTCCAGCTTCGTGGAAAAAGAAAACAAAAAACAAACAAAAAAACACCCAAAACACAAAAAGCAAGTGAACACAAGCAAGAAGGGCAGGCAGACCTGATCAAATTGACCTCTTGGTTTCCAGTGTTTTTATAGATCCTTGAGTTGGGAGAGCAAGGAAGGCTTAAATTATCACAATCACCTCTGGTTCCTATATTTTGCGTTCACTGAATTCTTGTTGTTTGTTCTGAATATTGAGGCTGATTCTTTATCTTGGCATTGGAATGTTCCTAAACTTGGAACTCAGCTCCTTTCCTCTTCCCCTATATCAGTTCTGACTTTTGTTGCAAATGGCAAAAAACAGACTCAAACTGGCTTGGGCAAAATAAGTACATTAGCATCTCAAGTAGAAGTTCTCAAGCTTTCTGAGCTCAGGATGTCTCACACTCTTCAAAATTACTAAGGATCCCAAAGAACTTTTGGGTTACATCTATTGATATGTATTGCATTAGAAATTAAAACTAAGAAAGGTTTAACATTTTTACTTATTAATTCAATTAAAAACAGCAACAATAATCCTAGTATATGCTAACACAAATAACACATTTTAAATAAAAGAGAATTATATTTTCCAAAACAAAAAATTAGTGGGAAGAGTGACATTGTTTGACATTAAAAAAAAATTCTAGTGTTCGATTTAATAGAAGACTGTTGGATTCTTATATCTTCCTCTGCATTCAATCTGTTGTAAAATGTGGCTTCTATATAACTATAAAGAAAATTTGGCTTCATAGAGATATAAATTAGAATGAACAAGGAGTATTTTAATAGCTTGTCAGATAATTATTGATCTTGTTCTTTGAAATTTCACCAAAATTTGGTAAGTGGTAGTTTCTTAAAGATTAGTTGCAATGTGGAATGTAAAACCATACCAGTGATCTTTTTTTTTTTTTTTTTTTTTTGAGATGCAGTCTTGCTCTGCTGCCCAGGCTAGAGTGCAGTGGTGTGATCTCGTCTCACTGTAACCTCCACCTTCCAGGTTCAAGCAATTCTCCTGCCTCAGCCTCCCGAGTAGCCAGGATTATGGGTGCTCGCCACCATGCCCAGCTAATTTTTGTCTTTTTAGTAAAGATGGGGTTTCACCATGTTGGCCCGGCTGGTCTCGAACTCCTGACCTCAGGTGATCCACCTGCCTCGGCCTCCCAAAGTGCTGGGATTACAGGCATGAGCCACTGCACCTGGCCCCATGCTAGTGATCTTTTTATACTTTCTTACATTCAAATCCATTGGTCTAATTTGCACTTTGAATGGATCTTTTACCCATGCATGATTTTGTAACATTATGCATTAGTTGTCTGGAAAGTACCCTTTCCCTGAGTTGTGCAGATCTTTCAAATGTTGGCACATTTCATTATACAATATCAAAAAAGCACATTTGTTATATTATTACCAATTTAATCATAAAAGTCTTTAAGTATGGGTAAACTGTTATGTACTTAGTGTCGGATACAAGTTTTCCAAAATCTTAGTGTTTACTTTAAAGCCAGCATTTTATCATTAGTAACAAAATTGTCAGCTGTTTTCCTTGAAGTTGAAGTCTCACTGTGTTCATTTTCAATAAAATGTCTGCCAAATACCCAAATCTGAATTAGCATTGTGCCTGTCAGTTGTTCTTTCTAGTAAAAATAGTGTTATGTGAAAAAGCAGCTAGTTCAGCTCGCGAATCAACTGCACAAATGCTCTTCCTAGAGACAAAACTATTTTATTTTAGCATGCAGTAGAAGTTCCTTCTGCGTATTTTCCATTTCATCTTACAGAATATTTTAAAAGACATGTTCCCAACAGTTCAGATTTAACAAAATTAACAATTTTTTTTTTGCTTTTATCAAGGGCACTATTAAGTGAAACTGACCTTTTCCCCCTCCAGTAAGTACATGTTGGTAAAGAATATGAGGACCACTAGCATAGTTTGGTGCCACTATCTTGAGATGTACTGAGGGGCAGCAGTTTTATTCGCTATTGCTTTGTGATATCAATAGAAGTGTTAACATGGTGGGAGGCGGAAGCAGAACCCCCAAATTATGTCTTAGTAATATTATAAAATTAATTTTTTATCTCATGGACTCCCTGAAAGGGTCTTCCAGATTCCCAACAGTCCACAGGTCATCCTTTGAGAGCTGCTGACTTGCAGCATGTTGTTCTCCTAGGAGCTTAAGCCTTCATCATCTCAGTCAAGGAACCCTGAGGAGGTTGGGAGCTGCAAACATCACAATTTTTCATTGAAATTAGGCTTGGACAAAGAGTATTTGAATTGTTTAATCTACCAATTATCTGTTTATCATGTGGCTTGTTTACTTATTTACTTATATCACTTAGTTCATATGGTTTATCTTACAAGCTAGAGCAACAAATTCATCAGTGGAATTTTATAAATATTTTATAGTTGGTAAGAAATAGGTTGATGAGATAAAACATAATCTTTCAGCTTGAAAAATGAAGTTATTCAGCTTCTATAGAACTGTAGAAGTTCCAAGGATATAAGTCACCTATAAGAACAGAGAAAAAGGCAGAAATCAATTATGGTATTTCATACTGGGAAAGTGCATTTTCACATTCCAAAATTAATCATTATTATATTGGAATCTAAAAGGAGAGCATTTTCAATATGAATTCTGTTTCTATTACTTGCTATTGGAAATGGGTAACATTTATTGATAAGCAACTATATATATATATATATATATAACTATATAATTTTTTTTTTTTTGAGAGGGAGTCTTGCTCTGTTGCCCAGGCTGGAGTGTAGTGGTGTGATCTCATCTCAGTGCAACCTCCGGCTCCCGGGTTCAAGCCATTCTCCTGCCTCAGCCTCCTAAGTAGCTGGGATTACAGGTGCATGCCACCACGCCTGACTAATTTTTAATTTTTAGTAGAGACGGGATTTCACCATGTTGGTCAGGGTGGTCTCGAACTCCTGATCTCGTCATCCACCTGTGTCGGCCTCCCAAAGTGCTGGGATTACAGATGTGAGCCACCGCGCCTGGCGAAGTTCTATATTTTTTAAGGACACATTTTGATTGAGGCCAGTTTCAGTTTAAGCAAGAACAAGATTAAGAAGTTGTTATGTGAGTGGAGAGTTATACTAAAAAGGTTTTTAAAATCGTCATGAGGATATGCAAAAAGAGAATTCCAGTGTGTCTTCAGGTGATAGTGAAGGACTCGCTTTATGTGTTAGTAGTAGCCAGTGAGAAAAAATAGATATCCATAGATACTACTGCTTTGAGGGAACCAAGATATGCAGTTGTCTTGCTGTGAAGAATAATTGGGAAGTTTGATCAAATCTCTGCTAAGAAAAAGTGCTATGATCCTAAGAACTTAAAAGCTTCTTGTCAGGGAAGTTATCTGATGCAGTGACCTTCAACATGGTGACACATCTTGCTTGTTCAGACAACACTTTTTAAAAATAAATTTGAGGGTCTGCTCTATTCAAAGCACAGAATAATTGCTCTGAGAAAAAATTGTAAATACGTGTCAAATCTGTGTGTTGGAATTAACCAAAAGCTTAACAGTAGTTTAGCAACATAGTGATAATGATACAAGAAAATGGAAACATGGCACAAGATTGGATGCACATATATACAGTCCTCCATCCCTTATTCATCTACTTTCATTCTGACCAACTTGCGCTTTATCCTTTCCTAGTCTTTAATCCTCTGAGTGAGTCCCAGGCATTACCCTCCTGCTTCCTTCTCTCTTCATTCATTTATTCAGCAAATATTTATTGATCATTGCTTATGTGCCAGGCTCCCTGCTAAGCACAAAAGATACAGCCACGCACAAGGCACATAGGTCCATTTGACACTTGCAGTCTCGTTGAGAAGACAAAAATTAAACAAATAATGACATAACCAATACTTACAGCGTGATAAGTCCTACCCAGGAAAAATAGAGAGGGCCACGAAAATGTAAAGCAGATCTGACCTAGACTTGTGGGTTTGGACTGAGAGTCAGCCCTGTGTACAGGTCAGATAGCCAGAGTCATAAGGCCAGTAACTAATTTTGTAAGCCCAAGGGACTAGGGGACATATAAAGCTACAGTAGGGTGACCAATCGGACTAGGGGCTTCCAGGGCCATGGGACTATTAGTGCTAAAATTAGGGAGGTCCTGGGTAAACTGATATGAGTTGATCACCTAGGACTATATTCATCCCAGAAAATTTTTTATACAGTGACAGGCTCTAAGCACCTTTGAAACTGATGAATTTTAAAGAGGCACCTGGTAGTGATACAGAATTTCCCCACCTTGCCATATAAAGGGATTGGTTGTGAAATGTATGAACTGGATCACAGGAGGTGATACCCAAGGGCAGGTCTCTGCCACTGCAGAACATTGTTCAGTGTGGCATTGGAGATTCCTGGCGGCCCCAAGCCCATTCATTCAGACTGCTTCATTTACAGAGGGAGCGGTGATTAAGTGGCTTTACTATGGTCAACATCACTAGTTGACAATAGAAGTGATGCAGGTCTGGTTTCCCTGGAAACAGACTCTGAGATGGAGATTCTATTGCAAATGATTTATTAAGGCTTGTTCTTGGGAGTGAGGGAAGCAGGATTGGGCAGAGAAATTGAACTCTGATGCAGCCTTAGCCTGGCAGCTAAAGGTGGAGGAATCTTCAGAGATGTGCAGATAAAGATGAGGGGGCTGAGCCCCCCAGTCATTGCATGCAGGCTGACTCCTGGGAGAGGCATAACCTTTTGGCTGAGGTCCCTTTTATTCAGCTGAGGCCATGAGTACTTAGTCTTGAAGAGAGGACCTGGGTGGCACACAATCTCACACACTAGGTCTTCCAATTTCAGGTCAATGTTTCCATTTTATCGTGTGTCGACATTTACCAAGAATTGCCCAGAGACATCTTTCAGCTCTTGATTTAACATATAGTTAAATAAATGTCCTGGCTTCAGAAAGATACTGATCAATAATGTAAAATCATAAAGCTGTTAATAATGAATTAATCTGTAGATAAAATGGGATATAATTGCTGTATAATGCTTTCACTGAAAAGACACCGATTATTTCAGGTGGAAGCTGACTTACAATATAAACTATGATATGCCTATGACCAAAGAACCAGACATTTCTAGAATGCCAGCATTTGCCAAGATAAAATGTGAGATGACATTTCTCTGATAGCTTAGAAAGTATTTCATGGACCTCTGAGAAGTTTCAACACAAAGTTAACAGAGTTGTTAAAATATATCTAAAAACATAATTTTCAAATATTTACATTAATCAATTATTTTAAAAAACTGTCAGTGAAGCCAAGATTTCAGACCTTGATTTAATAGACTTTGGGCTTTTCCTCAATATTAACATAGTGTCATATAAAAGCATAACCAAAAGTCTATATTTCATCATATAAAATTAGTACTTCTGGGATTGAGTCAGTTATAAACAAAAAATAGATAATCACATTTTTGCCTCTAAATCTGATATGATGAAATTGCAGAATAACAGCCTTCAACGCAGGCTGCATATTAGAATTGCCAAAGGAACATAAGAAAATGCTCAGGCCCCACTCATTCTAGATATTTTGAGTTAGAATATTGATGTGGGTCCCAGAGTTTGGATTTTAGCCAAGCTCCCAAAATAATTCCCAAACAGCTAGCCAGGCACTAGTCTAGTGTCCTCATTTACTTTTGTGAACTGCTGGCATAGAGTACAGCTTCTTTTCCAGGGCCATGCTTTGTTGTAGTTGCCTTTTTTAAAAAAAAAAAGTGGTAAAATATGCATAACATAAAATTTACTGGCCAGGCATGGTGGCTCATGCCTATAATCCCAGCACTTTGGGAGGCCGAGGCAGCAGGACTGCTTGAGCCCAAGGGCTTGAGACCAGCCTGGACAACATGGCAAAACTCTGTTTCTACAGAAAATTAGCTGGGCATGGTGGTGCACGCCTGTGGTCCCAGCTACTCAGGAGGCTGAGGTATGTGGGTTGCTTAAGCCTGGAGGCTGGAGATCAAGGCTGCAATGAGCCGTGATTGTGCCACTGCACTCCAGTCCGGGTGACAGAGCAAGACCCCATCTCACCCCCCAAAAATCTATATATCTATACCATTTGAACCATTTTTAAGTTTACAGTTCAGTAGCATTAAGTACATTCCGTACATAACTACATTGTTGCATAGCCATCACCACTATCCATCACCAAAACTTTATCGTCTTCCCTAACTGAAAATTTGTACCCATTAAACAATCATTCTCCATTCTCTGCCTCTTCCCAGGATCTAGTAATCACCATTCTATTTTCTTTGTGCATTTGACTTTCCAAGTTTCCTTATATAAGTGGTACTATACAGCATTTGTCCCTCTGGGACTGGCTTATTTCACTTAGCATAACATCCTGAAGTTTCGTCTATGTTGTAGCATGTCTCAGAATTTCCTTCCTTGTTAAGGCTGAATACTATGCCTTCTCATCACATTGTAGATGGACACTTTTCTTGCCTCCACCTTTTGGCTATTGTGAATAATACTGTGACAAACATAGGAATATAAATATCTGTTCAAGTCCCTGCTTTCCTCTCTCCTGGGTACATACCAGAAGTGGAGTTGCTTGATCAGATGGTAATTCCATTTTTAATTTTTAAAGAAATTAACACAGCATTTCTCACAGCAGCTCCACCATTTTATCCACCAACAATGCACAGGGTTCCAATTTCTCCATATCCTCACCTATGATAACCATTTTGTTTTTTAAAAAATAGTAGCCATCCTAAACGATATGAGGTATCTCACTGTGGTTTTGATTTACATTTCCCTAATGATTAGTGATGTTGAACATCCTTTTTGTGCTTGTTGGCCATTTGTATATCTTCTTTGGAGAAATATCCATTCAAACCCTTCACTCATTTTAAAAAGCACGGTTTTTTGTTGTTGTTGAGTTGCAGGGGTTCTTCATTTATTATGGATATCAACTCCTTATCAGATATGTCAGTTGCAGATATTTCCTCTTATTCTGTGGTTTGCCTTTTAACTCTGTTAATCATGTCCTTTGATGCACAGAAGTTTTATATGTACAGTCCAACTTAATCTGGTTTTGTTGTTGTTGCCTGAATTTTTGTCATCATATCCAAGAAATCATTTCCAAAATCAATGACACAAAATTTTCTTCTATGAGTTTTATAACTTTAGCTCTTACATTTAAGTCTTTGATCTAGTTTGAGATAATTTTTACATATGGTCTAAAGTAAGAGTCCAACTTCATTTTTTTTTTAATTTTTGCATGTGAATATCTGGTTTTCCCAGCAGCATTTAGTTGAAAAGACTGTCTTTTCCCCATTGAATGATCTTGGCATCCTTGTTGAAAATCATTTGACTATATATGCAAGGGTTTATTTCTGGGATCTCTTTTCTATTCCATTGGTCTATATGTCTATCTTTATGCTAGTACCACACTGCTTTGCTTACTGTAGTTTTGTAGTAAGTTCTGAAATCAGAAAGTGTGAGATCTCAAACTTTGTTTTTCTTTTTAAAGATTTGTTTTGGTTATTTGTGACCTCTTGAGATTCCATGTATGAAATTGACTTAACAATTGCTTCTTTTAAAAATGATTTTAGATGAAATATATTACATATAAAGAAAAGTACAGGCCAGGCTCACACCTGTAGTCCCAGCACTTTGGGAGGCCAAGGTGGGCAGATTGCTTGAGCTCAGGAGTTTGAGACCAGCCTGGGCAACATGGCGAAACCCCATCTCTACAAAAAAATACAAAAATTTGCCAAGCATCATGGTGCATGCCTGTAGTCCCAGCTACTCAGGAGGCTGAGATGGGAGAATCACTTTTAGCTCGAGAGGTCGAGGCTGCAGTGAACCATGATTGTGCCACTGCACTCTAGCCAAGGCGACAGAGCAAGAACCTATCTCAAAAAAGGGGGGAGAGGGAGACAGACAGAGAGAGAGAGAGAAAGTACATGAAGCGAAAATGAATTATCAGTCAATTGTAACACAGTAAATACCTAGATAACTATGACTTGGTTCAATAAATAGAACATTGCCAGGACACCAGAAGCCCCTTTTGTCTCATCCCAATTTACATTTCTTTACCCGCACCCCCCGCCCAAATTTGACCTTCTAATGCTATAGTTTAGTTTTGCCCATTTCTGAAGTTTATATTAATGGAATTGTACAGTTGTACTCTTTTTATTTCTGGCTTCTTTTGTACATTTGTTTGTGGGAGTCATCTATGTTTTTACATATAGTTGTAGTTTCTTCATTTTCATTCCTGCAAGATTTGATTATTCACAAACAGTCTTACCTTTAATTTTTAAAAGAGCTAGGAGGACTGGGAACCTGTTTTACTTATCTCTGTCAGGAGTCACATATTTAACAATATGCATACTATTTTGTCTTAGTCATTTGCAGACCAGCCAGGATCTGTAGGCTTTACAAATGCATAAAGTTATCTTGGACAACTGGGAAAGATTCAGTAGTGCTCTGTAGAAGGATATCTAGGCAGTAGGCAACAAGGTGGTCTGGTAGTAGGTACTAGGCAGAAGTACTAATATTTACATTTTTCCAGAGACTTTTTGGAGAATGATATAATTTAATGGAAGGGTTATTATAGTGAGAATGTCAGACCCTATGTCAAGCTGGAAATGCAAACATTTAGGGGCAAATGGACCTTCCAGTATCTTTAAAATCACAGCATATAGATAAATGACTGCTAATTTTGCATTTATAAACAACTGGTTCCAAATCTGAACAAGCAACGACTTGCTGGGAGTTAGAGGTACTTCTTACTTTATGAGGCACATTGAATTGAGGCTATGTCGAAGAGTCCATGGTGCTGAAGTAATGCCAGTGAAATGGCATGTGAATAGAATTCTACTTCCCATCCACGGGCCCTGGCCTTTCTCTCAACTAATCTCTCCTCCCTTCCTCCTTTACCCCCGTCCGTAATTGCTTTCACATCTGCTGGAACTATTTTCAGAATTCATTATTCAGGCCAATTCATTTTGACATAACTGGCAGGTTAATCATGTGACTGATTAAATTAATCATGGGTTAGAAATCTGTCATTATGGTACTATATTGGAGCTATCATAACTCAAGTGTCTTTTGAACTAATTTTCCTCCCCCTTTCCTCAGCTTAACATCTAATTTCCTTTTTAAATGAGAGCTCCTTGAAACTGTCTTGCTCACTATTCTGATTTAATTCAATATCTTCATTGCTGACCTAATGAGAGTTGGAATGTTATTTCTTCTATTTTGGAAGGGACACACAAAATGGCTGGAATGTAATTCGGAATTAAATAAGTTTCGACAGGGTGTACCTGTTTTACAGTAAATGCAATTATTGTAATCATCCTTGTGCATATAAACTGTTCAGAGCATGATTGGGTCACACGTATTCAGAGCTCAAAGGAAAGAGTCAGTTATAATTTAGCTAAGGGACTGGCCTGCTATAGAGTATAGTAATTTGGTCACATTGGAGAGCATTTTAGTAGCTATTTATCAGCTACACTCTTTTTGTTGTTGTTGTTGTTGAGACAGGGTCTCACTCTGTTGCCCAGACTGGAGTGCAGTGGCGTGATCTCGGCTCACTGCAACCTCTGCCTCCTGGGTTCAAATGATTCTCCTGCCTCAGTCTCCCAAGTAGTTGGGACTACAGGTGCATGCCACTACCGCCCAGCTAATTCTTGTATTTTTAGTAGAGATGGGATTTCACCATGCTGGTCAGGCTGGTCTCAAACTCCTGACCTCAAATGATCCACCCGCCTTGGCTTCCCAAAGTGCTGGGATTACAGGCATGAGCCACAGTGCCCAGCCGCAGCTACACTCTAATATGAGAATAAAACAAAATGAAAAGGGATGGATATGTAATATATGGTTCTTAAAACTGGGATCTAGGTTTGTTCATGTTTGAATGCCTAGTAAGTGTTTACCATATATATGGCTAAAGGCATTTCCCTTATTAACCTCCCTTTATTTATCTACCATCTGTGTATGTGGTATAATTTAAGAGATACTGAAAGATCCATTTGCCCTCCAATTTTTGCCATTCTAGTTTGATATGAGACTTGAAATCCTCACCATGACAGCCGTTCCTCACCATGATAGCCATCCCATTCAATTAAGTCATCCTGTTGAAGGTCCCCAGGACTAGGCGAATATTAATACTTTTGCCAGGTACCTACTGTCATTCATCTCCATAGTAAAACTGCTCACTTTATTTTTAAAAGACAGTGTCTCACTCTGTCATCCAGGTTGCAACCTCAAACTCCTGGGCTCAAGAAATCCTCCTGCCTCAGCCTCCCAAGTAACTGGAATTAAATGTGAGCCACCACACTTAGCTAATTAAAAACTTTTTTTTTTTTTTTTTTTTTTTTTAGAGATAGGACCTTGCTATGTTGCTCAGGCTGGTCTTGAACTCCTGGCCTCAAGCAATCCTTCTGCCTCAGCCTCCTAAATAGCTGAAATTATGGGCATGACCCACACTCACTATTTTTGATGATATTCTCACTTTACCCATTCCAACCTTCCTTACCTCCTTCCTGAGAATTTCCCTAACTCCTTATATATTTAACCAATTAGTGGCTGTAGGAAAACAGCCTGTTGTATGGCAAGAGTGATGCCATCTTGAAGTGAAACCGCCGTGATGATTGATGTTTGACCCCACATACCAAAGTGTTCTTTAAACAATGCCTGTAGCATGGATAACCCCTCATAAGGATGTTTGCCTAACCTGCCCAGCGGTCACGAATTTCACAAGGAAGTCTGAGGCATAACTAGCTGCACATGTTTTACCCTAAAAGCTTGCTATATAAAGAATACTTTCTGCAGGATGGGTGTGGGGATCCACCATCTTGTGGCCACCAGAGAAATGGCTCCCACTGGTAAGTCCCTATTAAATATTTCTTTCTGAGAAACTAAATTTGTCTGCTTCTTTCTTTGGCCTCTCAGCACCCTTGGCCTTTGGGGGTAGGTTTGCATAGACCTGCTTACCACAGAACAGCAGTTGTCTCTGCCCCTGTCATGGTCCCCACCAATCTTGAAGTAGGATTTACTGAGTCTTTGCATTTCCGCAAATATAGTACATACCTGCTATAATGCAGGTATGTACAACCCCTTATGTGTACAGATAAGGGGTTCTCTGTCTTTCTTCCATCTGCTGGCTGAATCCCATACTGTTACTGGACTTTCTGTCAGCCCTCATGGGCACTGCTTTTCTCTCATGGATCTGTGAGTAATAAAATGCTTTGGTTATTTCATGTGTTTTGGTGTGCCCACTTCCTCTATGTCTCACCTGACCAACACACCTGAACCTAACTCTCCTTATAGTCGGAGCTCTCCTAGAGAGTGGCTCTCTTGGTAAGAATAAACTGGACACAGGTCAGACACAAGCCACAAGGGTATCTGCCAGTGTAAACAAGCTTCCTGTGAGAGGTACACCTGGTCACAGGTTGGAAATGTAGGCATTAGGCCAGGATAGATAAAGAAGTATTCTGTGAAGCATACTGTAAACATCCACAACCACCTCCCTGGAGCCCTGTCAGGGCAGGGCTAGACTTTATAGCTACTCTCCTGGGAAAGATCTTTTTCAGGACCAAATCCCACAAAAAGATCAAATGAGAGGAAAGTACTATTGGTACAGTGAGTAGGGTGTGTGGTCACAACTGTGAGGGACACAGCAACATAGCTTTAGCCTGCTCTTGGCTTACTAACTGGCTCTCCCGTGTGGCTGACACCATGTGGGAAGACCCCCTATTGCTGTGTGCTGCTGCCTGCCGTCTTAGTTGAGTGCTGCCAAAACTCCCCTCCCTATGTTGGATGGGTCCTAGAAAGTCCACGTCCTCCCTGGGAACCATAAATTGCCAACCTTAGTAGGGTAAGAGGGGTGACCATGGTCATTATCACTCCCCAGAATAGGAACTACTGGTCAGACTGAAATGGACTATATTCCAAGGCCTTGGATGTCTCATTATTACTCATTACTTACAGGCAGGAGCAGGTGACATGGCTCGGATGTTTGTCCCCTCAAATCTCATGTTGAAATGTAATCCCCAATGTTGGAAAAGGGGCCTAGTGGGAGGTGTTGAATCACAGGGGTGAATCCCTCATAAATGGCTTAGTGACATTCTCATGATAATGAGTGAGTTCTTGAGATACCTGGTTGTTTAAGAGAGTGTGACACCTCCCCCATCCCCTTGTTCCCTCTCTTGCCACGTGACATGTCTGCTCCTGCTTAGCCTTCTGCCACAATTGTAAGCTCCCTGGGACCTCACCAGAAGCTGAGCAGATGCCAGCGTCATTCTTCTTGTACAGCCCACAAAACTGTGAGTCAATTAAACCTCTTTTCTTTATAAATTACCCAGTCTCAGGTACTTCTTTATAGCAACCCCAAATGGACTAAACAGAAAATTGATACCAAGAGTGGGGTGTTGCTATAAAGATGCCTGAAGATGTGGAAGTGGCTTTGGAACTGGGTAATGGGCAGAGATTGAAGGAGTTTGGAGGGCTCAGAAGAAGATAGGAAGATGATAGAGAGTTTGAAACTTCTTAGAGACTGTGAGATGGTTGTGACCAACATGCTGATAGAAATATCAGCAGTGAAGGCCAGGCTGACAAGGTCTCAGAGGGAAATGTGGAGTTATTGGGAATTGAGTAAAGTCACCTGTGTTATGCCCTAGCAAAGGGCTGGGCTGCATTGTGTCCGTGTCCAAGTGTTACTGGAAAGGGGTCCTGATCCAGATCCCGAGAGGGTTCTTGGGTCTCACACAAGAAAGAATTCAGGGGGCTGGGTGCGGTGGCTCACACCTGTAATCCTAGCACTTTGGGAGGCTGAGGCAGGTGGATCACCTGAGGTCGGAAGTTTGAGCCCAGACTGACCAACGTGGTGAAACCCTGTCTCTACTAAAAATACAAAAATTAGCCCAGTGTAGTGACAGGCACCTGTAGTCCCAGCTACTTGGGAGGCTGAGGCAGGAGAATTGCTTGAACTTGGGAGGCAGAGGTTGCAGTGAGCTGAGATCACACCATTGCACTCCAGCCTGGGTGACAGAGCGAGACTGCATCTCAAAAAAAAAAAAAAAAAAAAAAAGATGTCTTAGTTCTACATCTTAAGGCCCATTGAAATTATCTCATAAAAATCATAGTCTGACAGATATTTTATGACAAAGTATGCTTCACAGTTTTTATCTCTGATCAGACATTAGAAGCCCGTGGGAGGCTGCTTGTCAAAGCCTGTGAATCTCCCTTTTTATTCCCAAGGAAACGCTTAATTCTGAAAAGCACTGTTAAAAATGAGTCTGGCCACTGAATATAAAGTACTATTGTGAATAAATGATATTCTCTACTTCCTGGAGTCCTAAGTAGAGTTCACTTTGGTCTCAAAATTTCTGCTACTGACAAGTCTGATTCCATATAAACTTTTTTCAGTTGCTGTGTGAGCAGCACCATCGTGCATTACAGGAAAAAAAGCTTCTCTGCTCTCTACTTTGTACACCTGCTTGAACTGATGTGGGCTTCAGAATTTGCCATGTTTGGTTGGAACAGTAGCTTACTAGAGGATTTGGGCCTCTGGATAAATCAATGAAAGCACCAAAACCAATAGTAATAAGACCACCATTTAGTAGAATGGTGTATATCTGCGCCTGAAAGGAATTTTTGTTTTGGGTGGAAGTTTAAGTTTGAACAGGCCCCATATCTGATAAGCAGCGGCCTGGCCTGCAGGATAATCTATAGTGAATGAGTTCCAGGACAAGAGTGCCCTACTGCTGGCCTCCAGCCCTTAGAGGATGGGGGTGAGATTGAAAATTTGTAAAGATAAGGCCAGGAGCAGTGGCTCACGCCTGTGATCCCACCACTTTGAGAGGCTGAGGCAGGCAGATCGCCTGAGGTCAGGAGTTTGAGACCAGCCTGGCCAACATGGCGAAACCCCATTTCTACTAAAAATACAAAAATTAGTTAGACATGGTGGCACGTGCCTGTAATCTCAGCTACTCAGGAGGCTGAGGCAGGAGAATCACTTGAACCCAGGAGGTGGAGGCTGCAGTGAGTTGAGAACACACCACTGCACTCCAGCCTGGGTGACAGAGCAAGTCTCCATCTCAACAAAAAAAAAAGAAAAAAAGAAAATTTATAAAGATAAGCTAAGATCTAGGGAAAATTGGAAATTTATTTGGGGGTTTATTTGTTGAACTGGAATTTGAAAGGAGTTGTTTGAGGTCATTATGTCTTTCAGTTAAACTGGTTATCAGACACCTATCAGGGACATGAAAGTTCTAGTGAATTTCTTTTTCAAGAGCCCAGCAGTGTGTATTTTAAAGAGTGAAGTGTGTGTCTTGGTATTATCAGTAATGTCTGTAACTCGAAGGGGAATAAGGAGTGTTCTGGCCTGTGCTTGTAGTGTGGCCTTAGTGTATGTGGAGACCTATATGATTTTGATTTATATTTTGGGTGTGTGCAAGGCAAGAAATTCTGAGAGTTTGTTTTTTTTTTTTGTTTTTTTTTTTTACTTTATAGGGGACAATTTTTAGGTTATGGCCCAATAATTTATAATAAGTGTGAAGATAGGGCCATTTGTTGACCTGGGTGTCCAGTGCTAAGAGGCCTGCCAGAAGTTTGGCCAAGTGTGTTGTTTCTGGGTCCTGTCCTTTATTAGGGACATCTTGGCTAAGGGATGAAGGCAGCAACATCCCACCAAGCTCCATCACATATGAAGGTTGGCAGCGCCATCTGCGTAGCCTACAAACTCCCATTACTTGTCACCCAGGTAATCCCAAAGGGCTTTCTATGTAGTCAAGGAGTCTGAGGATGGGGTGACCTCCTCTAGCAACCTGGCATCTTGCAAGAGACTGAGAACAGGGGAAGCCACTGCCTCCTGCAAGTGGAATATGCCAGAGGCTCCAGGTTTGGATCTATCTGGTCTTACAGAGGCCTTGGTAGCCATGCTGTGTTTGTGGGTGCTGTTTCATGACCCAAAGCAAAACAGGCAGCTGAATATGGAGGGTCACAGGCTCAGGTTCTGTGAGAGCCTCTATTTCTAGGACATCCCAGCAGGTAGTTAGGCATTTGTTATTCTCATGGTGTATAGAATGAGGCTGAAAATGGCAGTCTTTTTGCATCCGAAACCCTGGGGCAGCTAATGGCCATCATAAGTGGTCCAGAGATTCTAGGAGGCCTAAGAAGAGATTGCCTAAGCCTATACAATGAAGGAGTCATTTGAAGGCACTAGCAGGAGTGCCTGTTGATTATAATTTGTAAGTATAATTTGCAAATGCAGTGTCTGTTGCCCCCAGGACCTACAAAGGGATAAAAGACTTATATGTCCTTATTGAGTGTGGCAAATTAATCTCCTTGAAAGAGGATGTTATCAATGTAACGTTTTACTTGTGCTCCTGGAGAAAGGTGGATGTCATCAAGATCTTATCTGAAACGATTGCATGTGACAAAAAAGCTGCTAGGGTACCCCATGGATAGCCTGAAAAGGCATATTGTGTCCCTTTGGAGGTAGAGGAAAACTGTAGCTGAGAGATTGTTTAAATAAGCACTGAACAGAACATCTTAGCCAATCTATAACAGAAAACTACTTACCAGTTGTTGATTGGATAGAATCAGTAATCTTAATAATATTGGATATTGGGTCTAGGGCCTTGATGCATGAGAGCACAGCATTAAGTTTACAGCAATCCATCACGAACTCTCCCACCACCTTTTTAAAGGTTTAAGAACAAAGTAAAATTGAGCTGTTGTATTAGTCTGTTTTCACACTGCTATAAAGAACTCCCTAAGACAGGTAATTTATAAAGGAAAGAGTTTTAATTGACTCACAGTTCTGCATGGCTGAGGAGGCCTCAGGAAACTTAGAATGATGGTGGAAGGCAAAGGAGAAGAAAGTGCCCTTTTCACAAGGCAGCAGGAGACAGAAAGAGCACAGGGGAAACTGCCACTTTTAAACCATCAGATATGATGAGAACTCCCTCCCTCTCACTAGAACAGCATGGGAGAAACTGTCCCCATGATCCAATCACTCATCAGGTCCCTCCCTTGACGTGTGGGGATTACAATTTGAGATAAGATTTGGGTGGGAACACAGAGCCAAATCATATTATTCTGTCCCTGGCCCCTCCCAAATCTCATGTCCTCTTCACATTTCAAAAATCATGCCTTCCCAACAGTCCCCCAAAGTCTTAACTCATTCCACCATTAGCCCAAAATTCTAAATCCAGCATCTGAGACAAGGCAAGCCCCTTCCACCAATGAGCCTATAAAACAAAAAACAAGTTAGGTACTTCCAAGATACAATGGGGATACAGGCATTGGGTAACTGTTCCCGTTCCAAATTGGAGAAATCAGCCAAAACAAAGGGTTCCACAGCTCTATGCAAGTCCAAAAGCCAGTGGGGCAGTCATGAAATCTTAAGCTGTGAAATGATCTCACATCCAGGACATGCTGATGCAAGAGGTGGGCTTCCACAGCTCTGCCCCTGTGGCTCTGCAGGGTACAGCCCCTGTGGCTGTTTTCATGGGCTCATGTTGAGTGCCTGTGGCTTTTTAGGTGCATGGTGCAAGCTGTCAATGGATCTACCATTCTGGGGTCTGGAGGACAGTGGCCCTCTTCTCACAGTTCCACTAAGCAGTGCCCAGTGGGGACTCTGTGTGGGGGCTTCAACCCCACATTTCCCTCTGCATTGCCCTAGTAGGCATTCCCCATGAGGGTTCTGCCCCTGCAGCAGACTTCTGCATGGACATCCAGGCAGTTCCATACATCCTCTAAAATCTAGGTGGAGGCTCCCAAAGCTCAACTTTTGTCTTCTGTGCACCCACATGCACAGTGCCACATGGAAGCTGCCAAGGCTTGGAGCTTGCACCCTCTGACGCAATGGCTCAGTCAATGGCAAATGGCTTGGCCCTTTTTAGCCACGGTTGAAGCTAGAGTGGCTGTGATATAGGGCACCAACTCTTGGGGATGCACAGAGCAGTGGTGCCCTGGGCCTGGCCCACAAAACCATTTTTTCCTCCTACACCTCTGGGCCTGCCTGTAACTGGGGAGGCTGCTGCAAAGATCTCTGACATGCCCTGCAGACATTTTCCCCGTTATCTTGGCTATTAACATTTGGTTCCTTTTTACTTATGCAAATTTCTGCAGCCAGCTTGAATTTCTCCCTAGAAAATGGGTTTTTCTTTTCTACCTCATCATCAGGCTGCAAATTTTCCTAAGTTTTATACTCTGCTTTCCTTTTAAATAAAAGTTCCAGTTTTAGATAATCTGTTTGTGAATGCATATGACTGAATGCTTTCAGAAACAGCCAGGACACTTCGTGAACACTTTGCTGCTTAGAAATTTCTTCCCCAGATACCCTAAATCATCTCTCTCAAGTTCAAAGTCCCACAGATCTCTAGGGCAGGGGTAAAATGCTGCCAGTCTCTTTGCTAAAGGATAGCATGAGTGACCTTTACTCCAGTTCCCATTAAGTTCCTCATTTCCATCTGAGACCACCTCAGCCTGGACTTCATTGTCCATATCACTATCAGCAGTTTGGTCAAAATCATTCAACAAGTCTCTAGGAAGTTCCAAACTTTCCCATATCTTCCTGCCTTCTTTCTGTTCTTTTTTAATACATAAGGGATTTTTTTTCTTCAACTTTTATTTTAAGTTGCAGGATACGTGTGCAGGATGTGCAGAATTGTTACATAGGTAGATGTGTGCCATGGTGGTTTGCTGTACACATCATCCCATCACCCAGGTATTAAGCCCAGTGTCCATGATCTATTCTTCCTGATGCTTTCCCTCCCACTACCCCTCCATTTTCTTCTGAGTCCTCCAAACTGTCTCAACCTCTGCCTGTTACCCAGTTCCAAAGTCATTTCCACATTTTCAGGTTATCTTTATAGCAGTGCCCCTCTCCCGGTACCAATTCTCTGTATTAGTCTGTTTTCACACACTATAAAGAACTGCCTGAGACTGGGTAATTTATAAAGGCAGGAGGTTTAATCGACTCACAGTTTTGCATGGCTGGGAGGCCTCAGGAAACTTAAAATCATGGTGGAAGGTGAAGGAGAAGGAAGTACCCTCTTCACAAGACAGCAAGAGAGAGAGCGTACAGGGGAAACTGCCACTTTTAAACCATCGGATCTAGTGAGAACTCCCTCACTATCAAAGAACAGCATGGCGGAAACCTCCCCACAATTCAATCACTTCCCACCAGGCCCCTCCCTCGATACGTGGGGATTACAATTCAAGAGGAGATTTGGGTAGGGACACAGAGCCAAACCATATCAGTTCTCAAATGTAGAAGTAATGGGGACCCTTTATTAACTGGATTTTCTCTATATATATATACATAATACATTTTAATTCTTGAAGGCCCAGTTTTAACTTGTTGGGCCATATTAACTATTTTAACTGGGGGTTCACAGTGTCACATTTTATCAAGGCAGTTTGTAACCACTATAAACTTATTTTAATTTTAATTTATCAGAGTATATATGCCCAATATAAACAGCAATGGATACTCTGACTATGGGAAATTTAGGCAAGGCTATAGTTAAAGTGAGACATACCCATTTTTTTCTTTATATTATATTTAGTTACCTTCTCAAGATCATAGGGAAGCACAGTGTTTAAATTTCATGTGATTCCCATGAATGACTATAATTTGAGCCCAGTGTTGATTAAATCCATGAAGTTTTGTCAACTGGTGTATTGTAACAAATGCTAAAGTTAAGTTAAAACCTGTGTTGTAGAAGCACAAAAGCCAACCAGACCTTTTAAAATCTTTTTGTTATATAAATTCTTTAGTATATAAGTTTTGGATTTCTAATTGGGTCAAAATATGGAACTTTGTTTACATTTAGTTATATATTATGATAGATAGATAGATAGATAGATAGATAGATAGATAGATGATAGATATGAGGTATCTATTTATTATATTCCCTCCCTCCCTTCCTCCCTTCTTCCTTTCCTCTTTTCCTCTCTCCCATCCCTTCCTTCTTCCCTTCCTTGTAGTGCCTGAGCCTCCAATTGTTTTCCCTCATTGCCAGTGAAGTGCCTTCCTGATACTTGACACTTTAAAAGTTTGGTTGAAAACCTTACTTCTTAATGTAATAAAAACTAGAACTGGGCTGGGCGGCTTATGCTTGTAATCCCAGGGAATCAGAAGGCTGATATGGGAGGCTTGCTTGAGCCTAGGAATTGGAAGCTGCAGCAAGCTATGATCATGCCACTGCACTTCAGCCTGGGTGATAGAATGAGACCCCATCTCTTAAAATACACACACACACGCACAGGCTGTAACTATTTCTTCTAGTATGTGATCACTTTGGTAGTAGTATAAATGCAATACTATAGATATATTATGGGGGTAAATAGATTTATGCAGGCTTGCTGGGGCTAACCACTATTTTTGAACAAAAGTGTGATTTTGTCGGTTAAAAAAACTGGAGTTGGTAGTAGAGGAAAGCCAGTTATAATCTGCGGAAAATCAGCTGATGAAATTACTTCTGTTCTTGAAGGTGCTGGACACTCTGTAGCTTTTGGTTTATCCTTAAATGAGACTTACTGTATGAAGCATGTGGAGCAGATTCTGCAGTAGCAGGGACAAGGCAAGAATGAGGGAGCTGGTTGTAAAAATAGTAATTTCCAATTTTTGTGGAAGTATCACATATGAAGGAACCAACTTAGACAGATACATAGAGATGAAGAAGAAGTGCATTAAAATTTATTGTGATGAAATATTATTCCATGTTTCCCTTATAGACAGATTTAATTTTTTAATCTCTAAGCAAATTTCCATGGAAGTGAAGGATAAACCAAACAAATTAGGTAAAACTACATGAAATAAGCATTTTTCTTCCTCTTCATCTTTCTTTTTCTTCCCTTCCCCTTCCTCCTCCTCTCGCCATCCTCCTCTTCTTTTTCTTCTTGGATGATTTTATCCCATTTAGTTGAGTAAATTGCTGCTGCAGTTGACAATTAGAGTTAATATAGCCAAGAGTCAGGGTTTAGGTCAATACTCTTTGTGTATTTAGGTTTATAAGGCAAGCTTAAGAACTTTAAAATAGAGATTTAAGTTCTAGTTAGTTGTAAATGGACAATTTAAAGTGATTTATAAAGATTACCTTTCTTACTCAAGGAAAAGGTAACTCTAACACTATAGCTATTTTTAGGCTCTAAAATGGTCTTGAGGGAAATTTATTCTGAGGCTGTAGGACTATCAAAAAGACGTTAAAGCTCTCTAGGATGTGAGAGAAGCAGCATGACAATTCCAAGTAGGAAAGTGAGCATGGCTTATTTTTGCAATAAGAAATGAAGTAAGGAAAGCATTTTGTTTTTTAAAAAAGAAAGCTTGAATGTAAAAAATATCTGAGCCTTTCTGTGCTTCTTTCTACTTTAATATGACATGACATATTTATGACCTTTCTGCATCATGTGTCTTTATGTGAACAGAAAACATCCTCAAGGATCCTCAGATGCTGCAGTAACCTTCAAGCAAACACAGCAGACAATATGTGATGTCTTAACTGTGGAATAGATACGTGGCAATTTAAAGGCCTTTCTTCTTTGCTGGTTGTCTGGTGACTAAGCCTACTTAAAGAAGCCTTACTTCCAGTTTTGTTTTTGTTTTTTTGTTTTGTTTTGTTTTGTTTTTTGAGATGGAGTCTTGCTTTGTTGCCCAGGCTAGAGTGCTGTGGTGTGATCTCTGCTCACTGCAACCTCTGCCTCCTGGGTTCAAGTGATTCTCCTGCCTCAGCCTCTCAAGTAGCTGGGATTACAGGTGCCCACCACCACACCTGGGGCTAATTTTTGTATTTTTAGTAGTGATGAGGTTTCACCATGTTGGCCAGGCTGGTCTCAAACTTCTGACCTCAAGTGATCTGCCCGCCTTAGCCTCCCAATGTGCTGGGATTACAGGCGTGAGCCACTGCGCCCAGCACCTTCCCTCTAGTTCTTACCAGGCCCTCACCATCTGTACCTGGACTACCATAACCCCCCACCATCTAATTAGGCCCAGACATGAAGTCAGACATAACCTTTTAAAAATCTGATCATGTCATTTTTTTGGTTTTAAAATCACCCACATCCAGTCTCATATGTTTCTGGTAAAGGTCTAAATGTACACATGTCTTTCAGAGAAAAGTGTTTGCCAATATTTATCAAGAATTTAGAAAACAAAGCCAGGCCCAGTGACACGTGACTATAGTCCCAGGTACTTGGGAGGCTGGGGCCAGAGGATCACTTGTGGCTAGGAATTGGAGCCCAGCCTGAGCAACATGATGAGATCCCATCTCAAAAACAAAACAAAACAAACCCCTACTGGTCAAAAGGTATATATATTTGTGAGACAGAATCTTACTATGTTGCTCAAGCTGGTCTCAAGCTGCTGGGCACAAGGGATCCTCTTGACTCAGCCTCCCAAACAGCTGGGATTACAGGCACATGCTACAGCACCAGTTTAGTTGTTCTACTTTTATTTGTTTATTTATTTTTATTTAAACTGATTTTATTTATTTATTTATTTGTTTTTTGAGATAGGATCTTGCTTGTTGCTCAGGCTGGAGTGCAGTAGCACAATCTTGGCTCACTTTAACCTCCATCTCCAGGGTTCAAGGGATTCTCATGCCTCAGCCACCTGAGTAGCTGGGAATACAGGAGCACGCCATCACACCCGGCTAATTTTTTAAAAAAATTATTTTTAGTAGAGATGGGGTTTCACCATATTGCCCAGGCTGGTTTCGATTTCCTGGCCTCGTGTGATCTGCCTTTGTCTGCCTCCCAAAGTGCTGAGATTACAGGCGTGAGCCACTGAGCCTGGCCTAGCAGTTCTACTTTTAAGCATCCATCCTCAGCAAGTAGCTGTAAGGAAAGTGCTGTATATGAGAGACGTTTATTGCAGCCTTATTTAAGATAATGAAAAATTGGAGGGAAACCTAATGTACACATAGAGAAATAGTTAAGTAGTCATTGTATATCTATTCAATGAAATATTCTGTAGCTACTAAAAATACTATTTTATAGCATGGGAAAGTGTTTACGCTATAATGCTAAGTAAATATATTAAAATATAAAACTGTGTTAAAATTCAAAATCACAACATACAGAAGAAGAGTTGAAGCCTTCATTTTTCTCCTCTCATCTCCATCACTTTACCCTCAGGCGAGGTAGAGAAGTAGCCTAGATGGGAGGATAATACATCCTCATATTGCCTTCTACTACTGACAAAAGCTAGTCTTTGAAATGCCCTAAGAAAATGATTTACTGTAACAGGAAAGAAAGAAGTGCTTTCAATGCTTTGATATTTCTTTAACTTTTTTTTTTTTTGACAGTCTTGCTCTGTCTCGCAGGCTGGAGTGCAGTGGAGCAATCTCAGCTCCCTGCAACCTCTGCCTCTCAGGTTCAAGTGATTCTTCTGCCTCAGCCTCCCGAGTAGCTGGTATTACAGGCGCCTGCCACAACACCAACTAGTTTTTGTATTTTTAGTAGAGACAGGCTTTCACTATGTTTGCTAGGCTGGTCTTGAACTCCTGACCTCAAGTGATCCGCCTGTTTCAGCCTCCCAAAGTGCTGGGATTACAGGCGTGAGCCACTGTGTCTGGCCTAAAAATTATTATTTTTTAATCAACATGTAATAATTGTACATATTTATGGGGACAGTGTAATATTTTGATACACATTGTGTATCATATTGATATATACAATATGTTATGATCAATTCAGGGTAATTAACATATCCGTCACCTCAAACAGTTATCATTTATTTGTATTGGAAACCATTAAAAATCCTCTTCTAGCTGTTTAAAAATATACAATAAATTGTTGTTAACTATATTCACCCTACAGTGTTATAGACTACTAGAACTTATTCCTCCTATCTAGCTGTAATATGGTATCCATTAACCAACCTCTTTTATCCTTCCTCCCTCTCTTCTTCCTAGCCTCTAGTAACCACTATTCTACTCTATACTTACACGAGAACAACTTTTTTTTTTTTTTTTTTTTTTTTTTTTTTTTTTATTGATCATTCTTGGGTGTTTCTCGCAGAGGGGGATTTGGCAGGGTCATAGGACAATAGTGGAGGGAAGGTCAGCAGATAAACAAGTGAACAAAGGTCTCTGGTTTTCCTAGGCAGAGTGTGTGTGTCCCTGGGTACTTGAGATTAGGGAATGGTGATGACTCTTAATGAGCATGCTGCCTTCAAGCATCTGTTTAACAAAGCACATCTTGCACCGCCCTTAATCCATTTAACCCTGAGTGGACACAGCACATGTTTCAGAGAGCACAGGGTTGGGGGTAAGGTCATAGATCAACAGGATCCCAAGGCAGAAGAATTTTTCTTAGTACAGAACAAAATGAAAAGTCTCCCATGTCTACTTCTTTCTACACAGACACGGCAACCATCCGATTTCTCAATCTTTTCCCCACCTTTCCCCCTTTTCTATTCCACAAAACCGCCATTGTCATCATGGCCCGTTCTCAATGAGCTGTTGGGTACACCTCCCAGACGGGGTGGTGGCCGGGCAGAGGGGCTCCTCACTTCCCAGTAGGGGCGGCCGGGCAGAGGCGCCCCTCACCTCCCGGACGGGGCGGCTGGCCGGGCAGGGGGCTGACCCCCCACCTCCCTCCCGGACGGGGCGTCTCGCCGGGTGGGGGGCTGACCCCCCCACCTCCCTCCCGGACGGGGCGGCTGGCCAGGCGGGGGGCTGACCCCCCCCACCTCCCTCCCGGACGGGGCGGCTGGCCGGGCGGGGGGCTGACTCCCCCACCTCCCTCCCGGACGGGGCGGCTGGCCGGGCAGAGGGGCTCCTCACTTCCCAGTAGGGGCGGCGGGGCAGAGGTGCCCGTCACCTCCCGGACGGGGTGGCTGGCTGGGTGGGGGGCTGACCCCCCACCTCCCTCCCGGACGGGGCGGCTGGCCGGGCCGGGGGCTGACTCCCCCACCTCCCTCCAGGACGGGGCGGCTGGCCGGGCCGGGGGCTGACCCCCCCACCTCCCTCCCGGACGGGGCGGCTGGCCGGGCAGAGGGGCTCCTCACTTCCCAGTAGGGGCGGCCGGGCAGAGGCGCCCCTCACCTCCTGGACGGGGCGGCTGGCCGGGCAGGGGGCTGACCCCCCACCTCCCTCCCGGACGGGGCGTCTCGCCGGGCGGGGGGCTGACCCCCCCACCTCCCTCCCGGACGGGGCGGCTGGCCGGGCAGAGGGGCTCCTCACTTCCCAGTAGGGGCGGCGGGGCAGAGGTGCCCCTCACCTCCCGGACGGGGTGGCTGGCTGGGTGGGGGGCTGACCCCCCACCTCCCTCCCGGACGGGGCGGCTGGCCGGGCCGGGGGCTGACTCCCCCACCTCCCTCCCGGACGGGGCGGCCGGCCGGGCTGAGGGGCTCCTCACTTCCCAGTAGGGGCGGCGGGGCAGAGGCGCCCCTCACCTCCCGGACGGGGTGGCTGCCGGGCAGAGACGCTCCTCAGTTCCCAGACAGGGTGGCAGCCGGGCGGAGGGGCTCCTCACTTCTCAGATGGGGTGGTTGCCAGGCCGAGGGTCTCCTCACTTCTCAGACGGGCGGCCGGGCAGAGACGCTCCTCACCTCCCAGATGGGGCGGCGGGGCAGAGGTGCTCCCCACATCTCAGACGATGGGCGGCAGGGCAGAGACGCTCCTCACTTCCTAGGTGGGATGGCGGCCGGGCAGAGACGCTCCTCACTTTCCAGACTGGGCAGCCAGGCAGAGGGGCTCCTCACATCCCAGACGATGGGCGGCCAGACAGAGACGCACCTCACTTCCCAGACGGGGTGGCGGCCGGGCAGAGGCTGCAATCTCGGCACTTTGGGGGGCCAAGGCAGGCGGCTGGGAGGTGGAGGTTGTAGCCGAGATCACGCCACTGCACTCCAGCCTGGGCACCATTGAGCACTGAGTTAACGAGACTCCGTCTGCAATCCCGGCACCTCGGGAGGCCGAGGCTGGCGGATCACCCGTGGTTAGGAGCTGGAGACCAGCCCGGCCAACACAGTGAAACCCCGTCTCCACCAAAAAAATACGAAAACCCGTCAGGCGTGGCGGCGCGCGCCTGCAATGGCAGGCACTTGGCAGGCTGAGGCAGGAGAATCAGGCAGGGAGGTTGCAGTGAGCCGAGATGGCAGCAGGACAGTTCAGAGGGAGACTGGGAGAGGGAGAGGGAGAGGGAGCTAATTTTTGTATTTTTAGTAGTGACAGGATTTTGCCATGTTGGTCAGGCTGGTCTCGAACTCCTGACCTCAAGTGATCCACCTGCCTTGGCCTCTCAAAGTGCTGGGATTACAGGCGTGAACTACCGCACCCGGCCTCTCATGGGGAATTTAAAAGGTTCAGTGGCTTTCCCAAAGTCACAAAGCTTGGTGACTTTGGTGACCATGGTGAAGCATGGACTTGGGAACCTGGGCAGTGTGGCTCCGGAATCCATTTCACTGCCAAGCCATATAACCACTTCTCAGCTGTCACGAGCACAACTTTTTAAGGTCCTACATATGGGTGAGAACAACTTTTTTAGCTCTTGTATATGAGTGAAGACATGTGGTATTTGTCTGTCTATGCGTGATTTATTTCCCTTAACAGAATGTCCTCCCAGATCATTCGTGTTGCTACAAATGATAGGCTTTTATTCTTTTTTATGGCTGAATAGTATTCCATTGTGTATATATACCATTTTTTTATCCATTTATCTGTTGATGGACACAGGTTGATTCCACATCTTGTCTATTGTAAATGTTGCAGTAAACATGGGGGTGCATAGATCCCTTCAATATACTGATTTCGTTTTCTTTGGATAAATACCCAATAGTGGGATTGCTGGATCCTATGGTAGTTCTATTTTTAGCTTTTTAAGGAATCTCCATACTGTTTTCTGTAATGACTCTCATAATTTAGGTTCCCACTAGTAGTGTAAAAAGTCTCCCAATCAAGAAAAGCCTAGGACCAGGTGACTTCACGCTGACTTCTACCAAATCTTTAAAGAAGAACTAACACCAATTTTTCTCAAAGTATTCCAAAAAATTGAAAAGGAGGGAATTATTCTAAACCCCCTGATCTATGAGACCAGCATTACCCTGATACCAAAACCAGACATGGACATGACAAAAAAAGAAAACAACTGGCCAATATCCCTGATGAACATAGATGTAAAAAATCCTCAACAAAATGCCAGCAAATGCAATCCAACAGCACATCAACAAGATAATACGTGAGGATAAGTGGGATTTATCCCAGGGATGCAAGGATGGTTCAATATATGCAAATCAATAAACATGATACCTCACATAAACAGAATTAAGGACAAAATCCACATGAGCATCTCAATAGACACAGCAAAAGCATTAGATAAAATTCAGCATCACTTCATGATAAAAGTCCTCAACAAACTGGGCATAGAAGGAACATACCTAAACATAATAAAGTCCATATATGACAAACCTATAGCTAACATCATACTGAATGGGGAAAAACTGAAGTCTTTTTCTTTAGGAAATGGAACAAGACAAGAATACCCAATTTCACCACTCTCATTCAACACACTACTGGAAATCCTAGCTGGAGCAAGAGAAAGAAACAAAGGACATCCAAATGGGAAAAGAGAAAGTCAAATTGTCCCCACTACAAAAATTTTACCTAGGAATAAGTTTAACCAAGGATGCAAAAGATCTCTACAATGAAAACTACAAAACACTGATGAAAGATATTGAAAAAGCCACACAAAAAATGGAAATACATCCTATGTTCATGGACTAGAAGTGTTAATATTTTTGAAATGACCATACTACCAAAAGCAATCTACAGATTCAACACAGTCCCTATCAAAATACTGATGACATTTTTCATAGAAATAGAAAAAACAATTCTCAAATTTGTGTGGAACCACAAAAGACCCCAAGTAGCCAAAGAAACCCTGAGTAAAAAGAACAAAGATGGAGGCATCACACTATCTAACATCAAAATCTATAATACTACAAAGCTATAGTAACCATAACAGCATAGTATTGGTAGAAAAACATACACATAGACCAGTGGAACAGAATAAAGAACTCTGAAATAAATCCACATATTTACAGCCAACCAGTTTTTGACAAAGGTGCTGATAATATACACTGGGGAAAGGATAGCCTCTTCAATAAATGGAGTTGGGAAAATTGGATATCCATATGCAGAAGAATAAAACTAGACCTCTATCTCTCATCATATAGAAAAACTACCTCAAAATGGATGAAAGATTTAAAGGTAGGACCTCAAACTATAAAACTACTAGAAGAAAACAAAAGGGAAATCCTTCAGGACATTGGACTGGGTAGATTTTATGAATGTTTTGCTATTTCTTTGTGGCACCCAAAGCATGGCCATTGAGGCATGTGGCTGTGATGCTTTAAAAAGATGCATAAACGGGACAATTAAACACTAACAGGCCTCTAGGAAGGATTTCTAAGCAGGAGTTTAAGTAATAGCTGTGGGGTGGCCAGGCTGAAGTTACTGGAATAATAAAGTAAAAGATCATCTTCAATATATATGGGAGCTATGTTAACGCACACTGAGGAAAATGTTTCTCTACATCCATGATATGTGCTTTATCTGTGAATTTCTCTCTCTTTCTCTATCTCTTTCTCTCCCTCTCTCTCTCTCTCTGTGCATGCGCGCGTGTGTGTGTGTGTGTGCATTTGATTCAGTGGTTACCTGCTGAACTGTCAGGAAGAAAAACAGAAGTATATCTTTATCTCACAATGGTAGAGAGATCCCTTTCCATTGTTTATGGAATGTTATTCTAGACTCAGAAACTCATATTTTGGGAAACATCCTACTAAGGGCGTGTCCTATGGATTGATAAGGACTGAAGAGGGCAGGAGGCAGGGGTCTGGGTGAACATTTTTTGGGTGGTGGTGGTGATTTTTCCTTAGACGATTGAAGCAATCACTTTTGGTGCCTGATTGGCAGTTTTCATTTTGCTCTGCAGTCTCCTTTCATTGCCTCCAATCTCCCAGTAAAGCCTGCTATTCTCTTCCAGCCTTGTGGGACACTGTTGTGAGGAGACTAAGAGGTGAGTTAGTAAAGGCACTGTAGGGCCTTTCCTACCTCACCCTTCTACCAGATCAGTGGCACAAATGGCAGCATTGCCCTGGGAAGGACAGTAGGCCTGAGTTCCAGGCACTGACAAGAAGAAGAAAGAGCTATGGCAAGAACAGAGCAGGGAGTGGGGGAGAAGGACACCATAGGGAGACGGGGAGCAGGACACTATAGGGAGAGGGGGCTGCCAAATGGATGACTCCAAAGTGCACTGAGACCAGGGGCTTCCTTTCCAAATAGATTAAACAGAGATTTGACCTCAGGTTGTTCATTAGAACAATCTGGAGCTCTTAAATGCAGCTAATGCCTGGGACCAGCCTTGTAACAATTGAATCTGAATGTCTGTGGATGGGGTCTGGGCATCAATGTTTTCTATTTATTTATTTATTTATTTATTTATTTATTTATTTATTTATTTATTTTTGAGATGGAGTCTCGCTCTGTTGCCCAGGCTGGAGTGCAATGGCGTGATCTTGGCTCACTGCAACCTCTGCCTCCCGGATTCAAGCGATTCTCCTGCCTCAGCTTCCTGAGTAGCTGGGATTACAGGCGCCTGTCACCATCCCTGGCTAATTTTTGTATTTTTAGTACAGACAGGGTTTCACCATGCTGGCCAGGCTGGTCTTGAACTCCCAACCTCAGGTGATCCACCCACCTTGGCCTCCCAAAGTGCTGGGATTACAGGCGTGAGCTACCATGCCTGGCTGGCATCAATGTTTTCTAAAGCTTCCCAGGTGACTCTAATGTGCAGCCAGGTTGAAACCACCACACTAGAGGAAGATGATCATGAGTGGGAGAAGCTAACCTTATAAATGCATCATATAAATCTCAACAGCAACATTGCAAAAAATTTACACATATTAAAAAGTCTAGAAGGAAATATGGTTGATTCTCATGATGATAGTTATGTTCCATAAAGTCTGTGAACACTGAATTAGTGAATACTGAGTCATTGTTTCTATATGAGTCATGCGTGTTTCTATATATCTCACATAGATATACACACACACATATATCACATATCTCACATAGATTATAATCTTAAATCCTAAAAACAAGTCATCTTGGTAGATTTTATTTTCTTTATTTTACAAAGAAAAAAAATGAGGTTCAAAAGTGTTAAGAGACTTGCCTAAGGCTGTTGCAATAAATGTCAGCATGGGCTGCCCCTGTCCTACTGGCCCCAGAGCTAGAGCTTCTTGAACTACTCTGCCCCACCCCACTACCTTCTGCATCCTCTGATCACATCTATATGGGAGCTGAAACAAGAAGGCAGAGCAGGACCTTCTTTGATATCAGTTAGGAGCATCCGCAGGTTGGGGAGATGACTCAAACTTTTCATTGCTGTCTGCATGTCCATGAATGACCACAAATTTTGATTTTTGGGTTACAAATAAATTTTAGGGGTAGGCAGAATTTGCAAATATAGAATCTGCATTTGCAGATCCTCTGCATGGTGAGGATCAATTCTATTTCATAATACTGGCAGTAATTGTATTTGGATAGAATTAAGTGACTTTTTCTTCCCTATTTCTCTATTGTCCTAAAAATGTCTTAAATGAGCATGTATTACTTTTATTTAAAAATGTAAAAAAACAAAAAATCTTTTCCATGGCTATCTCTGTCTATAGCCTAATTTCTTCTCAAAGTGTAGGCTTGACATAGTTACATCGGAATTACTTGAAGAGTTAGTAGAAAAGGTAGATTCCTGGCCCCTTCCTTCCAAAACTACTAAAATAGAACTCAAAGGGACCTGAGAAACTGCATTTAACAAACTTCCCCAGATTATTTTTGTGCATACTAAAGTTTTAAAAACGTTTGCTATAATGGTCTCCAAAGAGTGAGGATGAAATAAGGGTGTTTTAGATGAAGTAGCTGAAATAATTTACCAATTACAGGCCATTGCTGAAAGAACTATTAAAGGATATACTTCAATACAAGAAAGAGATTAAACCTAGAAAGAAGGATTGGGATGCATGAAGTAATGATGAGTAAAACATTTGGTAAGCATGGGGTGAATCTGAATAATTGTTTTTTAGCAAAAACAAAACAAAACAATTTAAAAAATGAATAAAAGGGGAGGGAAATAAAATGAGGTAAAATTAAAATAAAAGACAACAATATATAAACCAAAAAATAAAATTCTAAGCTCCCCATCCAACTAAATGGACCCCTCCTCTCAGCCAGGGAGGTTTTGAAAGAAACATAAAGAAACAAAAAACAAAACAAAAAACACAATTTCAGGTCATAATGGTAAGAGTGTTCTGGACAGGCCTCATCACAACTCTCCTCCCTCTGGAATTCAGGCACAACTGATCAGCATTAACATTAAAACAGAGATCTTAAGACAAAATAGATTATTTGTAGCAATAAGATATCAAATTCCAACCTGACTCTAGTAAAGCATCACATGACAGGGAGCAGGCCCTGAAAGTATCTAAGTATTTTACATCAAAATATATTTCTTTTTTTTTTTTTGAGACGGAGTCTTGCTCTGTCACCCAGGCTGGAGTGCAGTGGAATATATTTCTTTGAAGTATTTTGAAATGGCCCTGCAAAGCTGCCTGTTGTGGGGGAAATTTATATTCTGTAAAGAATCCTCTTCCCTTTTCAGGTCTTTTTCTGAGCCAGAAGAGATTTAACCAAGAATCTGGCATCTTTTAAGGTCTGATGAGAGACATTTACTATCTATTCTCTCTGAAGCCTTCTACTTGCAGGCTTCCTCTACATTACCAAGAACCTTGGTCTCTACAACCCCTTATCTTAACCCAGACACTCCTATCTATCGAATCTGGGTCTTCAGATAATAACTCTTTCCACCAATTGCCAATCAGAAAATCTTTGAATCCACCAATGACCTGTAAGCCCCACTGCTTCTAATTGTCCCACCTTTGCAGACCAAACCTATGTGTACTTTACACTTATTGGTTGATGTCTTAGGTCTCCCTAAAACACGTAAAACCAAGCACTGTAACTTAACCACAATGGGGACATGTTCTTAGGACCTCTTGGGCCATGGTCACTTATATTTTGCTAAGAATAAACTTCTTTAGATATTTTACAGAGTTTGATTCTTTTCACTGACAATAGATAACATGGAAAAAGTGGACATATGATTTGTGTTAAAGCATTCTGACGTCTTTGTAGTTTGAGAGAAGTAAGGAGATACTAATGAAACTTTTCAGAGGGAAACCTATGCATAACCTAAGGGTGATTCATCTGAGAATAAATATATAAAGTATAATTTTGAAGTCAGTAGGAAACAAATGGATTTAAACACTATATTATCCATAAAAGAAAGTAAAAAAAGAAGTCACAAAGAAGCAAAGACTGGAGAAAACGTATTTCAAGCTAAGGGAATTGTGGGCAGTGTAATAGAAGGGAGGAAAATGCTCCATTGTTGAGTCTAAGATTTATCTTTAATCTACTTACACCCTATTTACGGAGTTTGTTATGGTTTCATGGATGTTGGCAGAAGATATGAGACTCCTGGGTAAGTTACAAAGGGCTATATTATCTATATCATGGCAAGCAACATGCGCATTGTCAGAGAGAGAAAAATTTTCCTCTATCCTCTTAATTTCTTTAAATGAGGGCCTGCAAGTTAATCTGACAAAAGACAGATTAACAGGAGGAAAAAGGGTTTTATTTGTATGCATATGGGAATTAACCAAAAAAGTAGCTAGCTTCATTAAGTGGTTAAAGTTAGAGGTGCATATACCTAACTTAAAGAAAAGGAGGGAGGAGAAAGGGCTTCCATGGTAAAAACAGATTGGTTTCTGGGCAACAAATTGGGAGATAAGAAAGCTGGTGATAAAGTTTGTTTATGTGGGTGCTAGTGGTCTTTTCCATCTTCTCCATGGCCATATAACTCCTGTGGAAAGAGTACTTATGGTAGATTTGCTCTTGGCCTTTTTTTCTGGTGGTAAGACCCACCCCGAAGAGGGAGTTTATGGTAGCCTCATTTCCTAGAAGTTGCTGCTTTTAGTCAGATAAGGGACATTCCAACAAGGCTTTCTGCATCTATTGAATCTCTAATGTTTTCAACTTAAAATAATCTTTATACCAACTCCAGGGTTCTGAGTGGGGCCCCACATCCTTGCTCTTTGTCCCAGAGGGAGACATTGCCTCATCCCTGAAGGCTGCTTGCTTCAGACATAGCCCTGAGAAATGGCCCTGGTAAAGATTAGTCAAGGCCTTGAATTCTTGGTACACCCAGCAAAACATGTAGGAGCACAAGAGACACACATAACTAAGAACCCGTGAGTAAATTGGTTTCCTGGGCCATATGCTGCCTTGGGTTGGGGAAGAGAAAAAGGAGTGGAAAAGGAGGTGAGAGAAGTAGGGTAATTGAAAGCCCTGTTGCTGAAGGCCTTGTATGGGTGACATGCTACGGCATTTGATCTTTACCCTGTATATCAATCTCCAGCACAAATTTGAATTGCTGCATTCCTAACAACAAACGCTTTTTGTCATTTAATGCCAACATATGTATGTTTATTTATAAATCATATACCTACACCACTACATTAATCTATCATGTACACTTTAAAACATACATAAAAGTATATTTAAGAAAGGTAAGTTAAAATGCATAAATATATATTAAATATTAGGTGTAATATTTTCTTGGTGATTATAACCTAATTTGGGGACCATTGCAGTTTAGCATAGATAATCTTTGGAAATGTATTCATGACATCACAATTTATTTTCTATGACCCACTTACCAGTAATTGGGGTTTCTTACCAAAAATTGCTACAGTGAACACCCTAGAGCAGCTATTCTTGTTTAACTATGTCCATAGAAGACATTTTTTTGTTATAGAAATGTTCAGTCAAATGGTATGTGCTTTTTACATTTTGGTAAATAATCTTAAATGGCCCTACAAAAAAGCTGCACTAATTTACTTTCCAAATTATAGTCTATAAAGACCCCTTTTTCCACTCTCTCCAAGACTAGGTATCAATCTTAAAAATTTTGTCCAAACCAATAGGTAAGAAATAATACCATGTCAGGCCAGGTGCCGTGGCTCCTGCCTGTAATCCCAGCACTTTGGAAGGCGAGGTGTGTGGATTATTTGAGGTCAGGAGTTTGAGACCAGCTTGGCCAACATGGTGAAACCCCATCTCTACTAAAAATACAAAAATTAGCCAGCTGTGGTGGTGCATACCTGTAATCCCAGCTACTCGGGAGGATGAGAAAGGAGAATCGATTAAACCCGGGAGGTGGAGGTTGCAGTTAGCGGAGATCACACCACTGCACTCCAGCCTGGGTGACAGAGTGAAACTCCGTCTCAAAATAAAAAGTAAAAAATTTAAACCACCTTCCCGCCCTTTCTTTCTTTCTTTCTCTTTCTTTCTTTCTCTTTCTTTCTTTCTTTCTTTCTTTCTTTCTTTCTTTCTTTCTTTCTTTCTTCTTTCTTTCTTTTTCTTTCTTTCTTTCTTCTTTCTGCCTTTCTTTCTTTCTCCCTCTCTTTCTTTTCCTTCCTCCCTCCCTTCCTCCCTTCCTCCCATTCTCTCTTTTTCTCTCTCTTTCCCTCTTCTCTTTCTTTCCCTCCTTTCCCTCCCTCCCTTCCTTCCTTCCTCCCTTTCTTTTTCTTTCTCTTCCTTTCTTCTCTTTCTTTCTCTCTTTCTTTCTTCTTTCTTTCCCTCCCTTCCTTCCCTCCCTCCCTCCCTCCCTCCCTTCCTTCCTTCCATCCTTTTTGAGACAGGGTCTTGCTGTGTTGCCCAGGGTGGCTTACTGCAGCCTCAACCTCCTGAGCCCGAGTGATCCTCCCATCTCAGTCTCCCAAGTAGCTTGGACCACAGGTGCACACTGCTGTGCCAGGCTAATTTTTAAGTATTTTGTAGAGATGGAGACTCACTAAGTCGCCCAGGCTGGTCTCGAACTCCTGGACTCTAGTGATTCTCCTGCCTTGGCCTTCCAAAGTGCTGGAATTGCAGGTGTAAGCCATCATGCCCAGCCTGGTATTTCTTCAACTATGATTAAGTTCAAACGTTTTTCATTGGCTTTAAGCCTCTAAATTGCCTGTTTTCCCTCCTATGTCACTTTTTTTTTTTTTTTGAGATGGAGTCTCGCTCTGTCACCCAGGCTGGAGTGAAATGGGTTCAAGCGATTCTCCCGTGTCAGCCTCCTGAGTAGCTGGGATTACAGGCGTGCATCACTATGCTGGGCTAATTTTTATATTTTTAGTAGAGACAGGGGTTTCACCATGTTAGCCAGGCTGGTCTCAAACTCCTGACCTCAGGTGATCCACCCCCCTTGGCCTCCCAAAGTGCTAGGGTTACAGGTGTGAGCCACTGTGCCTGGCCAACATTTTTTTTAATGTAATCAAATGTATCAGTGACTTTTCTGTAGGTACTTATGTCTGGAGTGGCATGAGGTGGATGTCTCAGCATCCATAGCCTTGAATGACAGATTAGGAGTCAGTGTGGACAAAGTAACAAAGTAGACTTTATTGTTTGTGGTGTGGGGATGGGGCAAAACAAAGACCAGCAACAGGGAGGCAAGGTAGGAAGCTCTTAGGATAGCCAGGTAGTTAGATCACATGGTGAATATGAGTATGGGCTCTGAAGTCAGACTCTGGGGTGCAAATCCCAAGAGTAATATTTATAGAGTGACTTTGGGAAGTGGGGCAGGTGACTGACCTTCCTGTGCCTCAGTTTCTTCATGTAGAAATTATTAGTATTTCATTGAAAGCTTAAATGAGATAAGATATCATGGTGCCTGGCATGCAGCGATTGCTTTCTAGAAAAATAAAGGGAACTTGAGCTAGGTTGTAGGAGAAATGGAAAGGAATAGACACACTGAAAGATAGAGTCCTTAGGACTGGGAGACTACTCGAATGTAGATAAGGGAGACTGAGATGAGTGAACAGCACCTTTCTGTGATTAAAATCAGGACCATATTAATGAAAGCAACAACCAAACACAGTGACCCTGTGGTACAGAGGTTCAACAAAGAGATCCTGGAACCAGACAGCTTGTCCAAATTCCATCTGTACACACCCTTACTAGCTTTCTAACATTGGACAAATCAATGTCTTGATTTTGTTTTTTGGGGGTGGCAGGGGGGTGGTGTGGACAGAGTCTCACTGTGTCATCCAGGCTGGAGTGCAGTGGCAGGATCTTGGCTCACTGCAAGCTCTGCCTCCAGGGTCCAAGTGATCCTTGTGCCTCAGCCTCCCAAGTAACTGGGATTACACGTGTGGGCCACCACGTCCAATTAATTTTTATATTTAGTAGAGACAGGGTTTTGCCATGCCGGCCAGGCTTGTCTAGAACTCCTGACCTCAAGCGATCCACCTGCCTCAGCCTCCCAAAGTGCTGTGATTACAGGCATGAGCTGCCGCGCCCGGCCGTAATCAATAAATGTCTCTCTACCTTGGCTTCTTCACCTGAAAGTGACGAATAATTATGTCTATCTCATATGAAAAAACGAAAAGTGAAGAAATACATGCAAAGCACCCAGACCACTATCTGGCATAGAGTAGGTACTTTAAAATATTAGCTGTTATTTGGGTACGGACCTGTAGTCTCAGCTACTCGGGAGGCTGAGGCAGGAGGAATGCTTGAGCCTAAGAGTTCAAGGTTGTAGTGCGCTATGATTATGTCTGTGAATAGCCATTGCATTCTAGCCTGGACCGCATAGGGGGACCCCATCTCTGTAAAAAAAATTAGCTGTTATTATTAATCTTTTTTTTTGTGCTATAACAGGTCCTTTTTTACTCTCATCTTATTTTAGTTTTCTGAGATCCTTGTTTCTTTCAGTATGCATCCACCTATTGCCAAAATGCTATTCTTGTTTTCACTGGGTCCTAAATTTGGGGGCTTTCTTAAGCCTGCCCTTCTATATTCTAGATCTTTCTTATTCTCTGCTAAGCTAATAATATTCTATGTTATTAATAGGCATTGATAGCTTCAATTTATCCCTCCCAGATGACATTTGCATTTTAACAAGAATTTTCAAGGCCTTGACTCAAAGGAGTGAGTAATGTGGTTATTTTAGGTATCCTGGCAGAGGGAAATAGTCCTTGGGCTGGGAGAGCTTTCCTAAACTCTAAATTTATATCACACCAGCAGCTGCCTACTCTGCTCACTCAGAATATAATGTGAGGGCTGTATTGGTGGTCAGGGAATAAATTAAATCAATTAACTAATATTTTTATCACCAGGAACTGTATTAGGTAGTGTGGGGAAGAAAATGAAGATTAATAATCTTTGTTTCAAGAAATACACAATCTTAGTTGAAGAAATCAAGAGGTATAAACATTTTTTAAAAATCTATTCTCATGGCCAAGGTCAAGACAGACCTGAGAAGGTAGCCTACTGGTCAGTATACTGGTGTGAGGTCCAGGGGGCCAGATCAAACCAGGGGGAAGATTACCTAGAAAGCTGTTCATAAGATTACATCACCACAGAGCTGAAGCAAGAGCAACTGCTTAGAAATGGAGCAGGCTCTGCAGTCAGAGCACACTGAAGAGGGAGATCCTGCACTGTTACGCATCAGATGCAGGGGCTGCATGAAGAATTAACAGAAACTGAGAGCCTGGTGCAGGGCAGGTGAAAGGCAGGGGGAATCCATGTAACCTGGAGGAGGATTTCTTTCAAATGAATTCTAATATGTCTTGCTTAGGTGGGGATGGGCTTCTTAAAGGAATCAAATTGGGATGAACAAATCACAAGATCTGTTTCCTCATTTGTGAAATGAGGAAGGATGAAATACATCAGCACTAAAGTGAAACTAAGGGCTAAGCTGATTAAGCCCAGCAACACTAACCTGCTTTGCTTGCTTTTAATCACTTACTTCTAGTTGATCTTAAAACTCCCACTAGCTTCCTTACAGATAACATCTCTGACTGTGGGTCATTATAGTAACGGGTGTTTAACGTTGTTTTTCAGGAACTATGGGGCAGCTCTTGTTCAGTTGAAGCTGGTTGAGACCACTGACCCTTCAGCTGGGCCTGTGCAGGTGCCTATAGAGTGACATTTTGATGTCAGAGGGCCAAAACTTTCACCTCAGATCAATATAATGCCACCATTTTCTGCACATGTATCCTGTGAAAAGCATGTAGCTCAATTACATTTGCACAGAAACCCCAATTACCTCACCTTTACTACCTGTCAATCACCTTTACCCATACATTGGACTACCCAGATTTCTATCCCATAAGAACCCTCAAGCCCTATTTTTGGGGAAGTAGATTTGAGACCTCTTTTCCTGCCTCCTTGCTTAGCTGCCTTGTAAATAAACTCTTTCTCTTTTGCAAAACTCTTCTTCTCAGTGATTGACTTGCTGTGCATGGGCAGAACAAACCTGGCTGATAACCAAGTTTCTCCCAGCTCTAGGGACCTATAAGTCAGTCATCCTAAAACCAGACAAGAAGGCAGTAATGAATAGCATTTAAATAAGCCATATAGACCCATGGTTTATGATTTGGTTTCCCAAACCATAGTCCACCAGGATTCTTTCATGCACCTGCTGTGAAATCTTTTAATGTTCTTACACTGTCACTTGAATCTGTTAAGAAAATTAGATATTTTAGTTTTCCAAAACATAAGTTGTCTATTTTACAATTTCTTGCAAGGCAGGAGGAAGGAAAAAAAACAAATTTAGCCCAGTGCAATGATTTAAATCATCTTTTGGGTCTTTGGTCTTTCAGTTTTTACCCTTCTTCTCCTCCCCTATGATCATCTAAATGGATGCAGAAAGAGCATTTGACAAAATATGTCTCTTCGTGTATTTGCTTATATAACCTTGTAGCATCGAGAGGAGGGGAGTCCTTGGTTCATACAGTGCCTTCTGGCTCCTTACTGTACCTCGTTCATGCCAGGCCTGAAAGCATTCAAAGCTAAAGCTATTGCCTAGTGTGATTTGACATTGTGTAAACTCCTTGAGATTTGGTTATGACTTCCATTTACCCCGGCCCAAGAACCCTCCTCCCCATACAGCTTCTTCCCTGACTAGCACTTTCTCTTGTAACCACCAGCCAAGCCTTCAACTATAACTGAATCTCATCCAGGTCACATTTCCCAAACTATGCTCACCACTTGATTTACTTTGAGGAGCTTGTGTCCCTGATGGATGGTGGGCAATTGACCAGGTGGTGGCATTCCAGATGTTCAGCATGAAGCAGAACAAAAGCTTCCTTCTTGCTCACGAAGGTCCCCAACCTATCTGTGTTTCTATGTTTCCCTAGCTTCTTCATCCATTCAATGAATATACACTGAGAACCTACCATGTGCTAGGCTCTCTGCTAGGTGATGGTGACATAATGGTGAACAAGACAGATAGTGTCCTTGCCCTCATGGAGTGTATAGCATAATGGGGGAAACACATGATAAAGAGGTCAGCAAACAAGTTCATGCGTACAAATTTTTAAGTGCTTTGGAATATACAAATAGGATTCTGTGGTTGAAAATAATAAAGGAGACCTATTTTAGAAGTGGTTTGGTGAAGGTTTTTCTGAGAAGACACTTGATTTGAGAAGGAGGAGAGGCAGCCAACTACGTGAAGAGGTGAAGAGTAATTCAGACTTAAAGACAAGCAAGTGCAAAGGTCCTAGATGGGAAAAAGTCTCCAGATGGATTGGAAAAGGATCGATAGATGTAAGATTTTCCTCCCATTCTCATAAGCAAATGACATAATCTTCAGGTATGACTAAGACTACTACATAGTCATGCTGAGTATTAAATAAGACCCAGGCTGGGGTCAAGCAAGTGAGGCACTCATCCTGAATCCAAAATATAAGGGAGCACGAAAAAACTCATTACTCAAAAGAAATCGTACTTTAATGCAGTATTTTAAAAATAAAAATGAATGCAAACATCCAATGACAAACAAAGCATCAAATTTTAAAATAAAAATAGGATCAGTATCACTGACTTTTCTTTTTGTCACAGGCTCCAGTATGGCTTAGCATAGTACTGATATTAAGGATTACTATCATCTGTGGATGAAGATAATTTGACTTCTTGCTTTCCAATTTAGATGCTTTTTATTTCTTTTTCTTGCTTAATTACTATGGCTAGAACTTCCAGTACTAGATGTATTCCTCCTGTCTAACTGAAACATTATATCCTTTGACCAACACCTCCCTTTCCTCTGGCACCCCTCCCCTCAGCCTCTGGCAACCACCATTCTACTCTCTGCTCCTATGAGTTAAACTCTTTTAGATTCCACATATAAGTGAGATCATGGAGTATTTGTCTATGCTTGGCTTATTTCACTTAGCCTAAGCCAGGTTCATCTATATTGTAGCAAATGACAAGATTTCCTTCTCTTTTAAAGTCTGAATAGTATTCTATCATATATGCACACACATATACATACATACACACATATATGTACACACATATATGTACATATGCATACATACACATGTGTACATATACATATATACACATGTACATATACATATATGTACGTATACATATATATGTGCGCATATACGTATATACACATATATGCACATATACATATATACATATATGTACATATACATGTATACGTATACATGTACATGTACATATACATGTATACGTATACATGTACATGTACATATACATGTATACGTATACATGTACATGTACATATACATGTATACGTATATATGTACATGTACATATACATATATAGGCATACACACACACAAACACACACATACCCAACATATTTTCGTGACCCATTCATCTGTTGACAAACAACAGTTGTTTCTATATTTTGGCTATTGTAAAGAATAAATGCTGCAATGAAGATGGCAGTGCAGATAACTGTATGAGATGAGGCTTTTGTTTGCCTTGGATGTATTATATTTCCCTAACTTGGATTGACGAACCATATGGTAATTCTATTTTTAATTTCTTCTTTTTTTTTGAGACAGAGTCTCACTCTGTTGCCCAGGTTGGAGTGCAGTGGTGACATCTCAGCTCACTGCAACTTCCGCCTCCCAGGTTCAAGTGATTCTCTTGGCTCAGCCTCCTGAGTAGCTGGGATTACAGGCGCCTGCCACCATGCCTGGCTAATTTTTGTATTTTTAGTAGAGATGGGGTTTCACCATGTTGCCCAGGCTGGCCTCAAACTCCTGACCTCAAGAAACCTGCCCTCCTCATCTTCCCAAAGTGCTGGGATTACAGGCCACTGGGCCTGGCTTCTATTTTTTATTTTTTTGAGAAAACTCCATTCTGTTTTCCATAATGGCTATACTAATTTACATTCCCATTAACAGTGTACAAGGGTTCCTTTCCCTCCACATCCTCACCAACACTTGTTATCTTTTGTCTTTTTGATCATAGCCATTCTAACAGGTGTGAGACGATATCTCATTGTGATTTTAATTTGCATTTCCCTCATGACTTATGATGTTAAGCATTTTCTTCAAATACATTTGGCAATTTTTATGTCTTATTTTGAGAAATGTCTATTAAGGTCCTTTGCCCATTTCAAAATTGGGTTTTATTTATTTATTTGCTGTTGAGTTGTTTGAGTTCCTTATATATTTCGGATATTAACCCCTTATCAAATGTATGGCTTGCAAATACTTTCTCTCATTCTGTAGGTTGTCCCTTCATCTACTGATTGTATTCCTTGCTGTGTAGAAGACTTTAAGTGAAAATGTAACCCCATTTGTCTATTTTTTTCTTTTGTTGCTTCTTTTGTTGCCTGTCATTTTGGGGTCATATCCAAAAAAAAATCATTGCTCAGACCAATTTCAAGAAGCTTTCCCCCTATGTTTTCTTTTAGTAGTTTTACAGTTTCAGGTATTAAGTTTAAGTCCTTAATCCATTTTGACTTGATTCTTGTATAAGGTATGAGATATGGGTCCAGTTTCACTCTTCTGCATGCAGATATACAATTTTCCAACACCATTTATTCAAGAGCCTGTTCTTCCCCCATTGTGTGTTCCTAGCATCCTTGTTGAAGATCTGTTGACCATAAATGTATGGATTTATTTCTGGGCTCTCTCTTCTGTTCTGTTGGTTTTTATTTCTGTTTTTTGCACCAGTACAATGTTGTTTTGATTACTGTAGCTATGTAGTATATTTCAAAATTACGTAGTGTGATGCCTGGAGTTTTGTTCTTGCTCGAGATTGATTTGGCTATTCAGGGTTTTTTTTGTGGTTCCATACAAATTTTTGAATTGTTTTATCTATTTTTGCAAAAAATGTCATTGGAATTTTAATAGGGATTGCATTAAATCTATAGGTTGCTCTGGGTAGCATGGACTTTTTAAGAATATTAATTCTTCCAATGCATGAACATGAGATATCTTTCCATTTATTTTTGTCTTCAATTTATTTCATCAATGTTCAACTCTGTCAATTTTTACTTCATATGTTTTGGTGGTCTTAGTTATGTAGCTGTTTATAATTGTTATCTTTTGCTGTATCGAACCTTTTATTATAATATCCTTCTTTGTCTCTTGTAAACTTTTTTTTATTTAAAGTCTATTTTGTATGTTATTAGCATAACCTCCATTGCCCTCCTCTGGTTACTATTTTCATGGAATATTATTTTCTATCCTTCCATTTTCAACCTGTTTGTGTCTTTGGATCTAAAATGAGTATCTTGTAGATAGCACATAGTTGGATCTTTTTTTAAGTGCATTCTTTCAATCTGTCTTTGGAGAGTATAATCCATTTACATTTAAAGTAATTACTGACGAGAAGGGTCTGACATCTATCAATTAGCTATTTGTTTTCCATTTGTCTTATACATTTTTGTTCCTCATATCTTCTTTTGTGTTTAGTTGACTGTTTGTAGTGAAGTGTTTAAATTTCTTTCTCTTTTTATTTTGTGTATATTCTATAGCTATTTCCTTTTGGTTATCAAGGGTTACATTTAACATCTTCAAGGCATATCACTCAAATTTGAATATTCCAGTTTAACCCCAATAACATACAAAATTTTTGCTCCTTTATATCTGTATCCTTATTCTTTTTGTTGTTGATGTCACAAAATTATATCTTTATACATTGTATTATAAAAACACTTATAATACATCGTATTATAAAAACACTTATAATACATCGTATTATAAAAACACTTATAATACATCGTATTATAAAAACACTTATAATACATCGTATTATAAAAACACTTATAATACATCGTATTATAAAAACACTTATAATACATCGTATTATAAAAACACTTATAATACATCGTATTATAAAAACACTTATAATACATCGTATTATAAAAACACTTATAATACATCGTATTATAAAAACACTTATAATACATCGTATTATAAAAACACTTATAATACATCGTATTATAAAAACACTTATAATACATCGTATTATAAAAACACTTATAATACATCGTATTATAAAAACACTTATAATACATCGTATTATAAAAACACTTATAATACATCGTATTATAAAAACACTTATAATACATCGTATTATAAAAACACTTATAATACATCGTATTATAAAAACACTTATAATACATCGTATTATAAAAACACTTATAATACATCGTATTATAAAAACACTTATAATACATCGTATTATAAAAACACTTATAATACATCGTATTATAAAAACACTTATAATACATCGTATTATAAAAACACTTATAATACATCGTATTATAAAAACACTTATAATACATCGTATTATAAAAACACTTATAATACATCGTATTATAAAAACACTTATAATACATCGTATTATAAAAACACTTATAATACATCGTATTATAAAAACACTTATAATACATCGTATTATAAAAACACTTATAATACATCGTATTATAAAAACACTTATAATACATCGTATTATAAAAACACATAATACATCGTATTATATAAACAATTATAATACAATTATAATGCATTGTAATATAAAAAACAAATACTTTAAAAAATGCATGTCTTAAATTATGTAGAAAACAAAATGTGGAGTTTCAAACCAAAGTTACAATAATTACAGGTTTTAGATTAATAATTGCTTTTAAAATGTATTAATCTCTTAAGTCATACAGAAAACAAAAAGTGGAATTACAAGCCATTGTTACAATAATACTAGCTTCTATAATGCTCACGTACTTACCTCAACTAAGACCTTTATTTCTTCATATGACTTCAAGTTACCATCTAGTGTCCCTTCATTTCATCCTGCAGGACTCCCTGGAGCATTTCTTGTAGGGCAGCTCTAGTGGTAATAAACTCCTTCTGTTTTTGTTTATCTGAAATGTCTTAATTTCTTCCTCACTTTTGAAGGACAGTTTTGCCAGATACAAGATTCTTGGTTGACAGGTTTTTTTCTTTCAGCACTTAAAATATATCATCCCACTTCTGCTGGCCTCCAGACTTTCTCATGAGAAATCTGCTGAAAATCTTATTGAGGATTCCTTGTGTATAACAAGTTGCTTCTCTCTTGCTGCTTTCTGTCTTTTTTTGGTTTTCAACAGTTTGATTGTAATGTGTCTCAATATGGGTCTCTTTGAGTTAATCCTACTTGGAGTTAGTTTACCTTCTTGAATGTTTATATTTATGTCTTTCATTACTTTTGAGAAGTTCTTGGCCATTATTTTTCAAATAGCCTCTCTTCTCCTTCTCTCTGTTCTCCTTCTGTGACCCATGCAATGCATATATTGGTTAGCTTGATTATATCACACAGGTCCATTAGGCTCTGTTAATTTTTCCTCACTCTTATTTCTTTGTGTTACTCAAGTCAGTACTTTCCATTATCCTATCTTCAAGTTTGTTGAGTTTGTTGATCCTTTCTTCTGTCTGCTCAAATACTCAAATCTGCATTTGAATCTTTCTAGTGAATGTTTCATTTCAGTTATTGTACTCTTCAGTTCCAGAATTTCTTTGCAGTTTGTGTTTAGGTTTTCTATCACATTGTTGATATTTCCATTTTGTTTATATACCATTTTCTTGACTTTCTCCATGTCTTCCTTTACTTCTTTGAGCATCTTTAAGACAGTTGTTTTAAAGCCTTTGTCTAGTAGATCTGCCATCAGGTGTTTTCTAAGAACAGTTTCTGTCAGTTTAGTTTTTTCTTTTGAATGAGCCATGCATTCCTGTTTCTTTATATGCCTTGTGATTTTTTGTGGAAATCTGACATTTTAATCTAATGGTATGTTAACTCTAGAAATCAGATTCTCTCCCTTCCTCAAAGTTTGCTGGTTTTTTTTTTATTTTGTTTTTGTTTGTTGTTTGTTGAACACTATCTCTGTGCCAAGGATCAGACTGAAGCATGAACTTAAGGGTATTCTTAGGCCCTTTCTGAGCCTGGGCTTTCCCTGAGCTTGTACAGTGATGTTCTAATGTCCCTCATACATCCAGCTGCTTTTGAATGTGCTAGTCTTCAGTGCCTGGCTCCTAAAAAAAGGAAAAAAAGAAAAATAAAGTGGTGGTGGTGTTGTTAAAATGGCAGCCCCTTAAGTGCCCTGGAAGTCACTTCAGTCATGGGAGACAGGATTGCAATAATGCGGGGGGGAGGTGCAAAAACAATGGCCACCTGCCACTTTCTCTGCATCTCTGTGATCAGAAGCAGCAATCAGCAATTAGAGCACAGACTCATGATATTTGGAAGACATGATCCTTTTTGCTCATCCTGGCTTCTGCAGTTTACATGCAGGCTCTCCAGGACATGTACACAGCTGTCTGCTGTGGGACTACATGGTGGGGGATGGGTAGCTGTTGCTGTTATAAGAGCTGAAATTGACCAAAATTAACCTCAATTTACCATCCGTGCCTTTTCCTAGAAGTTACAAGCCTTTAATAGATGCCAGAGTTCAAAAAATCTTATATCAGACAGATTTTGCCAGTGCAATTGTTACTAGTTGAGGAGACAGATTTATGGTGCTTCCTACTATGCTGTCTTCCCAGAATCTTCTCTCCTCTTAAGAATTACTACAAATTTGGCTGGGTGCGGTGGCTCACGCCTGTAATCCCAGCACTTTGGGAGGCTGAGGTGGGTGGATTATGAGGTCAGGAGATCGAGACCATCCTGGCTAACACAGTGAAACCCTGTCTCTACTAAAAAATACAAAAAAAATTAGCCAGGCGTGCCAGCAGCCGCCTGTAGTCCCAGCTACTTGGGAGGGTGAGGCAGGAGAATGGTGTGAACCAGGGAGGTGGAGCTTGCGGTGAGCAGAGATTGCACCACTGCACTCCAGCCTGGGCGGCAGAATGAGACTCCGTCTCAAAAAAAAAAAATTATTCAAATTTATAAAAGCAGAGCAAACATGGTGGCACGTGCCTGTAATTCTCATTAGGCTGAGGTGGAAGGGTTGCTTGAGCCCAGAAGTTCAAGACTAGCCCAGGCAACATAGTGAAACTGTTTCAAACAAAACAAAACGAAAAAACCAAATTAATAAAAGCAAGTCGAGCATGGTGGCTCACATCTGTAATCCCAGCATTCTGGGAGACCAAGGCAGGTGGATCATTTGAGGTCAGGAGTTTGAGACCAGCCTGGCCAACATGGTGAAACCCCGTCTCTGCTAAAAATAGAAAAATTGGCTGGGCATCACGACGCATGCCTATAATTCCAGCTAGTCAGGAGCCTGAGGCAGGAGAATCGCTTAAGCCCAGGAGGCAGAGGTTGCAGTGAGCTGAGATCTCAGTATTGCACTCCAGCCTGGGTGACAGAGGGAAACTGTTCCCCCCACCAAAAAAAAAAAAAAAAAAAAAAAAGAACAACTCAAAAAACCCCAAAAGTCATAAAAGCAGATTACAATGTTCTTTTTTAACTTTATTTTTTTATTTTGGGCCTTACTATGTTGCCCAGACTTGTCTTGAACTTCTGGCCTCAAGTGATTCTCCTGCCTTGGATTCCCAAGGTGTTGGGATTACAGCATAAGCCATCACACCCAACTATCAGTGTTCACTTGAATTGGTAATGGCTTTTATTGTTATGCTCGTATTCATTCATATAATAATATTTATTAACGTATGAAAAAATCATCATTAGGTTTTTCATTTGTTCGATTTTTTTCTTGTATCGTTGTAATCTTGATTATTCTTCTCAAATTCTGTTTTCTGCTGAAAATTAGAATGAGTGGGATAGATGGATTGCTGTAAAAATGTTTGATAAGTGCCAATATAGCCCATAAATCAATGGCTGGATTGATATGGAAAAGCTTTATGGGGATATAGGGTAGAAAAATCATATAGAGGTTTAAGCTGCTATTTGAGTCTCCCACCACTTGGGAGAAGGCTAATCTGGCAAGAACTGTGGTTCCTGGGACTAGAGATGGAATAGGGACTCCGAACCCAATTCAGTGGTAAGTTTGAAATCAGAGAAGTGCGTGAAGTTGAAAACAGTTGTACAGTAGTACTGAGATTGAAGGAGTTGTAAGGCAGGCTCTAGGGGCAGCTGAAGGGAGCTGGAGGCAGCAAGGACAGCCAGTTTTGAAACAGGAGTCATAGCTTCTGTGGTCTCACATTCTTTGGGTAGCAGTCAGAAGCTTTGGCTAGGCTGGATGCTGTGAGTATATTAAGACTAGAACCAGACAGTATCACTCGTTTCTTATTGCAATCAGACTAGCTGACAGAAGGGCAGGTAGACTTCCTTGTGTGTTCTTTGCTAACCTCACAATCTGACAGTCGGCATGCTGTCAGCTCTCCATTATCTGGACTGCTGAACCACCGCCACTGAGCAATCATAAATCTTGAAATATCCCCATAGAGTAAGACTTTGGATATCCTGGTCAACCTCTGGAGAAGCAAGACTCAAGACAGGCCACTCCCTTGATCCTGGGTGTCCATATGCAACTGTATTTAGCATAGAAAGTCTTGGAGTTTGCTAGTTTTCTCCTGGAAACACAGCTGCAGTCTCTCCACTCTTAATTTTGAATGTTGTGCTTAGAGCAGAACCACCTGTCTCTGTATCTGTATTTTCTTTCCAAAGAGCTGAGTGATTGCCTAGAACAGCTGTGGGTATTTGTGTTTTATTTTTATAAGCCCTAAGCAACTGAGTGAAAAGCAAAGCCGATTATGTCATTGAGTCCTTTAATATGTATGAACAGGAAAGCAGAAAACTGAGTTAGCCATAGCAAATACAAGGTTTACATAGAAGAAGAAACACTGAATTTTGCTGGGGAATCAATGAACAAAGAGGCAAAATGTTTGCATTTTGGGGGAAAGACTTATTTTATGTTCATTCAGATAAATGATCTTTACACGACGTCTTTTTAAATACTGCAAACACTGAATTTATATCCACAAGATGTAAGAGAAGCATAGTGGAGAACATGCTACATATAAGTCTGGCAAAGACAGTCAGGTTTTTGTGTGCACCAACCCCTACACATTTGTTAGTTCTTCCTTGCTCTGTTTAAAATAACTTCCTCTTTGTCTTTGAATTGTATAGCGTTTAAATGCCACCGGAAGTTAAGCCTCCACTCTGAAAACTTATTTGTGCTATCAAAACATTGTCAAGAATCTAGATAGCTAGAGCCAGATTTCTGGCATTCATGCCAGATGCCAGAAGATCTTTAGCTACTGACTATCACTGGAGAGTCTTTAGGTCAGTATAAGTGAGAAGATAATCTTATTTAGTATTGTGTAGCAACTTATTTGGAATTACAAGTCTCTTGGATCCTTGAGGGCTACATTTTGGCGGTGGTGGTGGTGGTAACATTTCAATAAGTCAACCAAGTGGAATTTCTAATCTTAATATGACAACCCATAGAATCCTTCTACCTAAAAAATTGTCACAAAATTTAGGGTATTTTATTCTCTTCTTCTCCTTATTTCCCTTCTTATTTTAAGGTGGATCCAGTTTATCTCAGTTGCATTTTTTTCTCCTTCAATATAAAAATGCTATAAAATTATTATTTCTAAAACTTTGGAAAATATAGAAAAACTAAAAATAAGAACAATCCTATTCCCAAGGGCAAGTGTTGTTAGTGTCTCTCTCAGTCCTGGCCCAGGTTTGTTTTTATTTTTGTTTTGTTTCATAATTGTGACCATATTGTATGTATGATTTTGTTTTTGTAAACATTAGCACTGTCATAAGCTTTCTCCAATGCTAGTAAAATTATGTAAACAATTCTTATTCTTCCTCTTTCATTTCTTCTCTTCCCTTCCATTGTCTTCTTTAAAAGTGTTTATCGTCTTCCCTCTTTCCTTATCAAATACCATTAAGGAGACTTCTGCTTTTGGACAAGACAGAATAATAAGAACCGGGTTTTTCATCTAGTGTATTAGGAGGGGGTAGTGTGAGTTCAAGCACATCATGGCTATTAGAGTTCATGAGACATAATACCAAAGAAGAGAGGCCTGCACAGAGAGAAGGCTCTGGAGATCTGAAGAGCATCCCCTTTGAGTTTTCATCTAAGTACTGAACAGCATGTGTGTGTGTGAAGAAACTATTCAAGTTTTCTAGGAGGAAAAACCATTGGGATTCACATAGGGCTTGGAAGAGTTTGTATTCCCACATGCCAGAGTGGATAGAACTCATAATTTGTGGATGTAAGATAGTGTATTCAGAAGGATAATGTCCCAACAGTGGGATGAAATTAATCCTAGGTTAAAAGCTGCTCTGATCCTGTATAAAACAAGTATGAAAGCAGGTCTCAAAGGATCAAACTGTTTCCAAGTAATTTAATTCCAAGAACAAAGCTCAAGAATATTTACAAAAATATAGAAAAAAAAAATCCAGTACCTAACGAGATAAAATTAATGATGTCTGGGATCCAATAAAAATATTACCAAATATGCTAAGAAGCAGGAAATATGAGCCATAATGAAAAAAGTAATCAATAGAAAGAGACTCAGTAGTAATACAGATGACAGAATTAAAGGACATTAAAACAGATATTGTAATTATATTTCTTATGGTCAAGAAGGTAGATTATAGCCTGAGTATGTTAAAAAGGGACATGAAAGATATTTTTTAACTGTAAATCAAACTTCTAGAGATAAAACTACAATGCCTGAAAGAAAAAATACATTGGATGGAATTAACAGCAGATTAGTCACTTCAGAAGGAAAGATTAATGAACTTAAGGCAGAGCAATAGAAACTATTCAAAAGGAAACAAATTAAAAAGACCAATAAAAGTGAATACAGCTTCAGGGAGTTTAGGGCAAGTTTAAGCAGCCTAATACACACATAATGGGAGTTCCCAAAGGAAGTAAGTGGGAACAGAAAAAAAAAATCAAAGAAATAATGGCTAAAACTTTCCCAAGTTTAATGAAACCTCTAAACCACACAGATTCAAGAAGCTTAGTAAATGCCAAGTATAAGAGGCATGATGCTAAGTCACATCACAATCAAATTAGTAATAAAGAGAAAAATAATAAAGCAACCAGAGAAAAAAGACACATATGGAAAAAAGAATGAAGATTAGAATTATCACAGACTACTAACTGGAAACAATGCATGTTAGAAGACAGTGTAGAAACAACTTTAAAACACTTAAAGAAAAAAACTGTCAACTTAGCATTCTCCAGCCAGCAAAAATATTTGTCATACAGTGGAGGTGTATTGAACATAGAGTTACCATGACGTATCAATTTTATTCCTAGGTTTATGTTCACACAAAACTTGTATACAAATGTTCATAGCATTCCTAATGATTAAAAAGTGAAAATAATTCAAATATTCATCATGTGATAAATGAATAAGTAAAATATGATATACGCATACAATGGAAAGTTACTTGGCAATAATAAGAAATGAAGTACTGATACAAGCAACAACATGCATGAACCCTGAAAATGTTACGGCAAGTGAAAAAAACAGTAAAAGGTGATTGGATATTTTATGATTCCACTTATGTGAAATATCCAGAATAGGCAAGTCTGTAGTGACAGAAAGTGGACTAATAGTTGCTTAGGGCTGGAAGTGGGAGGAGAAAATGGAAAGTGACAGATAAAGCAAGTTAGGATTTCTTTAGGGAGAACAGAAATGTGGCAATGGATGCATAATCTTGTGTATATCCTAAAAATATTGAAATATACATTTTAAAAGGGAGAATTGTATGGTATTTGAATTATATCTCAATAAAACCATTGAAATCATGATAAAGGTGAAATATTTTTTTCAGATATAAAAAGCTGAAAGCTTAATCAGCAAAAGACCTGAGCTAAAATATTAAAGGAAGTTTTCAGGTAGAAGGAATATGATATCACAGGGAAATCTGAATCTACACAATGGGATAAAGAACACCAGAAATGATAAATAATGTGGGTAAATATAAATCCTTTTCTTTTTTCTTTTTTGGAAGACAGGGTCTCACTTTGTCACCTAGGCTGGAGTGCAGTGGCGAGGTATCAGCTAACTGCAACCTCTGCCTCCTGGGCTCAAGTAATCCTCCCACCTTAGCCTCCCAAGTAGCTGGGACTATAGGCATGCACTATCACATCTAGCTAATTTTTGTAATTTTTTTGTAGAAATAGGGTTTTGCCATGTTGCCCAGGCTGGTCTCAAACTCTTGAGCTCAAGCAATCAGCCCACCTCGGCCTTCCTAAGTGCTGGGGTTACAGGCGTGAGCCACTGCACCCGGCCTCCTTTTCTTTTTATTTAAAAATTTCTTTTTCTTTTTCTTCTTTTTAAAATTTTGAGATGGAGTTTCACTCTTGTTGCCCAGGCTGGAGTGCAATGGTGCAATCTCGGCTCACCGCAACCTCCGCCTCCCAGATTCAAGTGATTCTCCTGCCTCAGCCTCCTGAGTAGCTGGGATTACAGGCATGCACCACCATACCCAGCTAATTGTGTATTTTTAGTAGAGCCAGGGTTTCTCCATGTTGGTCAGGCTGGTCTCAAACTCCCAACCTCAGGTGATCTTCCCACCTTGGCCTCACGAAGTGCTGGGATTACAAGCATGAGCCACCACGCCTGGCTTTAAAATATTTCTTTAAAATATTACTGACTAAAGCAAAAAAAAGTATGATGGACTTTATAACAATAAAAAAGTAAAACGTGTAAAAACAAGACCAAGACCAGAATGGGAAGAGCTGGAACTTTACTGTCGTAGCATTTTAATATTATACATAACATGGTATAATATTAGATGTGTAATATAAAATCTAAAGCAACTACTACAAAAACAATACTAGAAGTTATAGCTACTAAGCCAACAAAGGATAAAAAATAGAATCAAAATTAATTAATCCAAAAGAAGGAAGTAAAAGGGAACAAAGAATAGGTGGGACTACTAGAAAAGAAACAAAGAAGGTAGATTTAAACACAATCATATCAACAATCACATTAAATGTAAATGTTCTAAATTCTCTAATTAAATGTAGTCAGACTGCATTTTTTTTTTAAAAAAAAGCAAGACCAAACTACAGTCATGCATTGCTTAACAACAAGGATGCATTCTAAGAAACGCCTAATTAGGTGATTTCCTCATTGTGTGAACATCATCGTGTGTACTTACACAAACCTAGACAGTATAGCCTTCTATGTACCTAGGCTATATGATATAGCCTATTGCTCCTAGGCTACAAACCTGTATAACATGTTACTGTACTGAATACTATAGGCAAGTGTAGCACAATGATAATTATTTGTGTATTTAAACATAGAAAAGGTATAGTAAAAATGCAGTTTTATAATCTTATGGAACGACCATTGGTTCCATATATAGCCCATCATTAACTGAAACATTACTATTTGATACATGACCGTATATGCTGGCTACAAGAAACTCACTTTCAATATAAAGACACAAGTAGGTTTGTGATGGCCTCTTATTGGGTTGACGTAGATTGACTGAACTAAATTTCTTGTAGTTCCCCTTCCTGTATATACCCTATTAGAGTAGACCACAGGAGAGATTCTTATGGGCTATTTGAAGTGCAGAAGAAAAACAGCAGCCATTTGGTTGCTCACATACATTGTCTCTTATCTGCTAACTCACCACATTTATCCTGAAGCAGGGCTTCACCTGCAATTGCTCTGCATTCTCCTGAATCATTCAGCTTCTCTGATTTCTTGGCCAGCTCTGTGATGAAGAACCTAGCTTCTGCAGGACATCCATACCATCAAGAAACTTCAGAAACCAGTAAAAGAAGAGCAAACTATACAAAAAGGAAGCAGGAGAAAGGAAATAATAAGAAAATAAATGAAATAGAAAATAGGCAAATTGTATAGAAATATCAGTGAAACTAAAAGCTTGTTCTATAAGAATATTAATAAAGTAAATAAATCTCAATCCCAACTGATCAGAAGAAAATAGAGAAGACATAAATTACCATAAGCATGGGTGAGAGAGGTGACATCACTATAGGTCCTACAGATAAAAGAATAATATATAAATATTATGAATAACTTTATGACAATAAATTCCACTTAGATGAAATAGACAAATTCCTTGATCAACTCAAACTAGCCAAACTCACTCATGAAGAAATAGATAACCAGAGTAGTCCTCTATCCATTAAAGAAATTGAATTTGTGGTTAAAAGCCTTGCTATAAAGAAAACTGCAGTGTTAGCTGCTTTATTAGTCAAGTCCACTAAGCTTCGAAGAAAGAAATAATACTAATTCTTCATGAACTCTTCCAGAAAACTGTAGAGGAGGAACTATGTCACAACTGATTCTGAGGCCAACATTACTCTGACACCAAAATTAGACAAAGACCTTGCAAGAAAAGAAAAGTTCAGACAAATATACCTCATGAACATAGATGCAAAAATTCTTAACAAATTTTAGTAAATTGATTCCAACAATATATGAAAGGACAATATGTCATAATGAAGTGGGACTTATCCATAGAATGGAAGGTTTGCTGAATGGTTTAAAAAAAAAAGTTATTTATCTTATTAACAGACTAAAAAAGAAAAACCATAGATCATCTCAACTGACAATAAAATGTGTTTGGCAATATCCATCATCCATTCCTGATTTTTTAAAAAACTGTCAGCAAACTCAGAACAGAAGGGAATTTACTCAACCTACAGGTTATTTCCAAAAACCTACAGCTAACATCATACTTAATGGTAAAAGACCGGATACTTTTTCCCTAAGATGAGGATCAAGTAAAAAATATATGTTCTTACCACTTGTATTCAATGTTATAGTAGATATTCTACTTGCCAGTGAAATAAGGCAAGAAAAGGAGCTAAATTTGCCTTTATTCACAGAAGAAATGATCCTTTATGTAGACAAAAAGTACAGAATATATTTTGAAAGCTATTTAAACTAGTATGTGAGTTTAGTAAGATCAATACATAATATTATACGACAAAATCATTTGTTTTTCTGTATACCAATAATGAATAATCAGACACTGAAATTTAAGAATACCACTTATAATAGCAATTAAATATATGAAATGCTTAGTGATAAATTTAACCAAGGATGTGCATTGATTGTACACTGAAAATTATAAAGCATTACAGAGAGAAATTCAAGGAGATTTAGCTAAATGGGGACCTATGCCATGTTCATTAATTAAAAGACTAAGTACTGTTAAGATGCCAAGTTTCCCTAAGTTGTAATCTCAACCAGAATTCCAAGATTTTTTAAAAAGTAATTGATAATCTAACTTTCAAATTTATATGGAAATACAAAGAACCTGAAATAACCAAAAACTTTGTAAAATAAGGAGAAAGTTTAGGGGCTGATTTCAAGACTTATTATAAAGATACAGTAATCCAGGCAGTGTAGTATCAGCATAAAGTGAAAAAACTAAACCAATGAAACAATATAGACAGTCTAGAAACAGACCCATACGTATATATGGTCAATTGATTTTTGACAAATTTGCCAAGGCAATTCAGTGGGGGAAAGGAGAGTCTTTCAACAAAATGGCACTAGAAAAATTATATAAGGTAGGGCATGGTGGCTCATGCCTGTAATCCCAGCACTTTGGGAGGCTGAGGCAGGCAAATCACTTGGGCTTAAGAGTTCAAGACCAGCCTGAGCAACATGGTGAAAACCCATCTCTACGAAAAAATACAAAAATTAGCTGAGCATGGTGGCACACGCCTGTAGTCCCAGCCACTTGGAAGGCTGAGGTGGAAGGATCAATTGAGCTCCGGAGGTAGAGGTTGCATTGAGCTAAGATCGTGCCACTGCACTCCAGCCTGGGTGACAGAGCAAGTACCTGTCTCAAAAAAAAAAAAAAAAAAATACATGGATACCAAAATAAACCTTATCCCTTATGTCATATCATACAGGAAAATAAAGTTGAAATTGATCATATCCCTAAATAAAACAATAACACTTTTAGAATAAAACATAAGAGAAAACCTTGGTGATCTGTTTTTGTTGAAGTTTTTAAAACAGCATACAAAGAAAGGAATAAAAAAGGAAAGTCAATTATTTGGACTTCACCACAAAATGAAAATACTTTGTGCATCATAGACATGGTAAGAATGTGAAAGGGCAAACCACAGAATGAGAGAATATCTTTTTGAAAGATATTTGACAAAAGATTACAGTATAAAAAGAACCGTTACAACTCCAGGATCCTAAGACCAAAAAAATAAAAAATAAAAAAACTTGTGAAAAATGGGCCAAACTTGCATAAAAGTTGATATAAGAATGGCAGATAGGCCCATGGAAAGATGCTTCATAGCCTTACTCACTAGGGAAATGCAAATGAAAACCACCTCACACCCACTAGAATGGCTAATGTTATAAAACCTGTTAAAATTACAAAGTACTGGTAGGGATGTGGATTAACTGGAACTCTCATATATTGCTGATGTAAAATGGCACGATGTACTGGGGAGACATTTTGTTGGTTTCTTAAGAATTTAAGCCTATACCTACCATACAACCCAGTTGTTGTCCTCTATGCATTGATCCAAGACAAAATAAACTTATTTGTTCACAAAATAAAGCCTATGTAGTGAATGTTCATAGCAGCTTTATTTACAATAGACAAAAACTACAAACAATGGCCGGGCACAGTGGCTCACGCCTGTAATCCCACCACTTTGGGAGGCTGAGGCGGGTGGATCATCTGAGGTCGGGGTTCAAGACCAACCTAGCCAACATGGTGAAATCCCGTCTCTACTACAAATACAAAATTAGCCGGGCATGGTGGCGCATGCCTGTAATCCCAGCTACTCAGGAGGCCGAGGTGGGAGAATCGCTTGAAACCGGGAGGAGAAGGTTGCAGTGAGCCGAGATCACACCATTGCACTCCAGCCTGGGTGATAAGAGCGAAACTCCATTTCAAAATAAACAAACAAACAAACAACAACAACAAAAACCTACAAACAACCCAAATGCCCTTCAGTGGGTGAATAGATCAACATGCTGTGATTTATCCATGCAATGGAATACTTTTCAGCAATAAAAAGGGATGGACTATTGTATTGATCCATGTAACGGAATGGATGACTCTCAAAATAATTATGCTGCGTGAAAGAAGCCAAAGATGAGTGCATGCTGTGTGATCCCATTATATAAAATGCAAACTAATCTATAGTGACAGATAGTAGATCAGCTGTTGCCTGGGAACACAGAGGATTATTGTGGAGGAGGGGCAGGAAGGAGAGATTATAAAAGGGCATAGGAAGCTATTTGAGGTGGATGATATATTAATTATCTTGATGGTGGTTATGATTTTATGGGCATATACATATGTCAAAACTCAACGTATTGTGCACTTAAATATGTATAGTTCACTGTATATCCATTATACCTCCATAAAGCTGTAAAACAAAAAGCCATTAGGCAGATCCAAACAAGTTAGGCAGCGTATAGAGGCAGGTTCAAATTAGAGTTTTGGGTGAGAGAAGGAGGGGGTTGCAGAAAGCCTGGCCATTTACAGGATGATTCATATAAGAGGAGCCAGGCTTTTCACTGTTGGAGTTACAATTACAGAAAAATAAAAGGAAACCAGAATGAACTTTGTGTTGTTAGACTTTGTGGTATCAGTGTGAATCTTATGGTTTTTATGTGTGCAGACACACAAATACAGAGAGATTTGATGTGTGTATACATTCATATACATCCTACCTCTATTCACAGAAAGGGCCTGGGAATAGTCATGCCCCAGCTATAACAAGCACATCTAGCATCTAGATTTTGACTTGTTAATATCACTTTTCAATGAAAGGAAGCAGGGCTTCTTGGAGAAACATCAGATTCCAGGGCTGAGGCAGGGAATGTACAAGATGAACCTGAATATCCTTCTGTGCTAGGAAGCAAAGAAATTCTCAAACAATAATGAGGAGATAACAAAAATTCTCAGAAGCCAGTTTAAAGAGGCTTTCATTGGCCACATCTGGTGATTTGAGCATCAAGATAAATAATGACAGTTACAGATTCTAATCTACTGAATAAAACACAAATATGTGGCTCCACACTGCTAAAAGAAATAAATGAATAAATGAATAAACAAATGGGAAGGCAAGAGAAGTCTCCCTTACAGTAGAAAGCCAACTAATAAATGTAGAAGGATTGATGATATCAGAAGGTCTCCATTTGACAACTATCACAGTAATAATTAACATTAATGGACACCCAAACTGGTGGGTGAAAGTAGGGTTTAAATGAAATTTTACATAGTCTCAAATTATCTCTCCAGAAAATATCTATTGATTACAAAAGGGGAAAAACATGACTTTCTAGTTGTAGAAGCCTGGCAGACACTGTCTTGACCAAGAAAAGTTAACACCACCAGTAATGAGACTTTTATAGGTGCAAGATGGACCACCCCTCACCTCCAAAATTGGTTTAGATTTGAGACTGATGATGACACACACACACACACACACACACACACATACACACACCCCAAGAGGATAAAAAGAGATTTATTTATTACTCATATATTGAGGCTTTCTGGGAAGAGTAGGGCAGGCTCCCAAACAGGTCTGGAAATGGCTGAGAAAGCACAGAGGGTGACTGGCTTTGATTTTTTATTGTGGTTAATGGGCTCCGGCTGGGGTGAGGGTTACCAGTTATGGGACAGGGCTCACGTGCTTTGAACCTCCCACCAGCATCAAACAAGGAATCACCCAGGCTTTCTTATCAGCTTGCCAAGATGTAGGGCAGAAGAGGAAGAAAGAGGAGTGGGCCTTGAAAGCTGTTAGCAGTCACACATGAAAAATAGAATCAGACTAGAAACAAACAGATGCCATGCTCCATCCAATAGTTGCAATGAAAAGAATACAACATCTGTGATATTCCAGCCAAAAATATATTACCTGGGTCTAATTATGAGAAACATCAAACAAATCCACTGTGTAGATGAGAATTAACATAGCAGGCCTGGGGCTGCTATCCTTAGAAAGGCCTGCTTGCAAGGTTGCCCATGATTGGTATCTGGGAACTTGGATTTAAGGAGTGTTCCCATCACACAGTGAGTGGCTCGCTCTGCCCAAACTGCTTGTACAAAGAATGAGGATTGTGTTGAATTCTGCTTTCCTTTGGGGAGTCTGGAATTTTGGTACTTGCTGGACAGAGAGTGTCTATGTGACCAGTCACAATAAAACCCTTGAGCACTGAATTTCTAATAAGCTTCCTGGTAGGTAACATTTCACATGTGTTATCAGAGCTCATTGCTGGGGAAATTAACACATCCTGTATGATTCTACTGGGGAGAAGTCTTGGGAGCTTGCCTGGTTTTCTCTGGATTTTGCCCATTGTGCCTTTTCCCTTTGCTAATTTTCCTTTTTATTCTTTGGCTTTAATAAATCATAGCGACGACTGTGGCCATCTGCTGAGTCCTGTGAGTCCTCCTAGCAAATCATCAAACCTGGAGTGATCCTGAGGAACCCAACACACCCACATTGAAAAATATTCTAAGTGATTGTCCTATAATCTTTAAAGAATGTTGAGGTCATGAAAAATAGTCATAACAGCTGTGAACAATGTTGAGATCTTGAACTGCATTCTTTTCTGTAAAGGATGTTTCTGGGACAGTTGGCCAAACTTGAATGGCATCTCTAGATGATGGGTCCATGAAAGTTCTTTATGCCAACCTTGCAAGTTTTTGGTAAGTTTAGAACTGTTTCAAAATAAAATATGTATTTTTTTTTCTTTTCTGTTGTCAAGACGGGGTCTCATTCTTTCACCCAGGCTGGAGTGCAGTGGCAAGATCTCAGCTCACTGCAGCCTCAACCTCCCTGGTTCAAGCAATCCTTCCACCTCAGCCTCCTGAGTAAGTAGCTAGGACTACAGGTGTACGCCACCATGCCAGGCTTTTTTTTTTTTTCTTTTTTTGTAGAGACAAGGTGCTGTGTGGCCCAGACCGGTCTTGTACTCCTGAACTCAAGCAATCCACCCACCTCGGCCTCCCAAAGTGCTGGGATTACAGGCATGAACCATCATGCCCAGCCCTAAAGTATGTATTTTTTCAAAACTCTGGAAGCATTTTTTATTGGCTGCATAATATTCTACTGCACAATTATCTATCATAGTTTCTTCAGCCTAGTGGTTTTCAACCCTGGCTACACATGAAAGCCACTCAGAGACTTTTTATACATATATGCCTAGGTCTCAGTCCTAGAGATTTTGATTCAGTTGTTCTGATATGAAGATTAGGAATCATTATTGTAAAAATATAGCAAACCAAGTGATTTTAATGTGGAACCAGAAATGAAAATCAGTAGGCTAAGAAAAACTATAATAGTAACCAATCCCTTAATGTTGATTATTTAGGTTGTTTCTAGCCATAGTATGTCAATAAAAATATTTGTGCATAAAGCTTTTCCCTTATTTTGTATTATGTTCTTAATATTAACCCCAGAGATCAAAGGGTATGAATATTTTTAAGGCTGCTCTTGGTATTTTTCCAAATCGATTTTAAAAGCAAATTATCTGGTGTCTGTTCTACTGTATGTAGATAGAACATTCTCCATTTTAAATGTCTTTGTTAGTATAATAGAAAAAAGGTGCTATATTATTCTAATTTGTATTTTTAAACTTTCTCTAGAGGGTTAAGCATTTCCAAATTTTGTTGTGCATCAGCGTTTCCTCTCTGGGAAATAATTGTTATATTCTTTTATGTATTAGGAAGGTAGTCTTTCTCAGATAGTTTTATGTAAGTGCTTTATCATATATAAGTGCAATATTTCCCCAGTTTGTGGTTTGACTTTTAATTTTTGTCATTTTACTCTTTAAGAGAAAGAATATTTTCTTGGGAATGAGAAAATATGCTGCAGTAGCAAGAAGAGCTGGCAAATTCAAGGCTTATTCTATATCTGGAAGGAGTTCCTAAGACAGAGGAGGAAAAAATACTGCAAGCTGTGGCCAAGAAGTTCTGTGTTTTGTATTACCAAGGTGTTTTGAGGGTTGAAGAATATGTATCAAACCCAATAGGGTTTATTTTATTCTTATTCATAGGACTATGTGCCCTATTTTAAGTACCACCTTAGAGAGAACAACACATGCTAGAGTTATTTTTCTCCTTCGTCATAGAATGTTTGGAAAATCAGATACTAAATTAGTTGTAACACGGCCCTGAAAATAAAAACTTGCTAAAAAAAATGAGTTCACACAAAAAGTGTAGTGTGGGTTGGCAAAAACAGATAGAAATAAACAGATCATTCTGTCTATTATGGAGAAGATATTCTGGGCTAATCCCACTCACAATCACTGCAGTATTCAGTGTAATAGGGCAAGAAGTCTTATCACAAGATGTTATTTCAGAAAATGCTATAAAAAACTTATATCCCAAGAAGATAAGTGAATTGCACATAGACCTGAGAAATCTAGGCTAGTCTGAAAAAATCCATTCACCCCCTTCAGGGTTAATGGAAGGCTTCTGCCACGTGGGGGAGCTCAAATCTCACTTCCCTCAGCTATTACTCCACCCACAAAGTAGTTGATTACTAATATTGGATTGGTCAAGTCCAGGAACACGGTTTAGGTCACTATGCTTGGGCCTGGAACTTTCTCTTTGCTAAAGGAAAGGTTAAATATGGTTCCTGGTGGCAAAATTTCTTTTATAGCTCATTTTGTAGTTTTTTTTCCCCCCTTGATTGGCTTTTTAGGAAAACTGATTTCCTATTCAACTGGGTGATGAAACAGTTTGAGGGCTTTACTGAGACCTTTGTGCCCTGCTGCCCCCTGGAAGGTCTTGGGGGGCAATGGATGGTTTCTAAGAAGAAGAAAAACTTTTCATTATTTCCTTGCTTTAATTGCAATTTGATTGGAATTGCCTTTTCTTTCCATTATAGACAAACAATAAGGATGACTGTGGGCCAGGTAACATCCTCTGGGTGATGAGACAGAACTGATTGTAGTAGGTTAGGAATTAATTTCAAGGGCAAAGGAAGGCTTGTCTCAAAACAGACAAAACTTCACTGTAGACAATTTTGGACTGGTGGTGCTGGCATTGATGGACAGGAGGAACAACCCCAGGGATTTGTTTACCTTCTTATCTCCTTTTGTTCCCCCTGGGCTGAGATGAATCCTGATAATGGCAGGGATTTTTGAGCACTAAAATTATTCAATAAATCAGAGTTATGAAATTCATCACTAGACAAATGAAGATCCGTAAAAGCCATTTTCTTTCTTTCTTCTCTTTCTTCCTTTCTTTTTGTTCATTCATGCCTCTTTTCCTTTTGGAGGTGGTTGCATTTAAGATTTATCAATAATTGCTTTTCCTATTTAAAATTGATTTTTAACTATATAAATGATTTCCAAATACCTTCTTCTTCCAAAAAACTGGAAGCCTACAGCTAAAGCTGCCATTAAGTCATCTTTGAGCACTATCCAACGACCCTGATGCCATATCCCAGGCATTACAATAGAGTAGTAAGGAAGGGCTGGAGCCAGATTGCTTAGGTTCAAATTAAACTAATTAACTGGCTGTGCAACTTTATGCAAGTTACTTAACCTGACTATGCCTGATTTTCTTATCTGGAGGATGGATATTAATGCCTAACTCATAGGGTGATTTTAAGGATTAAATGTAATAATATTTGTAAAGCACTTAAACACCATATGGCATGTAGAAGCACTTAATAAATGTTAGCTATTGTTCTTCTACTTACTACTTGTGATATGTATTTCTTCCCATAGATCATGCAATGAGCTATGATCGCACCACTGCAGTCCAGCCTGGGCAAGAGAATGAGCTGCTGTTCCCTCCCCACCCCCCCAAAAAAAAGAGAGAGAGAGTGATATGTTTTGGCTGTGTCCCCACCCAAATCTCATCTTGAATTCCCACGTATTGTGGGAGGGACTGGGTGGGAGGTAAGTGAATCATGGGGGTAGGTCTTTCCCATGCTGTTCTCATGATAGTGAATAAGTTTCATGAGATCTGATGGTTTTATAAGGGAGAGTTTCCCTGCACAAGCTCTCTCTCCCTTTGCCTGCTGCCATCTATGTAAGATGTAATTTGCTATTCCTTGCCTTCTGTCATGATTGTAAGGCCTCCCTAGCCATGTGGAAATGTAAGTTCATTAAACCTCCCTTTTCTGTATAAATTACCCAGTCTTGTGTATGTCTTTATCAGCAACATGAGAAGAGACTAATACAGTAAATTGGTACCAGGAGTGGGGCTGTACCCTGCAAAGCCACAGGGGCAGAGCTGCCTAAGACCATGAGAACCCACCTCTTGCATCAGTCTGACCTGGATGTGAGACATGGAGTCAAAGGAGATCATCTTGCAGGTTTAAGATTTGAGGCCAAGCACGGTGGGTCACGCCTGTAATCCCAGCACTTTGGAAGGTCTAGGTGGGTGGATAACTGGAGGTCAGGAGCTCGAAACCAGCCTGGCCAACATGGTGAAACCCCGTCTCAACTAAAAATACAGAATTATCCAGGTGTGGTGGCACACACCTGTAATCCCAGCTTCTTGGAAGGCGGAGACAGGAGAATTGCTTGAACCCAGGGGGCAGAGGCTGCAGTGAGCTGAAACCATTCCACTGCACTCCAGCCTGGGCAAGACAGAGTGACACACTCTGTCTCAAAACAAAACAAAACAAAAAAAAGATTTGACTGCCCTGCTGGGTTTTGGACTTGCATGGGGTCTGTAGCCCCTTTGTTTTGGCCAATTTCTCCCATTTGGAATGGCTTCATTTACCCAATGCCTGTACCCCATTGTATGTAGGAAGTAACTAACTTGCTTTTGATTTTACAGGCTCATAGGTGGAAGATACTTGCTTTGTCTCAGATGAGACTTTGGACTATGGACTTCTGAGTTAATGCTGAAATGAGTTAAGAGTTTGGAAGGCATGATTGGTTTTGAAATGATTTTATAAGGGAGAGTTTCCCTGCACAAGCTCTCTCTCTCTTTGCCTGATGCCATCCATATAAGATGTGACTCACTCCTCCTCAACTTCCATCATGATTGTGAGGCCTCCCCAGCCACGTGGAACTGTGAGTCTATTAAGCCTCTTTTTCTGTATAAATTACCCAGTCTTGGGTATTTTTTATCAGCAGTGTGAGAGCAGACTAATACAGAGAGAGTGAGAGAGATAGGGAATCCTTAGGGGGAAATGGATATGGAACAACAGGAGTAAAGCATTAGATTGTGTTGCTGTAGAAAAAGAGGTCAAGAGGTAACCAGTATTATGAGTTTTCAGAATATCATTTTAGTATCATCAGTATGTGTGTGTTTGACAAAATGGTGTCATATGCATTTTATTCTACAGCTTGCCTTTTTCAATTAGCAGTGATGTTTGAGATTTATCCATGTTGATACAAATAGATCTAGTATATTCCTTTTAACTGTTATTGCTACTAATACTTGTCTGTTACAAACAGTGCTGCCTGGAACCTTTGAATAAGTGTCTACAAAGTGAATATGTGCCAGAGTTTCTCTCAAATAGAAATCTATATGTGGAACTGCTGGGTTCTAGGCTATGTGCAAATTACTTGAACCAATTTATATTCCCACAGCAGTATCTGAGAGTACCCAGTTCCTGAAAACCTTGTAAAAATTCATAAATAAAATTAAACCTTTGTGCCAATCTAAGGGAGAGAAACAGTATGTCATTGTTTTACTTTGCATTTCCCTGGTTTCTAGTGAGATTGAGCATCTTTTCATGTTTATTGGCCATTTGCATTTTCTCTTTCGTGAATCATCTGTTTATAATCTCTATTCAGATTTCTATTACATTGTCTGATTTTTTCTTATTAATCTATGAGATGATCTTTTGTTAAGTATGCTGCATATACTTTCTCCTAATCAGCTTTGCTTAGCTTTCAGCTTTTTTCATGGAGTCTTTGGTCATACAGGCCTAAATGTTAGTGCAATCAAGTTGATCGGCTTAGTTTCTCATTTTGGGGGGCTTGTTTTTCATTTTGCTTTTTGATTCTTGTTTAAGAAATCCTCTTTACCACATATTTGTAAGAATATTCATTTATATTGATCTAAATATATCTCTTTCTATACACACACACACATACATATTTTAAGTAGACCCTTTCTATACATGAATTTGTCATCTTGGAAAATATAAAGGCCTCTGGTGCCAGAACACTCTGGCTATAGATATTATGTTTGCTCAGAGGCAGAAGAAAAACTATAGATGAAGAAGAAAGATTCAAAATTTGATAGAGGATCAGAAAAGTATTGCTTGGGCTTTGGAAGTGGTGAATCTGAAACATGAAGGGAAACAGGACTAGCTTTAAGAATAGACTTTTTTCCTTGAGGTTAAGTGGGAAGAGAATATACTGGGAAGGATGACATCGATTAGACAAATGGTATAAGCTTACATGTTGTAGAGAAGGAATGACATTACATTAGGAATAGATGAAGTTTGGGAAAATATGTGAATCTACCCGAAAGAGATAGGGAATCTTAAATCAACTGGGAGTGGTGGTGTGTGCCTGTAGTCCTAGCTACTCAGGTGGCTAAGCAGGGAGGATTGCTTGACCCCAGGAGTTAGAGGCTGCAATGAGCCGTGACTGCTCCAGTCTGGGCGACAGAGCGAGAACGTGTGAGAGAGAAAGAGAGATAGGGCATCCTTGGGGGAGGGGCGGAAAAGATATGGAACAATAGGAGTAAAGAGGTTGTGCTGCTGCAGAAAAAGAGGTCAAGATACCTAATGCTAAATGACAAGTTAATGGGTGCAGCACACCAACATGGCACATGTATACATATGTAACAAACCTGCACGTTGTGCACATGTACCCTAAAACTTAAAGTATAACAATAATAAAATAATAAATAAATGAGGTCAGGAAAGCACTATTTCTGTTGGTCTGAACAGAAGCTAGAAAACACATAGAAGAAGACATGTTGTTTTTTCCTGCACCACTAAAGACTTGAGAAACATCACCAACAATAACTCCACTTCAGAAATGTGTTGATGGGAGGATTCTCCAGCTGACATAAGCGTGGAGGCAGAGGGAAAATCTAACCTAGGGAGGAGGACTGTTAGGATGAAACATTTCCAAAGTATAAAACAGTAGCATCTTCAGCATAAACGACATCATCAGACTTAAAACAAACCAACAAACCATCCACCCAGCCAACCATGGTATCTGGTGGGAGTTAGAGAAATAGAGAGAAGCAGGAAATTGGGTCTAGGGGAAATATAAGGCCAAGAACATAGGGTGTTTGGAGATGCCTCTTGTAAATAGGCAGAGCACTGTTGCAAGAAGGCAGAGCCTGCTCTCTTGGGGCTCCAGCTCAGTTTATATGTTGTGCTGCATTTGGGCACCAAGAATATGAAGATAAATATAAAAGCAAATGAAGAAGTTTTTAAAATGCAGAATGAACACAAATAGGAAGAAAAGAACCTAAGAAATTCCTGGGGATTGGTGAGAGCCTCAGTGCAAATTTCTGAATTGTGCAAGAAGCAGCACCAGTGTGTATAGGAGTGATGGACTTTTCAATGAAATTTGGAATTTAGTATCACAATTAATCTCCTGATCACGTTCCTTCTAACTGGGTTTAAGGTCATGAGAGTTGACAAGCAGGGACCCTGGACAACTGCATGGATTGATTGACATCCTGGCAATTCCGTTTTGTCTCCTTCCTCCTCTTCTTTGAATGTCTGTGTATTAGAATCTTACAGTGAATATGCGTTTGGGCATCATTCATTCCTCAGCTGACATACCTGCTACCTTTGATTAGATTATTTTTGTGTCTTTGAAAGCGGGGCCGTCCTTAAGCAAAACTGTGATGTTCTTCAATTTCTGATCCCTGATCTACAGATTTGTCTATAGCTGCACCCTTCTTTGTCTTCTTTCCATACTTCCCCATCAAGTGGTGTTGTGTGTATATCTTTAAAATTTTCTTCTCTGCTCCAAACTTAATAGACATAGCTGTGGAAAAACCCCCAAAGCTCAACATTTTCATGGGCCAGAAATGGAAACACTCAGTGGTAAGCTGGACTGCAGTATAGGCCTGCTGGGCTGTAGGTCCAGAAATAGGCAGAGTGAGGAGGGTGACTCCTGCAGGGCAATGAAAACCAAAGTGGCCCACATGTGGTGGGGCACCAGAGCCAGCATCACTGTGTAAAACCAAAGGCTAGGTGGGCCTGCCTGACCATGAAAGGAGGTTGAAACCACTCTGATCACTGCTTGAAGCTGCGGCTTTATAAAGCTGAATCTCTGTAGGGAACGGGAGGAAATAGAGCAAGCCAAGCAGCAGGATCTATTTGGCTCAGTAACTAGATCTACAATAGTCCCATCACTCTGGGCTAGGAGCAGCATACTTCCAAACAAGACCTGGTTCTGAATTTGCATGCTAAAGTTCTCCCTGGGGGCTGAGTGGAGGCAACTGCAAAACTTATACACAGGGAGAGGTGACCAGAGATCACGTAAACAACCCAAACAAAACTACAACACAAACAGCTCCACCCAAGATGAGTCTACCAACCCAAATATAAATAGTTTCCATTAGGAAAACTACCACTAAAAAAGACAGTAACAAAATCATCAATCAGGAGAAGAATCCGCTCCTAATGAAATACAAAATAATATAAAACTATCAAGTGATTTAAAAATTATGTTTTCAGGTCTTTAAGGGGATAAAGAAGAACAAGAAGTGATTATTTGGACCTAGCAACAAAAGTTATATGTCAATGAATAATACTAAAAAAATTTACTGGGGAAATGGAAAAAACTGAAGTCTCTCAAGCCCTTTTTGTATACTTAGATTTGACCGGCTAATTCTCATTCATTCAGTCAATCAATTCTACTTGAGATGTGTAATGTGCCGAGTGCTGTTCTAGGTGTTTGGCATACATCAGTGAAAAACACAAAGAATCTCATGGCTCTTGAGCTTATATTCTAGCGAGGGCACATAGTGAACAAAAATAAATAATTAAATCATCTAGTGTTTCTAAAAGTGATGGTGCTTTTGGGGAAAAAAAGAAAAGAAACAGGGTAAGAGAAGTGGGGAGCTCTGGAGTGGGCGGGTTGCAAATAAAAGTCTTATTTTATTCATTTAAACAGGTCATTTAAATGAATAAAAACTCTTATTTTATGCATTTAAACACACACTGGAACCTGTCAGGAGGGTGGGGAGGGAGAGTATCAGGAAAAAGAGCTAATGCATGCTGGGCTTAATATCTAGGTGATAGGTTGATAGGTGCAGCAAATCACCATGACACACGTTTACCCATGTAACAAATCTGCACATCCTACACATGTACCCCTGAACTTAAAATTAAAAAAAAAAACAGATTCTAAAGAACCTATATCTGATAAAATGTTAAGCCTGATTTAAGTTACTATATATAAAAGGAAAACATTTCATTTAAAAATGAATTCCATATTTTCATTCATCATGTAGGCTGTATTTAGCCTGAATTAGTGTCATTTTCATGTTTTTCTGCTTTTCAGTTGAGAGGAAGTTCATTGAAATCGTTTTTGCTTTCAGAAGAATATGTGTGTGGCTCACTAATATACACTTGTGTTTTCCTTAGCTCGGTAGATTCATAGCAAGGCGGGACTTGCCAGGCGAGCCATAGTGCTTGGAGCTGAAGGGAACCAATCACCACAAGACAGTGTCCTAAGAAATGGCCATCAAAGCTGGAAGTCCACCCGAGCCAGCAATCTGAGGAGACAGGGTAGGGAGCGAAGGTCCACATGGAAGCCCCAGGATGGGCAAAAAACATCAAGAAATTTGGAAATAGAGAATGGAAATGTCAACGAACAGTTCAGCTCTTCGTTGTGACCAGTGGTCTGTGACACAGCCCCCAGGAGATCCTGAGAACATGTGCCCAAGGTGGTCAGGCTACAGCTTGGTTTTTCACATTTTAGGGAGATATAAGACATCGATCAACATATGTAAGACGTACATTGGTTCAGTCCCAAAAGGCAGGATAACTCAAAGCAGGGGCTTCCAGGTCATAGGTAGATTAAAAGATTTTCTGATTGGCAATTGGTTGGAAGAGTTATATTATTGTCTGAAGACTTAGAATCAATGGAAGGCAATGTCTGGGTTAAGATAAAGCATTGTGGAGACCAGGGTTCCCATTATGCAGATAGCATCAATAGAAGGGAATAGATTGTAAATGTTTCTTATCAGACTTAAAGAGTCTGTTCTGTCAGTCTTTTTTTTTTTTTTTTTTTTAATTTATTTTTTTATTGATAATTCTTGGGTGTTTCTCACAGAGGGGGATTTGGCAGGGTCATGGGACAATAGTGGAGGGAAGGTCAGCAGATAAACAAGTGAACAAAGGTCTCTGGTTTTCCTAGGCAGAGGACCCTGCGGCCTTCCACAGTGTTTGTGTCCCTGATTACTTGAGATTAGGGATTGGTGATGACTCTTAAGGAGCATGCTGCCTTCAAGCATCTGTTTAACAAAGCACATCTTGCACCGCCCTTAATCCATTTAACCCTGAGTGGACACAGCACATGTTTCAGAGAGCACAGGGTTGGGGGTAAGGTCACAGATCAACAGGATCCCAAGGCAGAAGAATTTTTCTTAGTGCAGAACAAAATGAAAAGTCTCCCATGTCTACTTCTTTCTACACAGACACGGCAACCATCCGATTTCTCAATCTTTTCCCCACCTTTCCCGCCTTTCTATTCCACAAAGCAGCCATTGTCATCCTGGCCCGTTCTCAATGAGCTGTTGGGCACACTTCCCAGACGGGGTGGTGGCCGGGCAGAGGGGCTCCTCACTTCCCAGTAGGGGCGGCCGGGCAGAGGCGCCCCTCACCTCCCGGACGAGGCGGCTGTCCGGGCGGGGGGCTGACCCCCCCCACCTCCCTCCCGGACGGGGCGGCTGGCCGGGCGGGGGGGCTGACCCCCCCCACCTCCCTCCCGGACGGGGCGGCTGGCCGGGCGGGGGGCTGACCCCCCCACCTCCCTCCCGGATGGGGCGGCTGGCCGGGCAGAGGGGCTCCTCACTTCCCAGTAGGGGCGGCCGGGCAGAGGCGCCCCTCACCTCCCAGACGGGGCGGCTGGCCGGGCGGAGGCTGACCCCCCCACCTCCCTCCCAGACGGGGCGGCTGGCCAGGTGGGGGGCTGACCCCCCCACCTCCCTCCCGGACGGGGCGGCTGGCCGGGCAGAGGGGCTCCTCACTTCCCAGTAGGGGCGGCCGGGCAGAGGCGCCCCTCACCTCCCAGACGGGGCGGCTGGCCGGGCGGAGGCTGACCCCCCCACCTCCCTTCCAGACGGGGCGGCTGGCCGGGTCGGGGGGCTGACCCCCCCATCTCCCTCCCGGACGGGGTGGCTGGCCGGGCTGAGGGGCTCCTCACTTCCCAGTAGGGGCGGCCGGGCAGAGGCGCCCCTCACCTCCCGGACGGGGCGGCTGGCCGGGCGGGGGGCTGACCCCCCCACCTCCCTCCCGGATGGCACGGCTGGCCAGGCGGGGGGCTGAACCCCCCACCTCCCTCCCGGATGGCATGGCTGGCCGGGCGGGGGGGCTGACCCCCCACCTCCCTCCCGGATGGGGCGGCTGGCCGGGCGGGGGGCTGACCCGCCCCACCTCCCTCCCGGACGGGGTGGCTGCCGGGCGGAGATGCTCCTCACTTCCCAGATGGGGTGGCTGCCGGGCGGAGAGGCTCCTCACTTCTCAGACGGGGCAGCTGCCGGGTGGAGGGGCTCCTCACTTCTCAGACGGGGTGGTTGCCAGGCAGAGGGTCTCCTCACTTCTCAGATGGGGCGGCCGGGCAGAGACGCTCCTCACCTCCCAGACGGGGTCTCGGCCGGGCAGAGGCGCTCCTCACGTCCCAGAGGGGGCGGCGGGGCAGAGGCGCTCCCCACATCTCAGACGATGGGCGGCCGGGCAGAGACACTCCTCACTTCCTAGATGTCTGTTCTGTCAGTCTTAAGGTCTCTGTGTTGATGTTAATGCTGGTCAGCTATGCCTGAATTCCAAAAGAGAGGAGAGTATAATGAGGCATGTCTGACCCCCACTTCCCATTATGGCCTGAACTGGTTTTTTAGGTTAACTTTGGAATGACCTTAGCTGAGAGGAGGGGTCCATTTAGATGGTTTGGGGGCTTAGAATTTTATTTTAGATTTACAGAAGCCAGAAAGTGGGAGAGAGAAACAGAGAGAGCCATCTGTGGCTGCTATTTAGAGGGTCCTGTGGCCTGGGGTTTTGGTAGGGAAAAAAAGAGCTTTGCCCTGGCATGGACATGTATATTTCCTTCTTGTTTTTAAAAAAAATACATAATAGTCTTTCTGATGCAACTTGAAAGCAAGAATTTTTTAAAAAATCTGCAAAATGATTGTTCTAAGTATGGTCAGAAAAAGATGAATTCTACAAGGAAGGTGGATGCTTCAATTCTCTTGAGGCTGCTGCTTCTCCTGCTAGATCTTGATCAATAATGTTACCTGATGGGCAAAGGTAGGGCCAGTGGAATATACACATACTTCTAGATATGATTTGAGGAGCAGGCACTTGAATGGCATCTCTGTCCCCAAATTGCATCTCTGTCACTTTCCATCTTGCCTGAAATTCCAATTCATGTAGATTAAGATGTTTTCTTTAGAATATCCACATTAAAATGCAATTGTGTCACATAAGAATTCATCTACAAATTAATTTGGCAAACAAAGAACAGAATCTGGAGATCAAGACATTGAACAAGAAAAAAATGGGGAAAGAGAGTGGAAAAAAGAGACAAAAGTAAAACCAGAGAGAGCAGCCCAGAAGATGTCCCCTCCTGGGGAATTGTGATGAAGACTTTCAGAACGCCAGGAGGATGTAGAAAATTATCCAAAGGGGGCATATAGGGAAATTTTACTAATAATTTGCTTTATTTCTGGACCAAGCATTTATAGATAGCTTGTTTTAAAATTTGGCATCAATTTATAAACATTATTTTATTTTGTAATTTCTAGGGATTAAAAATATCTACTATGGAAATAAAGATAGAGTAGACCTTAGAGATCCAGGAAGGACTATTGTATATAACTTTACAAACTGCAAGAGAAGGTGCCAAGATCTTTGTTAGCGTAACTTTAATTCCAGCTGGTCATAGAATGTTCCACGGCTTGGAAGTATTTCTGGGACAGATTCGGCATTCAAATAAAAGGAAATTTACAGATCAGATAATCACTAGGGGATATAGATGTTGGGAGGTTGGGAGTGATCAGGGAATGGGGATGATCAGTTTTTTTCTGAGATTTTAGACTGAAGTGCCCAGTAGCCAGTTTGGAAGCCCTCAGCCTCAGGTAGAACCATGAGTCAGCAAAACATATAAATAGTAGACCAGTTAGGAATCAGATGATGGCCATTTCCTAAGGAATGATAGATGCTTTAGTGTACTTTCAGATAACGCATTCTTTGGAGTTCACAAAGTGGTGAAATGTCAACTTAAGAAATTGTTTAAGTAAATATCCATAAGTACTTGAAAATCATTAACTTTTTTTTTTTTTTTTTTTTTTTTTAGACAAGGTCTCCCTCTGTTGCCCAGGCTAGAGTGCAGTGATGCAATCATGGCTCACTGCAACCTCTGCTTCCCGGGCTCAAGAGATCCTCCTGCCTCAGCTTCCTGAGTAGCTGGGACTACAGGCGTGTGCCACCACACCTGGCTAATTTTTGTATTTTTTGTAGCGATGGAGTCTCACTATGTTGCTCAGCCTGACCTAGAACGCTTGGGCTCAAGCAATCCACCCACCTTGGCCTCCCAAAGTGCTGGGATTACAGATGCGAGCCATCATGCCTGGCCACATTTTTTTAATGTAAAAATTACTACTCTTTTTTTTTGTTTTTAAATGGCATGTTTCTTTGACTTGGTCTGCTTATTGTCCGTTACCCTGATTAAAGGTGGCTATGCAGGTGGAACTGGGAACTGGGTACCCAGAGTTGGCAGCTCATGGATACCTCAGCATTTATCCTCTTCCTTTTGTCTTTGTCAGGAGGAAAAGACTTTTCCTCTACCCTTTTATGTTCAATAACAGGGGGCCTGTAAATTAAACCGACAAAAGACAGACAAACAAGAGGAAAAGGCTTGTTATTCATAGGCATATAGAACTAACAAAAGAAGTAGCTAGCCTGATAAATAATTTTAATAAGTTTATATACCTACCCCTTTAGGAAAAAGGGAGGCGGTAGAAAAGACTTCTATGGGAAGAACAAATAGATTTCTTTAGGAAAGAAAAATGGGTTTTAGGAGAACAAGTAGGAGATAAGAAAGTTTATGATCACGTTTGTTTATGCAGGAACTCTCAGTCTTTTTGTCTTCTTCATGGCCATGAAACTCCTCCAGAGAGGAGATTTATGGTACATGTACTCTCAGTTTTCTTCTTGGGAGTAGACTTGCTCTAAAGAAGGAGTATATGGAAGCCTCTTTTCCCACAAGTTGCTGCTTTTAGTCATGTGAGGGAAGCTCCTAAAAGTCTTCTTTCCATGTCTGTTAAATCTCAAATATCTTCAGCTTAAAATAATTTTCATACCAACTGTAGGGTTCCAAGTGGGTCCCCATATCCCTTTTATATCTTAGACTAATCCATAGCCACATTGACATTCCTCCGTGTCTTAAAATTTTTTAAATGTCTTTATGTCAGAAAACTTTCAGTTTTAATCATAGAAAACCCAACTCAAATATATTTTAAGTATGAGGGAGAATTTCTTGATTCACCTACCTGGAAAGTTCAAGAGTAGATGTTACCAAGCTCTCTTTCTTCAGCTATCAGCTTTGCTTTCTTCTATATTGGCTTTTTTCTCAAGCAAACTCCCTCTTATGGTGGGAAGGTGGGAAGGAAGCCCCTCTCCCAGTTGCTCTAGCAAATGTGTAGAATTAGCTCAGTGAGCTTAAGTGAATAATAGACCCATCAATGGACCAATTACTGTGGCCAGTGTGGTTCCAACTAGCTAAGCCCAGGTTATATGCCCACCCCTGGACCATGCTGTGGGCTCAACTTTTCTGAAGCTCACATATTGAAAGTAGGTGAAAGACGAGTTCTGAAAAATTTCACTTACCAGAAGAAGGTAAAATGGATTTTAGTGGCCAACACCAAGAGATGTTCTTTATCTTTTTTTGTTTTAATGTTTGGTGTATAGTTAAATAGTGTCCTTAGGATTTATGTAAAGTTAGTATTTATTGGATGTTGGAGATGCAATATGATTCAGGCTGTGCGAGGATATAGACCTGTCTGGGAGTTTCTCCACAGCTAATGGGTAGGTACAAGGGTCTCCCAAAAGAAAACAATGGATAAGACTCCACAAGATGAACAAAACTGAATTGAAGGAAAATAAGTTCCATACGTCTAATACACAGCATGGTGACTAGGTGACTACAGTTAAAAATACTGTTATTTTATACTTGAAGTTTGTTTAGGAGTAGATCTTAATTAAATGTTCTCACTACAAACAAAAAATATATGTGAAGTGATGAGCATGTTAATTAGCCTGATTGTGGTAGTCATTTCACAATTAGACACATATCAAAACATCGCGTGTACTGTAAATATATGTATATATATAATTTTTATTTGTTATACTTCAGTATAACTGGAAAAAAAAGATGTGTTCCCTGAACACCTACCCCCCCATCCAAAAAAAAAAAAAAACCCAAACTGAATTGAAGGAAATTATATTTGCAGTCTCTCCTGACAATAGTCTTCCTAATTATTATTGGGTGTGGTTTGAATGATGACAGTGTTACTGGAAAGGGGTCCGGATGCAGACCTCAGTAGAGGGTTCTTGGATTTCACGCAAGAAAGAATTCAGGGCAAGTTGATAGAGTAAAGTGAAAGCAAGTTTATTGGGAAAGCAAAGAAAGCAAAGGAATAAAAGAATAGCTACTCCATAGACAGAGCAGTCCCGAGAGCTGCTGGTTGCCTTTTTTTTTTTTTTTTTTTTGAGACGGAGTCTCACTCTGTCGCCCAGGCTGGAGTGCAGCGGCTCGATCTCGGCTCACTGCGAACTCTGCCTCTCGGGTTCACCCCATTCTTCTGCCTCAGCTTCCCGAGTAGCTGGGACTACAGGCACGTGCCACCAGGCCCGGCTAATTTTTTTTTTTTTTTTTTTTTTTTTTTTTTAGTAGAGACGGGGTTTCACCGTGTTAGTCAGGATGGTCTCAATCTCCTGACCTTGTGATCCACCCACCTCGGCCTCCCAAAGTGCTGGGATTATAGGCGTGAGCCGCTGCGTCCGGCCCTGGTTGCCCATTTTTATGGTTGTTTCTTGATGATATGCTAAACATGGTCCTAAATTGGGCCTCTAACCCAATCTCATCATTTACCCGGGTACCCCACCACTTACCCCAAATCGGCCAATCAGTGCTGCAGTCTATTTCCTTTGGGTGGGGGTGGGGGTGGGGGTTGGGGGTTTCCTTCAGTATCATCCCTAACATGGTTCGCCATAAAGACGTTACCAGACCCCCCCCCACTTATCCAAAGTGAGCCTTTGGGTCGGGGATTTCCGCACTATAGTCCCTTCAGTGGTTCACCAGAAAGAGGTTACTGGACCCCCCCACTCACCCAAGTTAGCCTTTCGGTCGGGGGTTTCCTTAGTATTGTTGCTTCATGTCCATACCGACCCATGGGGTCCGGCAACATCTTTCTGGCGACCAGGAAGCGACAATACTAAGGAAAACCCCGACCCAAAGGCTAACTTGGGTGAGTGGTGGGGTCTGGTAACAATAGGAGGGAGAAACTGAACTGGGCAGGAATTGTGAAAAGTACTGTGCCATGGACAGGGACATACTAGGTTGCTGCAAAAGTAATTGTGTGGGTTTTTTTCTCCCCATTCAAACTAATGGCAAAAACCGCAACTACTTTTGCACCAATCTAATACTTCATATAACCTTTATCAAAGTTGAGTCCTGGAGCTTGGTATCATGAAATCAATAAAGTTTCCTGAGTATCCATTAGTCAGACTAGGCTCCGACTTCCTCATGTTATCCTAGTAACCTCAGGGTGTTTATTAAGGAAGGTATCAGGAGAAGTAACATAATTAACAGGACCTTTCTATACTGTGTAAACTGGTTCTCAATAAGTGTGTGTGCTTTGTCTTGATCTGTCACTTTCTTAAGGAGATGGTATTATTCCCCTTAGCTTTCTGCACATGGAAGGTGATTGATGAGACAAATGGATTCCTATAATAGTAAAAAGACTCATTATCACACCTCTCTCCCATCACCGATTGACTATATTTCTGGACATCCCCCATTTTGGTTGAGTTATAGCCAATATCAATTGGGATGACTCATATTTTACTCTTAGTATTTACCAGTGACTTTTCCACCTGACATACTGCAATCATAGTTTGACTTAAACACAAAGGGCCATTCCAAATAACAGATGAATCCATAATGCATATTTGACTCCAGTTCAGGTCATTATAACTTTTTCATTTCTTTCTTTTTTTTATTATTATACTTTAAGTTCTAGGGTACATGTGCACAACGTGCAGGTTTGTTACATATGTATACATGTGCCATGTTGGTTTGCTGCACCCATTAACTCGTCATTTACATTGGGTATTTCTCCTAATGCTATCCCTCCCCCAGCCTCCCACCCCAGGACAGGCCCCAATGTGTGACATTCTCCTCCCTGTGTCCTAGTGTTCTCACTGTTCAATTCCCACCTATGAGTGAGAACATGTGGTGTTTGGTTTTCTGTCCTTGTGATAGTTTGCTCAGAATGATGGTTTCCAGCTTCATCCAAGTCCCTAAAAAGGACATGTACTCATCCTTTTTTATGGCTGCATAGTGTTCCATGGTGTATATGTGCCAAATTTTCTTAATCCAGTCTATCATTGATGGACATTTGGGTTGGTTCCAAGTGTTTGCTATTGTGAATAGTGCCACAATAAACATACATGTGCATGTGTCTTTATAGTAGCATGATTTATAATCCTTTCAGTATATACCCAGTAATGGGATGGCTGGGTCAAATGGTATTTCTAGTTCTAGATCCTTGAGGAATCGCCACACTGTCTTCCACAATGGTTGAACTAATTTACACTCCCACCAACAGTGTAAAAGCGTTCCTACTTCTCCACATCCTCTCCAGCATCTGTTGTTTCCTGACTTTTTAATGATCACCATTCTAACTGGCGTGAGTTGGTATGACATTGTGGTTTTGATTTGCATTTCTCTGATGACCAGTGATGATGAGCTTTTTTTCATATGTCTGTTGGCTGCATAAATGCCTTCTTTTGAAAAGTGTTTCTTCATATCCTTTGCCTACTTTTTGATAGGGCTGTTTGATTTTTTTCTTGTAAATTTGTTTAAGTTCTTTGTAGATTCTGGGTATTAGCCCTTTGTCAGATGGGTAGATTGCAAAAATTTTCTCCCATTCTATAGGTTGCCTGTTCAATCTGATGGTAGTTTCTTTTGCTGTGCAGTAGCTCTTTAGTTTAGTTAGATCCCATTTGTCTATTTTTTTTAAGTTAATAAAATACAATTTATTTCACACACTGGGGTTCCACAAAGATTTCTTACTACAAACAGGATTCTGCTCCTGAACAACCTATACAATTTGATAACCACAGATGTAGCATAAAGTTATTCATTTTTAAACTCTAAATTCAGTTGCTTATTGGGGTTTTCACCTTGGATCTTGTACAAATTCTAACTAGAGTAAGAGTTCCTGGATGTGTCAAAAATCGTCACCTTCCCAACTCTTACATATGTAGGACAGTGACATCACTCCTGCCCACACAAGAACACACCTGTCCTGCCCTCTCTCAACAATGGAATGTTACAAAGCAGGACACACCTGAGTTAAAATGAGTATCCCTGAGGTTGATAATTCCCACCATGCACCTTGAAGACGGTTCTTGAATCTTTCATTCAGCCCGATGAAGAGAAGATTCATTGTAGCCGGTGTCACAGTAGGTGAGAAAAATTCAGAAGGCAACAGATTTGCGCTGCTGCACCAGCGACCCAAACCAGCCCACGAGTGCATAGTTACTGCCAGCACTTGAGAAAAGTGAGCCATTGGATACTCTGGGAAATCCAGAAAGCACCTTCTACTGCAAGAGTGAAGAGCATGATGCCCACAGAAAACACAACAGAAACAAGAAGTGAGACTCTTGAGGGTAATTTCCAGAATAGTACAGCATACTGGAGGCTTCGAATGAGAAAAAGTTTCCAAAAACTTCATGTTTGCTCCAAATTTTGAACCAGAACCCCCACCACAATTGTGAGGAGCCCTTTGGTAAACTTAATGGAGGTCAAGTCTTAAAGATGGTGGGTCTGTGGGAATGTTCATGCCATAAGTCTTCTTCTCTGTGGATTTGAGGCTGCTGAGCTGGGGTGGGAAGGGGAAGCGGAAGTGATGTCAGTGTTTAAAAATTGTGCTCTTCTTCAAGAATGGCCTAAAGTGGAGTGTAGGTTTTGGCAGAGAGGGTTTTACTCATTAGCTGCACGTTTATCTGAAGTCTCTCCATCTCTCCATCTCTCCACAGAGGTAGTAGTAAAAGGATTCGCAGATGCATGTAAAACCTGGGTTAGTTGAGAAATGCAAGTGAAAAACTAGTCTTTTTAGCCACAAGTCCTGTGTGTGTTTCATCTGTTTGGTTTTGTTTAAGGACAATTACCCCAAAGGAAAATCTCTGGCATCTTCCATCACAGAGTCAGAAGGTCTTGTCTGTCAGAGGGTCTGTCTGTCATCAGTAGAGTCCACTCCAAGGGCGCCTGGGAATGGTGGGGTCTGGAGCAGGCCAGCTTTCTCCAGGAAGAGATGCATTGTACAGGGCTGGTTCCCCCAAGGGACTGCTCTGCCATGGCCATTAAGGACACAGCCCAACAAGTCACTGCATCTGGAAGTGATGCTGAGAAAGATGCATCTAGTGTCCCTAAGCCCTCCATTTTCCGTTTTTGGGAAAGGAATAGACACTTTTCCCCTTGCACAGTGGAATCCAGGTAGTCCACAGACACATTAGTGAGGAGGAGGGGATCTTTTTAAAAATTACAGAAAATCCAGAAATCCTAAGGAAAAGATTAACAGATATGACAACATGAAAGTTTAAAACCAGTATGGCACAAAAATATTAACATACTGAAAGACAAATGGGAAACTGCAGGGGGGCAGGGAATATTTGTACCATATGACAAAGCTTAAATCCCTACATACAAAGAACACTAAAGAAATTAAGAGCCCCAGCAAATAGATTTTTGAAAAGATAGCCCACTCCCCAACTATTTGAACTCCCTTGGCTGTCTTCCTAGCAAAGGAAGCCCACTGCATGAGGGGCGATAAGCAGAGAAGCCAGCCACCATCTTGCCATCACGTGGTCTTGACTGATGATTTCTTGTTGGCACACAGGAGGGACACATAGGGGACACCAATGAAGGCCCATTTCTCGCTGGGCCAGAATTTGATGACAGGGCCTTGCTCAGGAATCTCTGAGGCAGCATCAAAGTAGGCAAAGCATACACAGCCCAGGTAGGCAGCAAGGCAGATGAGGATGTGCCACATGCAGTGCAGGTAGGGGAAGTTGAAGGATGACAGCAGCTCGCAGAAAGCTCGGTCACTGATCCAGCAGAACAGGGCCAGGGTCCACCAGAGGCCCGAGAAGAGGCCCAGCTTAAACACACGCATGTTGTCACACCTCTTTAGCTCTGTGATGAGCAGTGCAGCGCAAGGAACTCCCAGGGTCATCAGAGAGATGTTGTTGATGGCAGGCTTGACAAATGCCAGGCACGTCATAACTGCAGACAGGACACAGACCACCACCTTGAACCTACCCTGGTCATTCCGAAAGATCTTTGGTAGATACCTTCTGGGGAACCACATGACCGAAGCACACATCAGAACCCAAAGGACTGCAAGTTCATCAAGCATCTGACCCAGGAAACTAAGGGTTGCATGGAAGTAGACGGATCCAATTCCCGCTACAACCAAGAGTCCAGATTAAGTAGATGCCGCTGTTGAAGCATGTTGCATACTGACGAAACAAGCACATGCAGATGGGCGGTAAAATGAAAAATAAGACATTGCTGATCATGTTATAGAACTCGGCGACAGCAGGCACGATGGTGTAGTTGTCCTCGCGCCAGTCCACCTCCGAGCTGCCAGCCTGCAGCTGGTCCCACCAGTGCGGGGCGCCCATGGCCACTCTGGGGCATTGGAGCAGCTGCTCCTGCAGCTGAGAAGAGCCCAGAGCTGCTGCGGAGGCAAGACGCCGCGACAGCCAGCGGCGAGAGCGGCTTTATGAAGTACCGGGTAACCGCCGGATGGGCGCCTCTCAACCGGCCTCCCGCGCTCCGCCCCACCTCCCCCCCATTTGTCTATTTTGGCTTTTGTTGCCATTGCTTTTGGTGTTTTAGTCATGAAGTCCTTGCCCATGCCTATGTCCTGAATGGTATTGCCTAGGTTTTCTTCTAGGGTTTTTATGGTTTCAGGTCTAACATTTAAGTCTTTAATCCATCTTGAATTAATTTTTTTATTAGGTTTAAGGAAGGGATCCAGTTTCAGCCTTCTACATATGGCTAGCCAGTTTTCCCAGCACTACTTATTAAATAGGGAATTGCTTGTGTGTGTCAGGTTTGTGAAAGATCAGATGGTTGTAGATGTGTGGTGTTATTTCTGAGGCCTCTGTTCTGTTCCATTGGTCTACATCTCTGTTTTGGTACCAGTACCATGCTGTTTTGGTTATTGTTGCCTTGTAGTATAGTTTGAAGTCAGGTAGCATGATACCTCCAGCTTTGTTCTTTTTGCTTAGCATTGTCTCTCCAATGTGGGCTCTTTTTTAGTTCCATATGAACTTTAAAGTAGTTTTTTCCAATTCTGTGAAGAAAGTCTTTGGTAGCTTGATGGGGTGGCATTGAATCTATAAATTACCTTGGGCAGTATGGCCATTTTCATGATATTGACTCTTCCTATCCGTGAGCATGGAATGTTCTTCCATTTGTTTGTGTCCTCTTTTATTTCATTGAGCAGTGGTTTGTAGTTCTCCTTGAAGAGGTCCTTCACATCCCTTGTAAGTTGGATTCCTAGGTATTTTATTCTCTTTGAAGCAATTGTGAATGGGAGTTCACTCATGATTTGGCTCTCTGTCTGTCTGTTATTGGTGTATAAGAATGCTTGTGATTTTTGCACATTGATTTTGTATCCTGAGACTTTGCTGAAGTTGCTTATCAGCTTAAGGAGATTTTGGGCTGAGACGATGGGGTTTTCTAAATATACAATCATGTCATCTGCAAACAGGAACAATTTGACTTCCTCTTTTCCTAATTCAATACCCTTTATTTATTTCTCTTGCCTGATTGCCCTGGCCAGAACTTCCAACTCTATGTTGAATAGGAGTGGTGAGAGAGGGCATCCTTGTCTTGTGCTGGTTTTCAAAGGGAATGCTTCCAGTTTTTGCCCATTCAGTATGATATTGGCTGTGGGTTTGTCATAAATAGCTCTTATTATTTTGAGATACACTCCATCAATACCTAGTTTATTGAGAGTTTTTAGCATGAAAGGCTGTTGAATTTTGTTGAAGACTTTTTCTGCATCTATTGAGATAAACATGTGGTTTCTGTCATTGGTTCTGTTTATGTGAAGGATTAACATTTATTGATTTGTGTATGTTGAACCAGACTTGCATCCCAGGGATGAAGCCAACTTGATCATGGTGGATAAGCTTTCTGATGTGCTGCTGAATTCGGTTTGCCAGTATTTTATTGAGGATTTTTGCATTGATCTTCATCAGGGATATTGGTCTAAAATTCTCTTTTTTTTGTTGTGTCTCTTCCAGACTTTGGTATCAGGATGATGCTGGCCTCATAAAATGAGTTAGGGAAGATTCCCTCTTTTTCTTTTCATTGGAATAGTTTCAGAAGGAATGGTACCAGCTTCTCTTTGTACCTCTGGTAGAATTAGGCTGTGAATCCGTCTGGTCTTGGACTTTTTTTGGTTGGCAGGCTATTAATTATTGGCTCAATTTCAGAGCCTGTTATTGGTCTATTCAGAAATTCCACTTCATCCTGCTTTAGTCTTGGGAGAGTGTATGTGTCCAGGAATTCATCCATTTCTTCTAGATTTTCTAGTTTATTTGCTTAGAGGTGTTTATAGTATTCTCTGATGGTAGTTTGTATTTCCATGGGATTGGTGGTGATATCCCCTTTATAATTTTTTATCGTGTCTATTTGATTCTTCCCTCTTTTCTTCTTCATTAGTCTTGCTAGCGGTCTATCAGTTCTGTTTATCTTTGCAAAAAACCAGCTCCTGGATTCATTGATTTTTTGAAGGTTTTTTTGTGTCTCTATCTCCTTCAGTTCTGCTCTGATCTTAGTTATTTCTTGCCTTCTGCTGGCTTTTGAATTTGTTTGCTCTTGCTTCTCTGGTTCTTTTAATTGTGGTGCTAGGGTATTGATTTTAGATCTTTCCTGCTTTCTCTTGTGGGCATTTAGTGCTATAAATTTCCCTGTACACACTGCTTTAAATGTGTCCCAGAGATTCTGGTACGTTGTGTCTTTTTTCTCATTGGTTTCAAAGAACATCTTTATTTCTGCCTTCATTTCGGTATTTACCCAGTAGTCATTCAGGAGCAGGTTATTCAGTTTCCATGTAGTTGAGCTGTTTTGAGTGAGTTTCTTAATCCTGAGTTCGAATTTGATTGCACTGTGGTCTGAGAGATAGTTTGTTGTGATTTCTATTTTCCATTTGCTGAGGAGTGCTTTACTTCCAACTATGTGGTCAATTTTGGAATAAGTGCAATGTGGTGCTGAGAAGAATGTATATTCTGTTGATTTGGGGTGAAGAGTTCTGTAGATGTCTATTAGGTCCACTTGGTGCAGAGCTGAGTTCAAGTCCTGGGTATCCTTGTTAACCTTCTGTCTCATTGATCTGTCCAATATTGACAGTGGGGTGTTAAAGTCTCCCATTATTATTGTGTGGGAGTCTAAGTCTCTTTGTAGGTCTCCAAGGACTTGCTTTATGAATCTGGGTGCTCCTGTATTGGGTGCATATGTATTTAGGATAGTTAGCTCTTCTTGTTGAATTGATCCCTTTACCATTATGTAATGGCCTTCTTTGTCTCTTTTGATCTTTGTTGGTTTAAAGTCTGTTTCATCAGAGACTAGGATTGCTACCCCTGCTTTTTTTTGTTCTCCATTTGCTTGGTAGATCTTCCTCTATCCCTTTATTTTCAGCCTATGTGTGTCTTTGAGCATGAGATGTGTCTCCTGAATACAGCACACTGATGGGTCTTGACTCTTTATCCAATTTGCCAGTCTGTGTCTTTTAATTGGAGCATTTAGCCCATTTATTTTTAAGGTAAATATTGTTATGTGTGAATTTGATCCTGTCATTATGATGTTAGCTTGTTATTTTGCCCATTAATTGATGTGGTTTCTTCCTAGTATCGATGGTCTTTACAATTTGGCATGTTTTTGCAGTGGCTGGTACAGTTGTTCCTTTCCATGTTTAGTGCTTCCTTCAGGAGCTCTTGTAAGACAGGCCTGGTGGTGACAAAATCTCTCAGCATTTGCTTGTCTGTAAAGGATTTTATTTCTCCTTCACTTACGAAGCTTAGTTTGGCTGGATATGAAATTCTGGGTTAAAAATTCTTTTCTTTAAGAATGTTGAATATTGACCCCACTCTCTTCTGGCTTGTAGAGTTTCTGCCAAGAGATCCACTGTTAGTCTGATGGGCTTCCCTTTGTGGGTAACCTGACCTTTCTCTCTGGCTTCTCTTAACATTTTTTCCTTCATTTCAACCTTGGTGAATCTGACAATTATGTGTCTTGGGGTTGTTCTTCTTGGGGAGTATCTTTGTGGTGTTCTATGTATTTCCTGAATTTGAATATTGGCCTGCATTGCTAGGTTGGGAAAGTTCTCCTGGATAATATCCTGAAGAGTGTTTTCCAACTTGGTTTCATTCTCGTCACTTTCAGGTACATCAATCAAACGTAGATTTGGTCTTTTTACATAGTCGTATATTTCTTGGAGGCTTTGTTCATTTCTTTTTACTCTTTTTTCTCTAAACTTCTTGCTTTATTTCATTAATTTCATCTTCAATCACTGATACCCTTTCTTCCACTTGATTGAATCAGGTATTGAAGCTTGGGCATGTGTCATGTAGTTCTTGTGCCATGGTTTTCAGCTCTATCAGGTCATTTAAAGTCTTCTCTACACTGTTTATTCTAGTTAGCCAATTGTCTAATCTTTTTTCAAGGTTTTTAGCTTCCTTGCGATGGGTTCAAGCATCCTCCTTTAGCTTGGAGAAGTTTGTTATTACCAACCTTCTGAAGCCTACTTCTGTCAACTTGTCAAAGTCATTCTCCATCCAGCTTTGTTCCGTTGCTTGCGAGGAGCTGCGATCCTTTGAAGGAGAAGAGGTGCTCTGGTTTTTAGAATTTTCAGCTTTTCTGTTCTGGTTTCTCCCATCTTTGTGGTTTTATCTACCTTTGGTCTTTGATGTTGGTGCCCTACAGATGGGGTTTTGGTGTGGATGTCCTTTTTGTTGATGTTGATGCTATCCCTTTCTGTTTGTTATTTTTCCTTCTAACAGTCAGGTCCGTTGGCTGCAGGTCTGTTGGAGTTTGCTGGAGATTCATTTCAGACACTGTGTGCCTGGGTATCACCAGTGGAGGCTGTAGAACAGCAAATATTGCGGAACAGCAAATATTGCTGCCTGATCCTTCCTCTGGAAGCTTTGTCACAGAGGGGCACACGGCAGTATGAGGTGTCAGTCAGCCCCTACTGGGAGGTGTCTCCCAGTTAGGCTACATGGGGGTCAGGGACCCACTTGAGGAGGCAGTCTGTCTGTTCTCAGAGCTCAAACACCATGCTGGGAGAACCACTGCTCTCTTCAGAGCTGTCAGACAGGGATGTTTAAGTCTGCAGATGTTTCTCTGCCTTTTGTTCAGCTATGCCTTGCCCCCAGAGATGGAGCCTATAGAGGCAGCAAGCCTTGCTGCGCTGCAGTGGGCTCTGCCCAGTTCGAGCTTCCCAGCCACTTTGTTTACCTACTCAAGCCTCAGCAATGGCGGACGCCCCTCCCCCTGCTGGGCTGCTGCCTCGCAGGCTGATCTCAGACTGCTGTGCTAGCAGTGAGCAAGGCTTTGTGGGCATGGGACCCACTGAACCAGGGGCAGGATATAATCTCCTGGTGTGCCGTTTTCTAAGATGGTTGGAAAAGTGCAGTATTTGAGTGGGAGTGTGCCGTTTTTCCAGGTACAGTTTGTCACGACTTCCCTTGGCTAGGAAAGGGAAATCCCCTGATCCTTCATGCTTCCTGGGTGAGGTGACACCCCGCCCTGCTTCGGCTTGCCCTCTGTGGGCTGCACCCACTGTCCAACCAGAACCAATGAGATGAACCAGGGACCTCAGTTGAAAATGCAGAAATCACCCGTCTTCTGCATTGATCACACTGGGAGCTGCAGACTGAAGCTGTTCCTATTCGGCCATCTTGAAACGGCTCTCTCTTTTTTTTTGAAACAGAGTCTCACTCTGTTGCCCAGGCTGGAGTGCAGTGGCATCATCTTGGCTCACTGCAATCTCTGCTTCCTGGGTTCAAGCAATTCTCCTGCCTCAGCCTGCCAAGTAGCTGGGATTACAGGCCTGCACCACAATGCCTGGCTATTTTTTTTTTTTTTTTTTTTTTGTATTTTTTAGTAGAGATGAAGTTTTGCCATGTTTGCCAGGCTGGTCTCAAACTCCTGACCTCAAGTGATCTGCCCACCTCGGCCTCCCAAAGTGCTGGGACTACAGGTGTGAGCCACCACCCCAAGCCACTTTTTTATTTATTTCTGATTGCCATAATATTTCTAAGCCAATACTGATTGAGACCTACTCTGTACCAGGCATGGTCCTGGGAACTACAGATAGAAAGATGATTAAGAATATGGTATTTGCTCTCTGTGATAAGTTCAATAAAGGATTCACATATGTAACCCAAATGTCCCCAACAAGCTTCTGGCTCCTGGATGAGATGACTTCAACTGTTTTTCCCTATATGTGTGTCAATTAATAGCATCGCTCACCTTACCTTCTCACCTTACCTCAATCTTTCTTCTCTCTGTGAATCTACAAAAATGGGAGTTTGTTTCTCATGTAGTTTATGTCAACATCCTATGTCTGCCAGCCTTCTGTTTTGGCAGCTTCCCTCATTGTCCCTCATTAATTATTAATAACGATTTGTCCACATTGTCCACATTGATGGTGCCTAACCTCTCTATTGGTGTACTTGGAGTGTGTACCCAGGGGAACTAACCTGTTTCCCACCTTTGGTGTTCACTCCTTTCTCTGGCTTGTTGGTTACATTTTTTTTTGCTCCACTCTTCGGTAGGGATTGGGACAAGGGATGAGAGTGAGGTGGAAGAGAAAAAAGGTATCTTTCTGGCAGAATTGCTTAGGCTCATAATGATAAGGTTTTTTTATATAACTTTTTTCTGATAATCTTGCTTTTGCTTTTTAGCCCCATATTATATAGGGAACCGGGTGGTTGGATGAGGGTGGCTTGAGTTGAGCCTCATTTGAACTCAGAACAAATGTTTCCATCTATTAAACACTTATCCTCAGACCTGGCTCACTGTGGCAGACTCCTCTCTGGAGTCTGGCTTATGGTGGCCCTCTTCCCAAGCCCACTGGACATGCCTATATATTTCTGAAACTTGGTTGTACATAGGTTCAAACTCATTGCCATGGAGTCCTCAGGAGTCATGCAAATAAGTATGTTTTGATCATCTTTGCTGTTAACAAGTATCTCTAAAACCTAGTGGCTTAAAATAACCATCGTTTTATTATCTCTCATAGTTTCATGGGTTGACTCAGGTGGGCAGTTCTGCTCGTTTCACTTGGAATTTCTCATATGGTTGCCGTCAGTTGGTGACTGTGGTTAGAGTCATCTGGACTTTACTGCAATCAATGTGCCTGTTCATTCTCTAAGTAGACTCAAGACCTCTTCTGTTCTTTTTTTTTCTTTTTTAATTATACTCAAAGTTTTAGGGTACATGTGCACAACATGCAGGTTAGTTACATATATATACATGTGCCATGTTGGTGTGCTGCACCCAGTAACTCGTCATTTAACATTAGGTATATCTCCAAATGCTATCCCTCCCCCCTCCCCCAACCCCACAGCAGGCCCCATTGTGATGTCCCGCTTCCTGTGTCCATGTGTTCTCATTGTTCAATTCCCACCTATGAGTGAGAACATGTGGTGTTTGGTTTTTTGTCCTTGTGATATCTTGCTGAGAATGATAGTTTCCAGCTTCATCCATGTCCCTACAAAGACGTGAACTCATCCTTTTTTATGGCTGCATAGTATTCCATGGTGTATATGTGCCACATTTTCTTAATCCAGTCTATCATTGGTGGACATTTGAGTTGGAAGACCTCTTCTGTTCTTATGGCCACTCCATGTGGCCTCTGTCACGGGACTTTTTACGTGGCAGCTTAGGGTTTCCCAAAGCCAGCATTCCAAGATGGAGGAAAAAAAAATCAGTCCATCCTTTTAAAGGCTAGGCTTAGAAATAGTGTAGCATCACTTTTGCTGAATTCTACTGGTTAACTCAAGTCACAGGCCAGCCCAGATTCAATGTGGGAGGGTTTTATGCAAGGATATGAATACTGAGTGTCATGGTACAATGGATGGCCATCCTTAGAGACTAGCCACCACAGTCCACCCTCTGTTTCTCAATAATGTATGTCCTTCCTTCATGCAAAATACATTTTTCTCCCTTCCAAGACCATTGAAGTCTACTCATACCATGGCATCAGGTTTGGGCTTTAAATCCAGGATCATGTCATCTGAATCATATCTAGGTGAGCTTAAGGTTTCTTGGGTTCAGCTATCGTCAACCTGAAGACTGATGAAGTAAAAAGACAAATAATCCGCTTCCCACCCAAAACACAAATACAATGGCTAGGCAGTGATGAAAAACTGAAATAGAAATCCCATTCATGAAAGGGAAAACAGGAAGCATAGAGCAGTCACTGGTTCATAGCAATTCTGAAATTAAGTTGAGAAAATTTTGCCAATTCTTTGACCAAAATTCATTTCTACTCCCTAGAGTGGTCCTCTGTGGCTCTTGGTTCCACCATTTAGGCTTTGTTTTCACCCTCTGAGTCATCTTTCCTTTTGCATAAGAAATGGCCTGTATTTACAGCTGAGTAGCTTCCTCAGCTTTCTTTCTATCAATATAAACCTATGGCCCAGCGACTTCTTTTCATTTTTTTTAAAGACATTTATTCAGCATCACGATCAGACTATTACATTTAGCAATCAATAGCATGGGTGCAAAAAAAAATCTACATTTCAAAATCCTTTGTTGGAATGCTTTACACTTTCCACAGAACAGAAACTAAAATAACCTGTTATACAATTAGTCACAAATACAGTCCTCGAGCTTTTTGCCCATACACATGAGTACTTGTCTAAAACATGTCTTCTTTGTAGCAGCTAGGCCATGCCACCACTGTGTTTTGCTGGGTTCACAAATCTGTTGTAACTTGTAGCTTCCCTGTCACTTCTCTGGCTCTCCTATCCTGCTAAGCTTCTGCCACTGCCATAGCTACTGCTGCTACTGGAACAGCCATAGCCACCTTGGTTTCATGGTTTGGCTAAGTATTGGTCTCCACCACCATAGGGGCCAGAGGTTCTGCCTCCAATCCTCCCTTCATGGGTCCAAAATTTGAAGACTGTTGTAATTGCCAAAGTCATTGTAGCTTCCACCACTTCCAAAATTGCTTCCATCATTACCAAATCCATTATAGCCATCCCCACTGCCACCATATCCACCACCACCATGGCTGCCACCAAAGCCACCACGACCACTGAAGTTTCCTCCATGACCAAAGTTGTCATTCCCACCAAAACCACCTCCACGACCACGACCAAAGTTTCCAGAACAACTTCGACCTCTTTGGCTGGACGAAGCATTAGCCATCTCTTGCTTTCACAGGGCTTTCCTAACTTCACAGTTGTGGCCATTCACAGTGTGGTATTTCTGAATGACAATCTTATCCACAGAGTCATGGTTGTCAAAGATTACAAAGGCAAAGCCCCTTTTGTTGCCACTGACTCTGTCAGTCATGATTTCAGTCACTTCAATTTTTCTACACTGCTCAAAATAATCTCTTAGGTGATGTTCTTCAGTGTCTTCTTTAATGCCACCAACAAATATCTTTTTCACAGTTAAGTGGGCACCTGGTCTCTGAGAATCTTCTCTTGAGACAGCTCTCTTTGGTTCCATGACTCTTCCATCCACCTTGTGTGGCCTGGCATTCATGGCTGCATCCCCCTCCTCCACAGTGTCATATATGACAAAACCAAAGCCCGTGGAGCACTTGGTGTTTGGATCTCTCATTACCACACAGTCTGTGAGTGTTCCCCCATTGCTCAAAATGGCTCCTCAGGCTCTCATCGGTTGTTTCAAAGCTCAACCCTCCAATGAAGAGTTTCCTCAGCTGTTCGGGCTCTTTAGGAGACTCTGACTTAGACATGACAGCAGGAAGAAGAGAGACTTTAACTATGCTTCTTTGGCGGCGTCCACGGGGGGAAAGGAGCAAGCTGATGAACATATATCAGACTTCTTTTCATTTTAAACTATGTTTGCATCTTTTAGTCCAAGCTGATGGTACAGTTCTCTTGAACTGTGCCAGTGTCCTATCAACCTTACAGGGTCACTCGATTAGACAGAAGCCACATACACAATTGTTTTTGAGACAGACCCCCTCTACCTTGGCCTGTGAATCAGGGTGCTGTGGGACAATGTCTTAATATTCTTAGAAGCTCTATTGTCTGGGTGAGAGTGTTTATAAGACATACCATTTAAGGTTCTTAGAAGTCTTTCTGTGTAGATAAAAGGGTCTATGAGGAATATCCTCAACACTTCCTAAGGTCTCAACAAATTGGCTACCTCACTGATGCAAAATTACTCCTGGGATCATGTTTTGCCAGAAGAGTCCTGGATTTGATCTTTGCTGTGAGGTCATCTCTTCCAGGATCTTTTGCTGCCTGGAGGAGCTAGAAAAGAGAAAGTTTTATTTTTGAATCCAGAAAGTCCTAAATTCTGTATATTTTCTCCTAATTTTGGTTAAAAACTGAAGAATTACTTTTTTAGTTCATGTTTCTCCTCCTGTATGTTAACACAGGCAGCCAAAAGAAGCCAGTTGGTGCTTTTGATACAGTCGTATGTGTGGGGAATTGGTTCCAGGAACACTGCAGATACCAGAATGCGAGGATGCTCAAGTCCCTTATATAAAATGGTAGAGTATTTGCATATAAACTATGCACATCCTTCCGTATACTTTAAAACATCTCTAGATTACTTATAATATCAGATACAATGTAAATGCTATGTAAATAGTGGTACTACATTTTAAAAATGGGTATTATTTTTATTGCTGTACTATTATTATTTATTTGAGTATTTTCCACCCATGGTTGGTTGAGCCAATGGATGAGGAACCCGTGGAGGCAGAACCCATGGATACAGAGAAGCTGACTGCATTCTGACTGAAAATCTCCTAGCCAGAGCTATCTGTTTACGACATATTCTTCCTGTCTTCCATGCTACAGGGGATAGTTTTGCTAATTGGTCTGCACATAATTCAGGTCACGTTTTCTCCAGTTTCCAATAGCAATTTCTTCGGTGTCCTTCGAGTCTTCACTATTCACCTCCTTAAGGAGCTTTCCAGCTTCTGCCTGCCACTGAATTCCAAAGCCCATGCCATATGTTTTAGGGTTTTGTTATGGCAACACCCTACTTCTATGAATCAAGTCCTGTTTTGGTCGTGTATTGCTTAAACTTAAAACTTATGAGTACTTAAACAATAACCAGTTTATTAGCTCTCATTGTTCTGTGGTTGACTGAGCACAGCCATGAAGTTCTACTGGTTTAACTGGGATCTTTCTTGTGGCTGCAGTAAGATGTTGGCTGTGGTGGGGGTCAACTGGTGGTTGCAACTGGGATCCCGAGACAGCTAGGTCTCTTTCCTTCTCCATATGGCCTCTCTGTGTGGTCTTTCTAGTCATGTAGCTGTACTTCCTTCCTTCTTTTTTGAGACAGAATCTCACTCTGTCACCCAGGCCTAGGCTGGAGTGCAATGGCATGATCTCAGCTCACTGCAACTTCCACCTCCCAGGTTCAAGCGATTCTTGTGCCTCAGCCTCCTGAGTAGCTGGGATTGCAGGCATGTGCCACCACGCCTGGCTAATTTTTGTATTTTTAGTAGAGACATAGTTTCACCATGTTCGCCAGGCTGGTCTCGAACCCCTGACCTCAAGTGATCCACCCGCCTTAGCCTCCCAGAGTGCTGGGATTGCAGGCATGAGCCACTGCGCCCACCCTAATTACATGGCTGTACTTCTTACACTGTGGCTCTGGATTCCACAAATGGAATGTTCCAAGAGGGAGGAAGAAGCAGCAGCCAGTCCTTTTAAAGGCTGAAATTGGTGCCGTGCCACTTTGACCACTTTCGATTGGAAATCTTAAGTCGGTGTAGGAGAGAACCACACGAGGGCATGGATACCACGAGGCGTGAAATTTGGTGTCCATCTTAGGAGACTAGTTACCACATAGTGTATGTGGCTAGATATTTGCAATTTGAAGTCAGCAGGAATGGAGAAGTATTCCTTAATTATGGACACAATTGTATTAGAGGATCTGCTGTGGTTCAGCTAGGAACATACCTACATACATGCAGGTATGTTTATGAACATGTGTGTGTGTAGACAGATATTAAAAATTTTGAAAATGCATGCAGTCATTGCCTAATAACAGACAATTCACAAAACATACTTTGCTATGTGAGTTAATATGGAGGAAAATGGGAAAGACAAGAAATATTAGCCTGGAAGTGAAGGAATTCCTCATCTAAACCAAGGATTGCTACAGTATGGTAGTGTGACCTTGGACAAGTTCCAGCCTCTCTGGCTCTTAGTTTTCTTATCTTAAGAACCCTTTCCTGTTTAAAATTCTTGGACACTAATCACATGTTTTGCTCTTTCTCATATTTCAAGACTGAGTTGAAATGCTACCTCTTCTGTGATGTCTTCCTCCAAATCTAAATCTAATCACATCCTATGCAGAGTGATGTGATGTTCTCAGATTGATGGCCACCAAGTTAGCAAAAACTTTTTAAATGTTTCACCACATCTAGAGAACAAGGGATTTGTGAAATCAAACAGTAATTTGAATTATTTATCTGTGGGCTGAAAACACAAATTTGTCATTTTTTAAGTTTCTGCTTTTCATCATGGATATAACATAGGTGAAGTTCTCTATGTGGATGGCTGTTTCAACAGTTGTTTAAATAGATGTAATTATGGTCGTAAGGTAGACTAACTGCTAAAACAAACAACCCCAACATTTCAGTGGCTTAACATAATAAAAGTTTAGTTTTTGCTCATGTAATAGTTCAATATGAGCATTTGTGGACAAGCAGTTCCTGGGCAGCTCTCCTCTGCTATTTCCTCACAGTTTTTCTTTCCTTTTCTTTTTAATGTCATTGAGGACTTCTCCATTCAACTGGCAGGTGAAGCCAGAGAGACTGGATTGCACATGGAGGTTGTTCTGGTCCAGGTCCAGAAGTGATGTCTCTCTCCTGCCTGCATCCATTGGCCAGAACACAGCCACGTGACTGACTGCTCATAGCTTCAGGGGAGGCTGGGAAATGTAGTTTACCTGTGTGCCCAGGAAAGAGAGCAATTAGATATTGGTGAGCAGCTAGCATCCTCTGCTACAATGTCCTTTCTTCCGTTCTTCATATTTTACTCCACAGCCCTTTGACATTTATTTATCTGTGTACAAATTCTATTTTTCACTTTAATATTAGAGAATTTAGAAAATATAGAAAGGTAAAGAGAAGAAACCAATAATTGCCCATAATAACTCAGTGGTTATTTGGTTATTTTTGGAATATTAATATGTATATATATATATATTTAGAATGGTTGAAATTATAACTTTGCATCACTTTGTAATCTTTTTTTAATCACTTAATAGTGCAAGAGAAGTACTTTCCTATGTCAACAAAACTCTCCATAATTGATGCCTAAAAAGCTTTATAAAATTCCATCTCATGATAATTTACTGTATGAGTAGAAAGAATAGAGAGAAATGTTTGGACAGGTTTCAAAAGACCTAGTGTATCAGCGAATCCCTGTGTTAATGGTAAAGCAGCTCAGTGTTATAGCCTCAGGGTGGGATGAGGGGAAGGAGACTTCTTGCTAAATACTTTCTCTGATATATTGCATGCTCCATTAGAATAAATATCTTAGTTTCAAATTGATAATTCATTATCAGCTAAAATGCTTCTTGAGATTAATTTCTTCTTTTCACTGTCAGCACATTAAAACACAAAGGGATTGGCAGATTATATTCCAAAAACTGGAAGAGATTAATTTTGCCATTTGAATTATTTTGCATTTTGATAGCCTTCTTGGTTTTTTTTCTGTTTCTTTTCACCCGTAAGTAGTCAGAATTGTCATAAACATGGAGCTGCTTATTTTCTAGCCCACTAGAAGTAGTGTTGGACAGTAGCAGGGCTTCCTGATGCTCACACTATCAGATTTATGAAGCGGAAGAAAGATATTCCAGTAACGGGGCAAATTCACTTCCAGGGAGGAAATGCCAAGCAACCTTATTGCTAGTTAATGTCAACATGGATCAGTAGAAAGAAATTCTCCCTGATTATATGCTAAAGGCTGTGTCCTTTTTTGGTAAACTCTCCACATCTGTCATTTCTTGACAAATGAATCTTAGTAAAAACATGTTGAAGATGAAAAAGATAATAAGGAGACATTGTATTTTTATTGTCTTTATGTCTGTTAAACATTGTTTCTTGTTTCCAGAGATGCTTTAAATGTAAAAATTGACATAGCTGTGAGTTGTTGGAATAGAAAGAAAAGTTAGAGTGCAGAAAATGTCAAAGTTTAACTGTTGTTCTCAAGTCTAACAGTGACTGCAGACTAGATTATGAAAATCGAGTTGAATGGGGTCTTTTTCAAGCTACAATGAGACTGTTTTAATCTCACTGACGTTTTTGCCAGAGCTCTTTCTCAAATAATAATTAGGTCCTCCTCCAACTTAGCTTTCCTTAATCTTCTACTTTGAAAATTCTACCAAAATAAGCCTGAGTTAAATTTTGAACTAAAAATCATGAAATTTTATTGCTGTTATCATCATAAGATCAATATATTTTCATTGTTTGAAATTGAAAAATGCAGAAAAGTAGAAAGGAGAATGAGAATTGCTCAATCTTATTACCCAAAAACAACCACAGTTATTATTTTGGAGTTTTCCTTTCTAAATATATATTTTACAAAGGTTAAATGTTGTAGTCATATTATATATACAATTATGCATCTTAATTTGCTTACTGTTATAAGAATTTACCATCTCATTACAGATCCCATAAATATGATTTTACTAAATATTTTATGATTATAAAACTAAGGCAGTATTACTGTAGAAAATTTAGAAAATATAGAAAGGTAGGCCGGGCATGGTGGCTCACGCCTGTAATCCCAGCACTTTGGGAGGCTGAGGTGGGTGGATTACCTGAGGTCAGGAGTTCGAGACCAGCCTGGCCAACATGGTGAAACCCCGTCTCTACTAAAAATACAAAAAAATTAGCTGGGGTGGTGGCAGGTGCCTGTAATGCCAGCTACTTGGGAGGCTGAGGAAGGAGAATCGCTTGAACCTCAGAGATGGAGGTTGCAGTGAGCTGAGGTCTTGCCATTGCACTCCAGCCTGGGAGACAAGGGCAAAACTGTCTCAAAAAAAAAAAAAAAAAGGAAAGTAAGAAAATAAAAGAAAGGTAAAGAGAAGAAACCAAGAAACCAATAATTGTCGATAACCCTATCACTCAGTGATTATTTGGTTATTTTTGGAATATCGATATGTATATATATATTTTTAAATGGTTGAAATTAAAATTTATAAACCACTTTGTATTCTATTTTCAATCACCTAATAGTACAAGAGAAGTACTTTCCTATGTCACCAAAACTCTTCATAAATGATGCCAAAAAACTTCATAAAATTCCATCACATGATAATTTGCCTAATGCCCTATTGTTGTGCAAAATAATGCTGTAATAAATATCTTCAGGTATAAATTTTTATTTTCATTTTTGAATTTTTCCTCTGGAAAAATTCTTAAAAGTCCCAGAGTATGAAAACATTAAGGTTTATGATTCACATTTCCAGAATAGTGGCACCTGTTTGTCTTCCTACCAGCAATGAATGTGTGCCTGTCTGACACTGTCGCCTGCATTTTATTATTTAAAAAAAAATCCATGCAAATGACAGATGAGTATTAACATCAAGTTTCTCTGATCAAGCTGATTCTGAATAGTCAGGACAGTATTCTGAGGACTTCGGCTATTTGAATCTTGCACCTTCCATTCCCTGGGGTTAGAAGGAGCCTGTGTGTTCATGTCTATCTTTCTTTTTTCTTTTGAGACAGAATCTCGCTCTGTCGCCCAGGCTGGAGTGTAGCAATGCGATCTTGGCTCAATCCAACCTCCGCTTCCCGGATTCAAGCAATCCTCCTGCCTCAGCCTCTCGAGTAGCTGGGATTACAGGCGTCCCCCCCACCATGCCTGGCTTGTTTTTTGTGTTTTTAGTAGAGACGAAGTTTCACCATGTTGGCCAGGCTGGTCTCGAACTCCTTGACCTCAGGTGATCCACCCACCTCAGCCTCCCAAAGTGCTGGGATTACAGGCATGAGCCACCGTGCCAGCCCATGTCTATCTTTCAATAAAGATTTTTGAGTGCTAGAACCCTCTGCTAGATTCTAGGGAAATAAAGACAAATAAGCTATGGTCACTGGACTTAAGGCAGAGTTTTTGAGCTGATGTGCATAGGCACATGGTTGTGTTAAGATACTGAGCTTCTTGGCCTTTGGAGCACCTAGATGAGGCCTGAGGTGACTAGAACCACTGGGCTGGTCACTTCTGTCAGACAAGTGAGTGGACTTTGTTGTTGAATCTGATGTGACCAAGGTAGGAAACACTGCCTCCCGATCATCTGGATGTTCTTCTAGGTCTTTGTCTTTCTCAGAACCACAGATTCTTGGGCAAGAACAAATATTTTGTGAGTCAACTAGTCTTTCTTCATTGCCCTCCAACACACACACACATACACACACACACACACACACACACACATATCCCATGCTGCTGATGGTGGGGAGGGCAGAATCACATTCTCTATGACCTACAATATAACCTGGTAAAATACAATATTTCTTACTATGGGCTTAATTAAGCTCTTTGAAAGGCTGCAGGACCACCTTGGGCAAGATTAAAGGCACTACTTTTATTTATTTATTTATTATTATACTTTAAGTTCTAGGGTACATGTGCATAACGTGCAGGTTTGTTACATATGTATACATGTGCCATGTTGGTGTGCTGCACTCATTAACTCGTCATTTACATTAGATATATCTCCTAATGCCATCCCTCCCCCGTCCCCCCACCCCACAACAGGCCCCGGTGTGTGATGTTCCCCATCCTGTGTCCAAGTGTTCTCATTGTTCGATTCCCACCTATGAGTGAGAACATGTGGTGTTTGGTTTTCTGTCCTTGCAATAGTTTGCTGAGAATGATGGTTTCCAGCTTCATCCATGTCCCTACAAAGGACATGAACTCATCCTTTTTTATGGCTGCATAGTATTCCATGGTGTATATGTGCCACATTTTCTTAATGCAGTCTATCATTGATGGACATTTGGGTTGATTCCAAGTCTTTGCTATTGTGAATAGTGCTGCAATAAACATACATGTGCACGTGTCTTTATAGCAGCATGATTTATAATCTTTTGGGTATATACCCAGTAATGGGATGGCTGGGTCAAATGGTATTTCTAGTTCTAGATCCTTGAGGAATCACCACACTGTCGTCCACAATGTTTGAACTAGTTTACAGTCCCACCAACAGTGTAAAAGTGTTCCTATTTCTCCACATCCTCTCCAGCACCTGTTGTTTCCTGACTTTTTAATGATCGCCATTCTAACTGGTGTGAGATGGTATCTCATTGTGGTTTTGATTTGCATTTCTCTGACGGCCAGTGATGATGAGCATTTTTTCATGGGTCTGTTGGCTGCATAAATGTCTTCTTTTGAGAAGTGTCTGTTCATATCTTTCACCCACTTTTTGATGGGGTTGTTTGATTTTTTTCTTGTAAATTTGTTTAAGTTCTTTTTAGATTCTGGGTATTAGCCCTTTGTCAGATGGGTAGATTGCAAAAAATTTTCTCCCATTCTGTAGGTTGCCTGTTCACTCTGATGGTAGTTTCTTTTGCTGTAAAGGCACTACCTTTTAGTTGTAATGATTTATGAGATTTCAGACTCTCCCTAGCTGGGAAGGAACATGGTGAATTGCATTATTCAGAGGGCACAATAAATAACCCCTCAGTTCTCTAACTAGGTTCTGTACAAGTTAAAAGACAGGTGGAGGCCAAAATATCACTCTTACTGATGGAGGACTTCTGTTCTCTGTGGGTATCTCAATCCCAGTAGGAGAAAGGAAATTCCAAGGTAGGAGAAAAGAAAGCTTATGTAAGCATGCCCAGTTTATTATTCTCAAATTTACTCATCAGCTAAATCACTTCTGTATACCAGAGATGGAAACAGTACAGGGACAGAGAAAAGCAGGAGTAGACTGCAGTAGACTTCCAACTCCTTGGAAAGAAACATCAGGAATGGAAGAATCATTTCCTGCCAACAATATGTTAGAGCAGAAGGTACAAACTGGGAGATTTAAATAGGTAACCGTGGGCCAGACCACAGACACACTAAAAATGAAAGGCAGTAGAGACTCACTGTAGATACTTGAGAAGGGGCAAGATGAAGACAATTTAAAGAAAAGCATAAAACAGTAATAGATAAATTCAAAAAGATAGTTCAGAGAGCAAAAAGAGACTGGGTGTATTAGCAAAGGTAAGAGTAAAAGTAAAGGCTTAGACAGTGTTTTTGGAGAACATTTCAAGAACAAAAAGGAAATACATACAAAGAATAGGGTTATTCTGTGTTGATCCATAGGACAGAATTATATAATCTAAAGTGGAAGTTGTGCCAATATGAGCTTTGGTTCACTGCAGGGAGAGCTTAGGATTAGAGCTGCTGAAATTTATATCGGGCTATTAGACAGGTTTTTCATAGAGCAGAAGTCACTACGATGAGCCAGATCTGGTCCATTTTCATGTTTTCTTTGACTGCAGGCAGTGTTTCAAAACAGTAGAATGAGTAAACACTTAAACATTTTAAAGTTACTCAAAATCTAGATTTCAAGTTTCTCTTGAAAAATGGGAAAATCTAGCAGCATTGGGCCCATTTGCCTGAAGATAACAATTGAATAGAGCTGTGTAAGGGTGGCCTGATGTAGAAAGGCATGTGTTTTCTTGTTTGCCACAGTCTTCGCCATTCCTTATTGCCCGGTACCTTTACTTTTTAAATTACATGCCTAGTCCCTATAGGAATGCGACTTTTCAACCCTTGTTTTACAGGGAGTCCCCTCCACTGGGAGGGAGGATGAATTCAGTGACTCTTGACTCAGAGCTTCTGTAACTCTGTAACTTTTGGCCATTTTATCTAACTTTTTCTCATCTTAATTATGACCATGTTTCTTTAGTGATATGCTGTTTTTATTATGTACATTTTATTCTAGTAATATTTCTTCTTGCTTGGGAACAACCATGTGAGGTTTTTTATCAGGCGATAAATGCAAAAATGGCCAACAGAAGCTGCAGACAGGCCTGATCCCAGGCCAAATAGAACATGACCAAATTTGTTGGAGGCACTGTTTTTCTCCGACTCAGCACTCCCCTCACTGGGAAGGAAGGGTCCTTTGAGTACTTAGGAGTCTTGTTATTCCAGCTTGTTCTCATTAGTCACTACTTAACATGACCTCACAGCACCCTCCATGGCTCCTGGTTGGCCTATTGAACTGCTTGGCATGGCTTAATTGATGAGAAGTTATCCCAAAGCCACTGCAGATGAGTATATTCCCCATAGTCAGCCAAGGAAATCCAATCCACAAGACAGAAGGTAAGTCATATGATTCTAGAGAATCTAGGAAGAGACATAGAGGATGGTGAGGAGACAGGAGCAATGGAGGGGGGCGCGGAGGGCCAAGGGGGATGCTGGTAGGGAAGGGGAGGGACTGGTAGGGGTGGGACAGAACAAAGTGTGAGTGCATTGCAGAGTGGGTGCAGGATGAACTTTGTCAACTAGGAATTCTGATCACTGTTGTCACCTTTATATAAAGTTTGTACTAGACTGGAGGTGGGTTACTTTTGTGTTTGCCTCATCTTGTTGATTGAGCATGGCTTGTATCTCATTTCTTTATAGTGATTGACAGCCACTAAAGCGTAAGAACATTTGCTATTATGTTATAGTGACAAGGGGCCTTAGATGCTCCTTTATGCCATAAAGAATATGTATGTTAATAATGATAAAACCAGTACAATATAACCTAGATATATGCAGTGCTTTACTTCACGGGGTGAAAGTTAGGCTTATAAATGTTGCTGCATCTCTGGGAAATGTTCCAGAATAAGATATGCATCCTTGGGTATCACCAAATTTCAGCCTACGATCTGCCCCAAGGCTTGTATTACAATAAAGCATGGTTTTCTTCTATGACATAAACATCATCAAAGATTACAGACATATGCCACACCTATTTCCATTTAATAATTTATAGCAACTAGCAAACAACATTTAACTAAATGTAAATTCTCAAATATAATAATTGACCATTTTGCAGTATGTTGCATTTTACCAAGTGCTTCCACGTAAACCACTTTTTGAACTCCTCATAAGACTGATCCTGGACCCTTCGGTCCTGGGTTGCCTGGTCCTGCCACTGCACTTCACTGCCTTTCTGCTGCTCTCAGCAGTTCTCAATTTTTGCTAAAATGCATTTCTTGTAAATTCTTTAATAAAACAAATCATCATAAAATGGATTGTGAATTCCCAGAACAATGTTATAACTGAGGGTTGCTTTCTTGACTTAGAACATGAAATCTCATAACAAATAACAAAGATTTACTACCAGTATTTCTTTTTAAAAGATAATAAAATTAAGTTCCATAAAGAGGAAAGGAATATATATACATGTTGATTATGCAATGGCTCAAATATGTTGTAAAGTTTATATAAAACCCAGAAAAACTCTAGCTCTACTGTATCATAAATATGATTCATTTAAAGTGAATATGTTTGCTAAAATACGTTCTGTCAAATATGCAAGATAGACCCACGTATCTTAATGTAACAGTGATTTAATTCAACGATGATAAAGTTTCAGGTTTTATATCATAACTAACCTTTAAGAAACTACCACTTGTGTAGTTTTAGTTTATGTTAAAGATGAATATCTACAATTATCTGAAAAGTTTACTTTTTTTCATATACTTCAACCAAAATAACAAGTTACATGCATGAGCAGATATGAAAATCCACCAGTCTTGTAATGATACACTCAAGAAAGCAACTTGCAAAAATATAAAATATAAAAGAATCCACTCTTTTCACCACCCTTTTTCTTTTGGAAAATAGTTATTTTCATGAACATGTATTATTTATATTATTATATAATGATTATTAATATTCTAAATCAATACTTTAAAAACTATTAAAATATAACCATCAATAAAATATGTAGTAATCATTTTCTTGTCATTTTAGATTTCAAAATACCTTTGGGGTATTGTTTTTATGATCTGAATTTTTTAAAAGTTGGGCAAAACAGAAGGTTGATGCCTCTGTGGTCGGTTTTCTCTGGGAAGCAAATTTTGAGACAGAGTTTCACATACAAGATGCTTTCTAGGGAATGGCCTTGGGAAGGAGGGAGGCAGGGGGAGAAACTAGCTGATCTAAGAGCTATTTGGCACACCCCACAGGGAGCTCTGGGGTGAGAATGGCCCATCAGAGTTGTGTTGCACTGGGGCAACATTAGGGTCGCCAGAGAAAATGCTGCACGTTTGAATTTCATATTCAAATTTTGAATAAGGTTTACTTATAGTAAAAGTCATTTATTGTTTATGTGAAATTCAAATTTAAATGGGCATCCTGTAATTTTATATGCTAAATCTAGTAAGCCTACTCAATATGGCCAGGTCTTTATATCCTCACCTCAACCGGTTATTGGCTGTGGCTCATCCTAGAAATGGTATGACCCTGGGACATCATTGCTCTTCACTACTGAAATAGCCTCTACAAAGGCTGAGAGCTGAGGGCTGTCTGCTGACAACACTCCCCGCAGCTGTGTTAATGAGCCTTCCTTGAGGGGCACCTGAGCAGCTCAACTTCATGTCCATCACACCATCCTGGTGCTGTTGTTGTTAATAAGTTTCTCTAGCAACCAGAAATATTAAAAAATCATTTAATTAACCTTATTACTATAATTAAAGTAGAGACTATTCTTTTTCAAAACTAGTCTCTGTAATATTCAAATACTAGATACATAAATAAATACATAAAACAGCCATTGTCCAATCCTTGCATTGTTGTGTCTTTCAGGGACTGTTTATTGGTAAGGACTAGAAGGATCACACATTTGAGTTTGTCTAAGATATTTTTAGTTTATGCATGACTGCAAAAGCGTCATGGTTAGGTAAATAATTTATCTGCTCTTCCTAGCCAGAACCTTCTTAGTGCCTCTCACTGCAGTAGATGTTATCCTCGACTTTTGTAGAATGGGAAACAGAGCAGCTGAGCTTTATATCCCATTTTATCCAGCTAAAAAAACAGTCCCATTGCACTCCAGCCTGGGCAACCAGAGTGAAACTCCGTCTCAAAAAAAACCCCAAAAAACAAAAAAAACAGTCCCCAGTAAGGACCTTGATTGCCCTCACTGAGCCGATCAGTTGTGGCTGGAAGATGAAGTGCCGCTGTGAGTGGTCCAGCTTGTATCAGGCTCCTGACCCTAAATGAATGACCTGTGATGGGTGGGTTGGGGGAGGACCTGGGGAACAAGGTTATGAGGGATAGACATGGCCGTGGGGACTTACTTTCTTATTTTTATTTTTTACTTGGTGAAAATAATGTTTATTATTTACATTATCTTATATCACCAGACATCTAGACTTTTTTTTCAGCTATGCTTAGAAAACTGTGCCAAATAGATTAAATTACCACCCATTAGAGCTAAAGATAAGGAAAAAATTAAAGTGGGATGTTCACAAATAATGTCTAAGTCTGTTATGGGAAGATCATATTTAATTAAATGAAACAATACATGTAAAGCTATTTGCAGTAATAGGAAAACAGTAAGTGTTCAATATGTCAGCTAATAATCATTATATTTAAAGAACTTCTGAGCTGATAATTTTGAGAATTCACCTGAGTACATCTATGACTTTTCCATTCAGTATTTAAGGAGAAAAACCTGGGCCTAATTCTGATATCTGAACAGGGAGGGTTCCCCAACAGAGGTCCACTACAAATAAATAAAGTACTATGTGCAGTATTGCTTGTTATTTGCTCACAATATCTCTCTCAAATTTCAGATGCTACCCCTTCATTAAAATAGTTCAGGATTTGGATGGTTATGTTCACCTTATCTACACTGCTCATGATTTTAAAGCCTTAGAAAATGTTCTCTCTCATTCTTTATCTTGCCAGATGGTACAATTCTTATCTTTTTAGATTTTCATCTGGCAGCAGCTTGGTCATTTAAAATGATTTTTCCTGGATTGTATCCAATTCCTTTATATGGCTTGTACATCAGAGTTTGGTGTAATTTTGATATTTTCTATTTTGTTACCAATGTTGTGATGTTGGCATTTTTTAGATGAAGTTGTTTTATCCCATTCAAGGAATAGTCAATATTAACTCCACAGTCTGTTTCCCATATTGGAGATGAGTGTGTGTGTGTGTGTGTGTGTGTGTGTGTGTTAGTGCCAGTTGTAATTTGGATAATAATCTGTGTGTGCACTGATGTTTCTAGGTGGGAAGAATGGCTATTTAGATATGCAAATAGTTTAGACTACTTTTTCCAAAACTTACTTGTTGTTATTAAAATTCTTTTATCAGCTTTTCCTTATGTCCTAAAGCCTCAGAAACTCTGTTTATAGTTTATCCCAGTTCACCCAAACATTTGAATACCTGGAAGAACTCAATGGTTTTTTTGCATGACTGGGCATTTTAATGTGCAATCTTTCAGGTAATTTATCAAAATAGCAAATAAAAAGTCTTAGATCTAGAGAATCCTAGAGTTTATCTTTTCCTTCTGGAGAAGTGACTGCTAGTCTCTTTCATTTGATTCCTGCCTTTAAGCCATGTCCATATCCATGTCATGAATAGTCAAATCCCATGACAATCCAACAGAAATAATACAGCTAGTTCAGCACTGGCCTACGCACTGCAATGCACTAAATGACGTTAGGTGTACAAAAGCATGTTGTGTGGTTTAAGGAGCCATACAAATGTTAGCTGTTTTTTTTCTTAGGACAATAGCAGAATAAAAGTATTTAATTACTTCTGTTCAGGGCTTAAGCTTTTACAATTATGTCTTTAGAAATCTAAACATCTTAATATGGCAAAAGCTGATGTTATCTGATATGGGGAGGTGGTTAATAAATGTTGCTATTATAATTGATCCTATTAAATTTAATGGGTAGCTATGTTGGTTAACTTAAAATTTAGAAAAAAATAAATTATCTGGTAAGTGGAGATCTTGGCCTTCTCTTATAGAGAGGTATTCCAACGTAAGAAACAAATTAGGTTTTGTTTTGGGATTATACGAAGAATTGTATAGAATGGCTGCATTCAAAAATCTTTAATGTGAAGTTAGGAACATAATTCAGAATAGTTCTGTGTGGGGATGAATGTGTCAATGGTTTTTTGTTTGTTTGTTTGTTTGTTTTTTGACGGAGTCTCACTCTGTTGCCCAGGCTGGAGTGCAATGGTGCAATCTCGGCTCACTGCAGCCTCCGCCTCCTGCATTCAAGTGATTCTCCTGCCTCAGCCTCCTGAGTAGTAGCTGGGATTACAGGCACACACCAACACGCCTGGCTAATTTTTGTATTTTTAGTAGAGAGGAGGTCTCACCATTTTGGCCAAGCTGGTCTCAAATTCCTGACCGCAAATAATCCACTCATCTCAGCCTCCCGAAGTGCTGGGATTACAGGCATGAGCCACCGCGCCTGGCTGTGTCAGTGGTTTTAAACAGACAAAAATAAAGTGTAAAGTTGGTTTATAGCCAAGAACCATGATTTCAAATGTTATATTTCCTTTGAAGACACTGTTTCAGGTGGTTTGCTTTGGGGCTGTAGTCAAATAGATTAGACAACATCAGTGTGTGTGGTTTTTTTTTTAACTCTAATTTTAAACGAAATTGATCACTAGTGAAATGTGGAATTGGTAGAAGATTGAATTCTGCAGTTTTTTTAATGTGATTTTTATTATTACACTTGATAGATTGATAGTATTTGTGAGTCATTATGGTATGGTTGGGAGTTTATTCTTTGGAGTCAGGCATACACGGATTTCTGACCCAGCCCTGCTTTTTAGACTTTAGACAAGTTATTTACCTTCTCCAAGCCTCAGTTCTCTCATGAGTAAAATTGAGAGTAACAATAGTAGCTCCTTCATAAAGTTGTAAAGGGAGTAAGTGACATTATCCAGCTAAAACAGTTAACAAAGCATCTGGCACACAGTAGATGCTACATACATGATTCCTTTTCTTTCTCTGCCTTCTTCTTGTTATTATTTTATTTTTATTATTTCCTGCATTCTTTTATGTTTCTCACCAAATTTGGTACTACCTAAAATGGAATTTAAGAAGCTGCAGTTGTTGAGTTTGTAAGACATAATAAGGGTAATATAAGAAACTCATCTGATAAGAAAATTGTTCCTTGGAAATCACCTTGAGATCTTTTGTATTTGAGATACAAAAGACAGGAGAAGTAGGAGAAAGACAGGTGTTTTATTTGGGTGGATTACCTCCAAACATGTGGGACTTTCCTTGCATACTGGGCTTTCTTCATGCTGCAGAATGAGACTATTTTATCCTTTCAAGCTGTGGAACTGGGCTTACAGGAATCGGTGATGTAGGGACCCAGACCTCACAGCTGTATCCTTCTTCTCTTTACAAAGCAGTGTCACGTGGAAGACTGGAAATGGATTACATGGCAGGCTGACTGGGATTTTTCTAAGCCAAAACACTTTTTTAAACAAACCTTGTACTAAACACTATGGAAAGTACTGGAAAGCCAGAAAAAGGCTTGAATGTTAGTCCCAGCTCTGCACAGACTGTTGTGTGACCTTGGGAAATGAGCTGAAACTCTGAGCCGTTGTTTCCATAATTGCACAACAATGAGTTTGGACTCCTAGATGATCTCAGAGATAACTTCTGGCTCAAATATTTTCTAATTCTATATTTTTTTAGGTCCTCCAGCAATTATATTAAACTTGTTTTCTATCTTTCTTTATCCAAGGTTAACTTGTGATAAAAGCAGAAATAGGAAAGAAAAACTTGGGAACAGCACAGGATTCCAATTCAGGGTTTGAATTCCAGTTCTGATGCTGAGCAGCTACGTAACCTCAAGGAAATCTTGTTACCCAGTGTGTCTTAACTGTGGTTGCACATTTTATTAATCTGGGAGGATTTTAGAAAACACTGATGTTGAGCCCTAGTCTTGAAAATCCTAAACACTCAGGAATTGGTAGAGTATCAGAGCTCTCTATGTGCAAAATAAATTCAAAATGAAATATCACCTCACATCTGTTAGGATGGCTACTATCAAAAAGACAAGAGATAAATGTTGGTGAGGGTGTGGAGAAAGGGAACTCTTGTACACCATCGGTGAGAATGTATTAAGTTGGTGCAAAAGTAATTGTGGTTTTTGCCATTACGTTTAATGGCACCATTACTTTTTTTTTTGAGACAGAGTCTCGCTCTGTCACCCAGGCTGGAGTGCAGTGGTGTGATCTCGGCTCACTGCAAGCTCTGCCTCCCGGGTTCATGCCATTCTCCTGCCTCAGCCTCCTGAGTAGCTGGGACTACAGGTGCCCACCACCACGCCTGGCTAATTTTTTGTATTTTTAGTAGAGATGGAGTTTCACCGTGTTAGCCAGGATGGTCTCTATCTCCTGACCTCGTGATCCGCCTGCCTCGGCCTTCCAAGGTGCTGGGATTATAGGCGTGAGCCACCGCGCCCGGCCGGCACCATTACTTTTAATGGCACTTCTGCACCAACCAAATAGATTAGTGCAGCCATTGTGGAATACAGCATGGAAGTTCTTAAAGAAATTAAAAAGAGAACAACCAGCCGGGTGCGGTGGCTCACGCCTGTAATCCCAGCACTTTGGGAGGCTGAGACTGGTGGATCACCTGAGGTCGGGAGTTCAAGACCAACCTGACCAACATGGAGAAACCCTGTCTCTACTAAAAATACAAAATTAGCCAGGAGTGGTGGCACATGCCGGTAATCCCAGCTACTCAGGAGGCTGAGGCAGGAGAATCACTTGAACCTGGGAGGCAGAGGTTGTAGTGAGCCAAGATCGTGCCATTGCACTCCAGCCTGGGCAACAAGAGTGAATCTCCATCTCAAAAAAAAAAAAAAAAAAAAAAGAGAGAGAAAAAAAGAGAACAACCATATGACCCAGCAATACCTCTTCTGGTTATATACCCAAACAAAGTGAAATCATCACCTTGTAGTAATATCTGCACTCTCCCGTGGTCATTGCAGCATTATTCACAATTGCTGAGATATAGAAACAACTGAGGTGTCTGTCAGTGGATGATTGGATAAAGAAATTATAATTGTGTATGTATGTAATTTTTTTCTTTCTTAATTGCTGCATAATAGAGGCATGTAGTTTCAGGGTACATGGGATCATTTAATACATTCATATAATTTGCAAAGATCAAATCAGTTATACAACGAAATTTTAATCAGCATCAAAAAGCAAGGCCATCCTGCCATTTGTGACAACAGGGATGAATCTGAAGGTCATTATGCCAAATAAAATAAGTCAGACACAGAAAGAAAAATACTGTGTGATCTCGCTGATATGTGGGATCTAAAAAATAAAGGTTGAATTTATAGAAACAGAGGCTAGAATTGTGGCTACCAAGGGTGGAGGGCAGCAGAGGGCAGGATGGGAGGGAGACTTAGGGGAGATGTAGTCAAAAGGTACAGAGTTGCAGTTGTGTAGGATGACTAAGTCTAGAGAGCTAATGTACAGCATGAGGACTACAGCTATTCATATTGTATTGTATACTAAAAATGGGTAGCTATGTGAGTGACGAATATGTCAATCTGCTTGACTGTAGTAATCATTTTACTATGTATATCAAAGCATCACATTGTACACCTACAATGTATAAAAGTGTTTTTAAAAAAGCTCTCTAGGTGATTTGAATGTGCAGGGATCGAGGATCCCTGCAAAGAGCTGTGAATCTTAGCACTCTTACCTCTAAGGTGGGGCTCCTAAAAACAATAACAGTAACTGCCCTGTGTCACAATGTTGAGGATCACGTAAAATAATATAGACAAAAGCACTTTGCAGTGTGTAAGTGCACAGTAATAATTAAAGCAGGCATTGTTAAAGGACTTAGCCATTGCTATTATGCAAGCGGATGGGATTACATTAGCATATTAATTCTGTCTGCTGGGGTTCTAACCTTTTCATATGCAATTCAGCTGCTATAGTTTAGCCCCCACTCCCACCCCCAGTAGGACGTGGTAATTTACTTCTGTAGAAACTCCTAGTGCTGCTCTGTGACCCAGTGAGGACTTAATGATTATGTGTTGACTCAGCGATTATTCTTAATAAACACAATTCTTCCAAGTTTTGCAGAGCACATATTATCACCACGAATCACCATGACATGCTCATGTATCCCTTTGTGCCCAGCTTGTAAACACACAAAACTGTTAGATAAACAAACCTAATGTTTTAGAGTGGGGGAAAATCAACTGTTTTCAAATTTATCTTATACTATCTGAATTCCTAATTAAACTCCTTTTAACATAATTTCCTTTAAGAACTCAATTTTAGGTTTCTTCTGTGGTTACCTTTCTTCGGATATTTTCATGCTCGACATTGTAACACATTTTTGTCTGTTCCACTACTCCCCTAGAAATGTCCGTTGCCATTGGTCTTTTGGTATTGAATACTTTTTCTTTTCCCAGTCGTGTTGAAATTAGTCACACAGTGACTTTTGAAATTGTCCCACTTTGTCCTGGTCTTCAGAATGAGCAGTGGTGTAATTAACACAGACCTGCAGACTTGCAGACTAATTTTCATGAACTTGAAGGTTGCCTGTGACATGGGGTGTGGCTCTGTGTCAGGAGTGTGTATCCCCTGCCGCATGGCCGCTCTACAGGATTGAGTTTGAGGAACACAGGCAGATCCCAGATGGTGACAGGCTCTGGGAAGGACTAGAGTGCATGTATTACTCCATTCTCTGACCACTCATGGCTGTAGCATCCATTCAGCATCCCCTACTCACAAGAAAGTATAGCTTGGAAAAACAAAAGAAATGTCTAGAATCTTTTTGACATCTGTATTTTTTTTTTTGGTGAATGATTTCTGACTTTTCTCCCATTATCATCATCTGAGAATTGGCTTCAAAAGGAGAAATACTTCTTTCCTAAGGGATCCCTTCAAATGATGAACATCTTTTGAGAATTTAGTGACTACTTACTGATTAAACAACTATCTAAATTACAATGGAGAGCAATCTTTTCTAGAATTAGAGCCCTCTATATTGTGGCACACGCTTCCTTCGCTTTTTCTGCTTATATGCACAGGACATAATACAGTTGATGAAAAAAATTTAACCTTACATATATATATATTTAAGGTGTATATATATAGTATATATTATAAGGTATATATATTTAAGGTAAATATATATATATATATATATATATATAGAGAGAGAGAGAGAGAGAGAGAGAGAGAGAGAGAGATTTAAAAATGGCTAGCTGACAAACCAGGTCCTGTAGGCTGCATGGTTTTCACATTCTTAGAGGTTTGTAAAGAAAAAAAAATGCAGCAGAGACCATATGGCCCACAAAACCCAAAATGTTTATTATCTGGCCTTGTACAGAAAATGTTTGCTGACTCCTGAACCACGTGGCAAGTACCAATAACGAAGCACACTCGCTTTTTACTTTCATGAAGAAATGCATTGTCTTTTCTCCTTTGAAGTATCCACTTCCGCTGGTAAAATCAGTCTTCACAGCTATTCTAAAAGGAGGCTGAGAAACCTTCTCTAGCTGGCTCTGTAACACAGGCTGTCCCAGCGAGCTCCTGGGTATAAGCTGCTCTTGAGCCAGAGCTGCTGTTTGAGGCTTGTTCATGCTCTTGCTTTCACTCCCTAGATCTCTCTTAGTATCAGCACCATCCACTAATTTGCTGCACACCTTCTTTGACCTTGACTTTTTGGGCAAATGCTTATTCCATTCCAATTGCTCTTGTAAGTCTGCTTTGCTACCTTCCCCTGCTTTTTTACTTATTTTACCCTCTGGACCTCTCTTCTGTCATCCCCTTCTTCTACTTTCTCCCCTAGCATCTCAGCCCTCTTGAGGCCAAGGCCTGCTACATCTAATATTTCTATTTCTGTCCTTTGCTTGCTCCTGTCCAGACCCAGTCTTCTCACTGGTTGCAAAGTGGGTCCAGTTCTACCACTGGAAACAGATTTTGGCAAATAGAGACCTTCTGATCTCCTCCCTCACCAGACCAATGGACCATTTTTGTGAACAGTATGACGACCCTTCCTGGGTATTGCTCACATGCACCCCTCATGGTGCTTACCTAGGGTCCATATTGCCTGGTGTAATTTCCTTCCCATGGACCTTCTGGCCACCTGCCTTCACCTACGACTGCAGCATTTCTCCATGTCTGCCACTGTGACTAGATCACTCCAGTGATCCTCTGATGGCCTTAGGATCCAACACACATTGGTAACCAGGGCCATTATAGCACTCAAGCTTCTGGTATATTTCTTTATTCCAGTCCATCTTGCTGAATCCCTCTGTTTCCTACCTGTGAGTGCCCCTCTATGAATGCTGATTTGATTCCAGGTACTATACTAGGCTGTGGAGTCAGAGATGACCAAGATACAGCCTTGCTCTCAGTATTTTTTGATGGAAGAATGATGATATGCACATACACGAATACAGAGCAAAGCAGTAGGTGGCAAGTGATTAAGCAAGTCACTAAATCTTATGAAAGCACAGAGGGGAATATTTAGAAGTAAACTCTATAAAAATAAAAATTCTGAACTACCTAATAAGAATATTACTAACTCTACCAAGTTGACCAATTAAATTATTTAATCAGTTAATATTTGATTCTGTTTTTAACCTTCCCTTAAATATATGGCTTAAAGACTAAACTTCCAGTAAATTTTTTCTAAGTAATGTACTCTTTCTCTGACTCATTATTTCATTTATTGATATCTTATTTTGACTCTAGCAATGTCTGTAACCATTAAAGTTCTGTAAATAAATGCAGTCTTTTGACTATAGTACATAAGACAACATCCCTCTTTGTAAATACCCCAACCCCTTATTAGAAACTATATTGAGGCCAGGTGCGGTGGATCACGCCTGTAATCCCAGCACTTTGGGAAGCTGAGGTGGGTGGATCACCTGAGGTCAGGAGTTTGAGAACAGCCTGGCCAACATGGTGAAACCCCGTCTCTACTAAAACTACAAAAATTAGCCGGGTGTAGTGGCACGTGCCTGTAATCCCAGCTAATCCCAGCTACTTGGGAGGCTGAGGCAGGAGAATCGCTTGAACCTGGGAGGCAGAGGTTGCAGTGAGCTGAGATCGCACTACTGCATTCCAGCCTGGGTGACACAGCAAGACACCATCTCAAAAAAAAAAAAAAAAAAAGAAAAAAAGAAACTATATTGAATCCTCATTCCATACCCCAAGTGCATGAAATGATGTGTTGTAACTGGTGGGTGGGTTTGGTCAGTCCAGGTTGGCTGATAGGTTTATTTATCAGAACAGACTTTAAGAGGTTGTCACTGAATTGCAAGAGATGCCTTTCAAGTAACTTGCATCTGGGTGCTTTGCACCTTTCATTTCCCTCTCCCTTCTCATTGCTTGTACATCTCCTTTCTGGCTTGCTTTCTCTCAGGCCCTTTTTCAGGATGCATATTGTGTCAAATATAAATTTGGAAAACCTAGCCAGAGAATACTTGACTTGAGGGAGACAACCCTAAGAACATTGACCTGCAGTGGGCACTCCGGTGGGGCTAGAGTGTTCACTAGCCTGCCCCAAGTGTGACTTCTGCTTGTGTGTATCACCCATTTCTTTATTCATTTAGTACATATTTTCCAAGCGATTTCTCTGTGCCTCAGACACTGTGTGAGGTCCTAGGGACACAATGGTGTGCAGAAGGGAAAACTGTTGTTGCCCTCACATGGGGGAGGTAGCAACAATTACAAATTTACAGGAATAAATATGTGATAATAATATCCTAGCTCAACATAGAAAGGAAGTTATCTCAGTATTTACCTAACAGTTTTGTAATGTGTGTGTGCGCGCGCGTATATGTCTTCTTCTTTTCTCTTTGTTAAGTGTGAGTGGAGAAGATGATGGCTAACACTGAGTTCTGTCATGGCCATGGCACTTTTATACCCACATTCTTTCTTTTAATCATGGAATTCTCCACCCCAGCCCTCACCCCGTGGATGTCGGAGTAAGACAACATTGTTATCACTCAGATTGTCATTGGGAGGGTGAATAAATGAATGCTTGCATTATGAGAGTTTGGGGGCAGAAATATGCCACAGACTCTTATCTGAAGCCATCAGATTTAGTGGCTGCGAACCCACCGAAGTCAGGGATTTACATTTTTTACAGCAACGAGAGAAAACTTCCCCTTTCCTCTGCAGAAGTCAGGACTGGATCTCAAAAATAGAAATGTGTCCTCCTAAATGTGTGCCCATCCCCGTGGTTGACAAACAACGGATTTCCCAAGATAGCTGCCACACACTTGGTTTCTAATCTCTGTATTGCTTCCCCGCCAGAATGTCGAAGTCCTTCCCGAATATGCCCAGTCATACTTTCTGAACTTTTGAGCAAACACCGTCCGGCTTCTTGTGCTTTCCTCAAAGACCCCAGGCACCGGCAGGGAGGACACAGGCCGGGGCAGAGCGCCCCTGCGCGGGGGATTCCTGCCACTCCGCGCCAGCCTGCGGCGCAAACGCTCTTCTCAGCCGCAGTCCCACCCGCTGCTGGCAATCTGAATGAGGAGCCGCGCTATTTTTACCTCCCCGGCTGCAATCCTTTATATTTACATGCAGGAAGCAAATATATAAGGGATTAAGAAGGAGATGCGTGGCCTTAGTTTATCCAGAGCAGGAAGAGGTTGGAATAGGAGAGGGTATGTGAAGTCTGGGGTGGTGGAAAAGGCAGGTGGACTTCGGCTGGTTGTTTTCTCCCGATCATCCCTGTCTCTGGCCTGGAAACCCCCGTACTCTCTTTCTTCTGGCTTATCCGTGACTGCCGGCTCCCCCTCCACCGCCCCCATCTTTTGAGGTACCACCCGTCACCTCCGATGCTGCTTGGGCTGCTGCATCACTCTGCTGCTTTACCCCCTTCCCCGCCCCCCAACAAAGCATGCGCAGTGCGTTCCGGGCCAGGCAACAGCAGCAGCACAGCATCCAGCAACAGCATCAGCACCCGAAGCCCCGCTCGGGCGCGCTCTCGGGGGGCGGGGCGCACGCCCGCTCCGCGCGTCCCCGCGCCGCTCGCTCCCGCGCGTCCCCGCGCCGCTCGCTCCCGCGCGCCGCCTCAGCATCCTCAGGCCCGGCGGCAGCCCCCGCAGTCGCTGAAGCGGCCGCGCCCGCCGGGGGAGGGAGTAGCCGCTGGGGAGGCTCCAAGTTGGCGGAGCGGCGAGGACCCCTGGACTCCTCTGCGTCCCGCCCCGGGAGTGGCTGCGAGGCTAGGCGAGCCGGGAAAGGGGGCGCCGCCCAGCCCCGAGCCCCGCGCCCCGTGCCCCGAGCCCGGAGCCCCCTGCCCGCCGCGGCACCATGCGCGCCGAGCCGGCGTGACCGGCTCCGCCCGCGGCCGCCCCGCAGCTAGCCCGGCGCTCTCGCCGGCCACACGGAGCGGCGCCCGGGAGCTATGAGCCATGAAGCCGCCCGGCAGCAGCTCGCGGCAGCCGCCCCTGGCGGGCTGCAGCCTTGCCGGCGCTTCCTGCGGCCCCCAACGCGGCCCCGCCGGCTCGGTGCCTGCCAGCGCCCCGGCCCGCACGCCGCCCTGCCGCCTGCTTCTCGTCCTTCTCCTGCTGCCTCCGCTCGCCGCCTCGTCCCGGCCCCGCGCCTGGGGGGCTGCTGCGCCCAGCGGTGGGTATGGCCCCGTGCCCTTTGCGTTGGCTTTCCCGCGGGGCCCTGCAGAGGAAAGCGAAGGGCGCGCGGGTCCGTGTGCTCCGGGCTTGTCCCCGGCTCGGCCTTTCCTTCCCTCCCTGCCTGTCTTTCCACCCTTCTCGTTCCCAAACCCCCATTCATCCCAGTTCACTTTTGGAAGTCCATTTCTGTTGCATTCGCGAAAAACCCATTCCAATTCTTGTTGGTTCCACTGGGAGGTGTTTAGTGGATCCTGGGTCCCTCAGCGATCTCTGTGCAACTTGCGGAGGGGCAACCAGTGGATGGGAAATACAGCGAGGGAGCAAGTTGCTACTTGCGTGGTGGAACCTTAATGTGAATGCGGGGAGGATGTAGTGATAATAGTGGTAATGGGCTGTTTCCTCAAATTTCGTATCCGGCGCATTCAGTGCGGTTGGAATTAAGGTGGGGGAGGCACACTTCGGGGACCAAAGAATTAAGGTGCTGAAGACATACTTCATGCACGACCTTTGGTTCTGATTTCTCAAAGTGCTTGTCATTATAATGAACAATTAATATAATACCATCTTCTATATATTGATGATTGGAAGTCACTGAAAGCAGAAAGCTGGCTTTGTCAGGAAAATAAAAAGAAATTGGGAAGCTGCCAGCATCTGTATCCCTACATGGCAAAGTATGTTTGCTCATCTTAAAGTTAAAAGAGAAGGGAATTGTCCATTTTGTTAAAAGAGTCGATTAATATTCGGTATCCATAAATTCAGTACTCAAGTTATCTTAGGAGCGTTCTTAGCTCTTGGATGGGATGCCACTAGGCAGAGTAGAGTTGTGCTTCTGTGGACTCAGAGAAGGGGTGGAGATCGGGGGCAGGACCCCTGAACATGTTCATTTAATGACTCTTCTTCCCTCAAGTTCATTCTACCCCCCCCCCAACACTTAGAAGTATAGATTTGAGTCTGACTAGAAATGTATATATAAGACATAAATCAAAATAAATAGTGCACAGTTGTATAAGCCTTATTGGCTATTTATTAACTTCTCCAGGCCATTTTATTGTTGAAATAACTTGCTTTACTCTAGCTCTACTTCTTAACTGCTTATAAATAGAAAACTTTGTGTTTGAAATTAAAGGAAAAATGCATTTTAGTGCTTATGTATTTATGGGGTAAATATGTGTGTGTTTGTGTATGTTTGTATTTTCTGCTCCCCCACCCCCCTACCTCCACCAGCTCCGCATTGGAATGAAACTGCAGAAAAAAATTTGGGAGTCCTGGCAGATGAAGACAATACATTGCAACAGAATAGCAGCAGTAATATCAGTTACAGCAATGCAATGCAGAAAGAAATCACACTGCCTTCAAGACTCATATATTACATCAACCAAGACTCGGAAAGCCCTTATCACGTTCTTGACACAAAGGCAAGACACCAGCAAAAACATAATAAGGTAGGCAGGAGGCTGGCTATGCAAAAGTAACTATCATGAAGAGTTTTCCTTTGATTTGATTTTCTGCCAGAATCTGAGTTCACAAATTTTACTGCAGCATTTTATTAAGAAAGCAATTAATATTATGATAGGGGAGAAACTGGAAGGAATTAACTTGGGATCTACTGGGATAAGACTGTTGTTTCTCTTCTCTGACTAAACTGGAACTAGAATTTTCTGATACCTGAAATGATATCCATGTATCTTTCAGGTACATTGGGCACTGAACAGTAGTTAAGTGAATGTGTTTATGATTCTAACTTGTTTCTGTGAGGCTTTATGTAAGGGTGCAGTATTCTGCCTTGATATAAAACTGTCTCCCATGATATAAAAACTGCTTTCAATCTGCACATGCAAGATTGCTTCAAGAAGCTATTTGGCTGCAGTGTCTCCATCAGTCTTTCCACTTAGAAATTGAGTGTTTAAACAGTCTGTTTCTTTAATTGATCAGTAGGAGGAAAAAAAAATTTTCTGTTGTATTTTCAATAGGTAAACAATTTGACATTTAAAAAGATTATGGTGACTAGACACAAATTATTTGCATAATATGAAGACCAATTTTGATTGGCATAATTCTTCAGTACCTACTCTGCATTGATTATGAGCAGTTGCTTTACTTTCAGGTTAGTTCAGAAAGTGGAACTGATATTTACCAAGGTATCAGTAGAAGACAAATGTTTAATATCCAAAGAGTTTAAGGGATCTTTTTCCCTGTGTTACTATTCTTTACTTGAATTAATATTATTTTGAACCCCGAGCAGATTTAAACAATGGATTATCGGTTCTTCTGTTGTTTATCGGGAGCAGAAAATAGAGTCTGTATGTTAAATGTTTCATTTTGATCTGTACTTGTTCAGGTGAGAACAACAGTTAGCAATTAACTGTCTAAACATCTAGAATTTAAGAAAGTATCTGCAGTTTACATCATTGTTTTTTATTAGTTTTCTAAAATATAGGTGAGTGGTAACAGTATTTATCCCCATTTTACAAATGGGGAGCTAGAAATTTAAGGCTTTTGGGTGATTTTCCTATGTTGTAAAGCAGCTAATATAAAATTCAGGTGACCTGAATGTTTAATTTTTACTATTTTTTACAAGTTAGGTCTCTGAGAAAGTGCTTTCTTCACCTTGAATATTACTGGAGAGGTGAACTTTCTTTCACATTATTTTGAAGTGGCTGCTACCCACCGTGAGATAAATGTGTCTCTGTTCTCAGCCAGCCCTTTTCTCCATAAGCTCCTATATAACTTAATGGGGTGACTAATAGGTCATGTCTAACTCATTTGTCTTATTGATAGGAGAAATGGGTGTTGTCTTTAAAGAAGAGAAATCCAAGGCCCTTTTGATAAAATGCATTGAGGCTTTTATAGCTTTCCTTATGAATGAGACCTTTTAGAGTTAAGTGGTTAGTTCTCAAACTCCAGCACCTTTGCTTAGGATGCTGGAGGAAGGAAAAACAGCTGCCTCAAAGCCTGTTTCAAAGAATGCTCAAGCCCTCCTCAGCAGAGACTTGAAATTTCAGTGGCACTTTTTAATAACTCAGATGTTTGAGGCTATGACTAATGCTTGCCTTATAGTTTAACCTTATGTGGCTGTTTTCTTTGGTGGGACGTGGTTTGACTGTAATATACCTGACTTCCGTGATAATAAGGTTTGTTAAACCTGTACCCACCGCTTACCTAGAGGAATAGTTGGGTTTCTTTTATACTGTACTTTGAAAAGAATGTTTCTACAGAAATCGTATTTGAAAGCATTTTTCTTATTAGTTTAACTCTATAAACATTTGTTGCACCTTTCTCATATGCAAGCGGTATGCTAAGTATTCAAAGATAAGAGATAAAGGTTAAAAGGATGAAAAGACATGATCTATCCTCCAGGAGGCAGGAAAATGAGATAAGCAAGATTCTAAAAGTGCTCCCGTACAGGTATAGACAGTGTTGTTGTTTGGTGGGTGCCTTGAAATTACCCTTTGTGTTCTGTGACCTCCCTTTTACTTCTGTTTTTAAGCATCTCTTGAAGTAGTTGATAAAAAGTGTTCCATCTGCTTTCTGCTGTATCTTAGGATGACTTGCTTAATAACAGTGATGAGAGACACTTGCCAGTTCTGCTGCTTTAGAAATGTTTCAGTAAGAAAGTATAGAATTTCATTTCTGCTTTTATGTAAAGAAGTTTTTAATATCTGTGTTATGTACCTTTTTTTCCCTCTCCTGATTTCATTGCACTGAAGCACATTTTAATGAAAGCCTTAGAAATGCTGAATCACTGTGCCTTTCTCATGGATCCCTAGACTGGGGGTAGAGGTGGAAATGGAAATTCCCAAATATAGGTTGCAAGGCCAAGCTCCACATTTATGTCTGAAGAAATTTCGTAAATGTTCAATGTTGATCAATCTTTATTACTTTATAGCTGTGAAAGTTAACATGTTTATTAACTCTTCCAGAATTGGTGAGTGTAAAAGCAGATTGTGCAAACCACCTCTTTGCATCCTAATGTTTCTGAATGCCTTAATGTTTCTTTGTCAAACAATGTTGAAAAATCTTTTTTATCTGCATAGAGTGATGTATAACCAGTTGTCCAAACTGTGCCATTTTTTAAAGTAGAAGTGGGCACTCCTAATAATTATGCCAGGTTAGTAGGCATAAACCAAGGTAGTCTAGAGCAGGCAGGGAGTTTTGACACCTTGGATCCAAATGCTGTATTCCTTGATTTTTGGTGCTTACTCAAATTCAAGATTCTTTAAAGACAATTTTATTTTCTGATGATTTATTATAAATTCTTTCTTGCTAGCTAGGAAGTCAGATTCCTGCCGTGTAGCAGTATTAGGGTCTGAAATGGAAAAATTTAATTTTGCTTTGTGTGATATTGTGAAATGTATTTGGTAATTATCCTGTTTCCTGGTACACAGCTTCGAAGACCGTTGGAATCTCCAGAGTGATGAGTGTCTTTCATATGCCAATGAGATGATGGGTGGCTGGGGGTCCCTAAATAGCTTCAGGATGGGAGCTGGTCACCAGAAAGACCAGCACATTATTAGAGGTTTGGGATTTGCACCCCACAACCCCAAAGAGAGAGGCAGAAGGTTGAGTTGATCACCAATAGCCAGTGATTTAATCAGTCATGCCTATGTAAGGAAGCATCCATAAACACCCAAAAGACTGGGTTCTGGAAACTTTTGGATAGCTGAACATGTGGAACTTCCTGGAGGGTGGAGTTCCTGGGGAGGGCATTGAAGATCCTCGCCCTATGTGTCTCTTCCATCTGGCTCTTCATCTGTATTCTTTGTAATATCTGTTATGTAAATGGTAAGTGTAAGTAAAGTATTTCCTGAGTTCTGTGAACCGCTCTAGCAAATTAATTTAAGGGAATTGTGGCTACCCTAGTTTATAGCTGATCTGTCAGGAGCACAGGCCTCCATCTGGGGCTTGAGATTGGCATCTGAAGTGGGCATTTGTAGGCTTGTGGGACTAGGCCTTCAACCAGTGGATCTGACGCTGTCTCCAGGCTAAGAGTGTCAGAATTGAATTGGAGGACATCGAGGTGGTATGTGATGGAGAATCTGCAGAATTACTTGGTGTGTGGGGAAAACCCTCCCATACGTCAGATGTCAGAAGTGTTGGGTTAAGTGTTGTGTGAGACTAGAGAAGGAAAAAACATTGCTTTTTTCTTATATCTCTTACTTTGTTATCAAGATCGATCGTTTTCACTTGTGGAGACTTTTATGGGCGTAAATGGAATTGTATGATTACTAAATATAAGCATTTTATTAACCATTAATGCAATATATTAATAAAATGGACCATACATTTTAAAAGCAGGAGAAACACTTTAGATTCATTCATTCATTCTGAGATAATCCTATGTGGTCTGTTCCTAGGAGAGTTAAGGAAGCTTTTCCTGAAACTTTAGTCAAAAACTACTTGTCCTGCTGGGCGTGGTGGCTCATGCCTGTAATCCCAGCACTCTGGGAGGCTGAGGCGGTTGGATCACCTGAGGTCAGGAGTTTGAGACCAGCCTGGTCAATATGGTGAAACCCCATCTCTACTAAAAAAATACAAAAATTAGCCGGGCGCAGTGGTGCGCACCTGTAATCCCAGCTACTCGGGAGACTGAGGCATGAGAATCGCTTGATCCCGGGAGGCGGAGGTTGCGGTGAGCGTCACTGCAGTCCACCCTGGGCCACAGAATGAGACTCTGTCTCAAAAAACAAACAAACAAAAAACCCCCCTAAAAAACTACTTGTCCTATATCATGCTCCCTTAGGATTCTCGTCTCTTCTGGTTGGGAAGGGATTGTGGAGATGCACGATGCATAGCACCGGACCTTGGGGAAAGCTGACTTTAGTTGACCTGTGTGGCTCAGTCTTTTGCTTTCTCTACTACCTACCACCCCAGGTTGAAGAGAGAAGAGAGAGAAGTTTAAGTGAATTTAGATCTTGGTGATTATTTTTGTTTCCTTCTCTATTTTAGGATAGGACTGGTTCCACATTTCTTGACTTTCCAGAAACCAGTTGTTCCATTGTTGTTGGTATGGGACAACAGAAAGAGGAACATAGGATGAAGACTCCCACCTGTCTCTGCCATGAGATGTTAGCACACGTTTTTACAATTCTGGAACATAAATTTTTATGACCTTTATTATAAGGAATTAATTTTAAAAATCAATAGAAAGTTTTATACTGTGGAACATGGGGAAAAGATTTCCCTTCTGGAAGTTTCTTTAGCAAGCCTAGACTTTATCTAAAGAGCTGCCTTTATCTAAACAGCCTTCCCAAGTTTTCCAGGTCTTCCTAAGCAGTCATTACAAAATTGTAATATATAGAATTCAGGCTTGTAATGATTTTACTTGTAATGCTTGGCATGTAGTAGGCCTTCTGTGGAATGAATTGATGATTGAACACTTATATGTTAGAGTATAGGGGTTCCCATGGAATTCATGTTATAATCAAACTAAAATTCAAAAGGACCCTCAAAATACTCAAGTATTTTTGGCACTGTGCTCCTCACTGCTACTGAGGAGAGATAATTTTGGTCTTGAGTTTTTAGCACTGCATAAGTCACACTAACTATATGCTTACACTACCTAAAGTAGCAAAAATGCCTGTATCAACAATTCTTAGATAATGTCTCTCACTGCTACCCATCATTAATGTGATTGTGATAATCAAGAGCTGGTAGTTTTTGTTATTTTTATGGTGGAGCAAGATGTGTCTTTCTACTCAAATAGTTTCCAGTAAATCAGATTTACACATAGTAGGTGTTCAGTTTTGTTTGATTCAGCAGACATTTATTGAATACTTCTTTTGAATCAGGCGCTGTGCTAGACTCTGGGGAAAACGAAGAAGACTAACACTTTGTCCCTACCTTTGCTCACTGGTGGAGTGTCAGAATCAAGGTAGCCGCTGATGTGTGGTTTATGTTAGTGCAGTTACTAGTGGAAGGAACAGAAGGCTGTAGGCATCCAAAGGAGAGAATAACCGTTGCCTAGGGAAGTCAAAGAAAACCTCATAGAGGAAGAAGCAATTGAGCTGGCCCTAAAGAGTAATTAGGAGTTAAGTTTGTGCAGAAGGTGGAGAAAGGAAGAGCCACAGAATCGGCAGAGGAGAGGCTCCAGGTGCAAAGGCCTGACTTGCTTGGGTAGTAGCAGGTTATTTGGGTGGTGAGTGCAAGAAGGGGAAACTCAAGTGTAGGAAACTTCAAAGACAGAGTCTCACTCTGTTGCCCAGGCTGTAGTGCAATGGCACGACCTTGGCTCACTGCAGTCTCTGCCTCTCGGGTTCAAGCAGTTCTCCCACTTCAGCCTCCCATGTAGCTAGGACTACAGGTGTGTGCCACCACACCCAGGTAATTTTTGCGTTTCCAGTAGAGATGGGGTTTCACCATGTTGGCCAGGTTGGTCTTGAACTCCTGACCTCAGGTGATCCGCCCACTTTGGCCTCCCAAAGTTCTGGGATTACAGGCATAAACCACTGTGCCTGGCCTAGTGTAACATTTGTAATCAATTTTTAAATATCCTACTTAGTTCCTCTAAGAACCCAGTGACATAGGCATTTATAGACATAGCAGTTGAGATTTATAGTTAGTATCTTCAGTAAGGACAAATAGCTAGTAAATGGCAGAGAGAGCCAGGATTTGAATCCAGGTCTTCCCTTTGCAGAGCTCATGCTGAAGAGAGGTAGGGTGTATTGGGAGTGGCAGGAAGTGAAGGTGGAAGGTTGTGAAGACTGTGAAGACACAAGGGGGTCTGGATTTATTCTATATCAAACTGTAAGTCCTAGGAAGTCAAGAGATGAGCGCATATTGATTGAGCATAGATGAGTGCCAATTATGTGGCTCCCCAGCGAGCTTTACTTCTAGTAGGAAGAGACAGACCATAAACATGTCCAGAGCAGCAATGACAACCACATGAAGATTTTAGGTATTGACACGTGCTTGCAGAAGATAAAAAGGCATAATATGGTAGAGAGTGGTGGGTGTGATGATTTCTCTTGAAGAATCAGAAGATTGGGCTTACGGCCCTGGATGGGAGTAATTCACCTAGGGAGTAACCCACCTACAGGTAAGATGTGGCTCCTCTTTAGATAGGATGACACATGCTGTTTACTGCAGTGCCCTCATTCTTTGTTGCTAACACTAACCCTTCTGCATTTCTGGTCCCTTTGGGCATTTGAGTTTGGATCCTTGTCTTTGATTATTCTCTTCCATAAAGTCTAGACCATTTTTGGACATTTCATCCTGGTTTGGTCCAACTGCTAACTGTGCTTTCCAGCAGCCTACAGCTGAGCTGTGCTGTTGAAAGTCTTGCTTCAGCATGTGTCCCTAAATAATGCTTTCTGCTCACGGGTTGACTCATTCCTGCTAACTATGTAACTATTAGTGTCATTCTGTCTTCACTTATTCTCAGGCTTTGTTAGCAGGGTGGACCACTGTCCTTCTCTTTACAGTTGGTGAAAAAATAACCCAGGAGGCCAGGTGCAGTGGCTCACACCTGTCATCCAGGCATTTTGGGAGGCTGAGGTGGGAGGATCACTTAAGGCTAGGAGTTTGAGAGCAACTCAGGCAAGCTAGCCAGAACCTGTGTCTACAATAAGTTAAAAAAATTAAAAAGAAAAAATAACCCAGGAGCATTTGCCCAATGGTGATGCCCTGTGTGAAGGTAAATCATGCAGGAAGAGAGCTCTCCTTCCTGCCTTCCTCATCTTTCTCAGCCATGCCCCTCAGTTTTCCCAGCTATCTAAGAGTGAACCTTGGGAGTCATCTTTGACTCCTCCCTCTCCTGCCTATAAATAGTCGCTGATTAAGTCTTGACGTGTCTCCCATGACTCCATCCCTCCCCTCTTCTCTGCATTGTGTTCTTGTCATCGCCTCTGGTCTCTCTCTCTGTCAATCCATCAGTCCCACTGCTGACAGATTAATCTTTATGGAACACTTATTTCATCATGTGACTCCCTTTATCCACATTCAGCAAGCATAATTTCAGCTAGATGAATTTTCCTCTTGGAGCCAGGGAGAGGATGTAAAAGTCTCTTGAGAAGAACTGCTGCTTTCCTTCTTACACCACACATTTGCTGTTCCCTTCTCCTTTCAGCACTTTTCCAGGCCTGTTTACCCAAAGGTCAGTCCATAGCAGGTTATAATTTTGGATGATTCTATTCATTTCTGTCCAAACCCTGGGGCTAGTTATAGAAAACCCCTGTGACCAGTGGCAAGAACCGAATCTATCAGGAATGTGTTCTTAGACTTTCAAGTCCAAATTCTGTTAAATTCCTGCTTCAGAACATCATGTCATCTCCATCTTTAAGATCTGAATAATTAATTGCTTGTAGAATATCAGTTTTCTAAATGAAAATATTTTATTCCTTTCAAGAATGTATACAATTATAAGGCTTTATTCATACAAAGTATTCAGTTCACAATTGATATGGGCACCCTTTAACCTTATGAAAGACTCATTCATTCATATAATTCATTCATTCAGAATCTACTGAGTGAATTTTCAATTTTACAAGGGAGTCTTTGTATTTAGAATTTGTATGAATTCAGTATGATTTTAATTAAATTTAATGGTAGAAATGCTATTATAAAAAGGCTAGATCCAGTTATGTTTTACTCAGAATAATGAGAAATTAAAAACAATCATGTTAATTCATGGCCAGTTTGAATAAAACTTTTGCTTTCTATAAGTGACATGAGAGGTTCATTCTCCATCACAGGGCACCCCAGCCTGGGACAGATGTGAACCTGTGAATTAGCACAATGTTTCAAATAAAGTTTTGTTATATGGGTGTCCTGTATGGCTAAAGAATATAGAGAGGCTAATTTCCTCATCTGGAACATTACACATTGATAAATTCAAGCCATGTGTATTGTGAAAGATGTTTGTTACCAAGATCTACCTTAAGATCTAAGTGTTCTCTAAGCCTTTTATTTGGAAATGAAAAGGATGGAAATTCAAACAAGTCTTCTCTGCTGATAGGCACTAATTACAGAGTAGTTAAGTTCAAACAAACCAGTGAACCAAAGTGTAAATAGAACCTTTGTATTAGTCCATTCTCACACTGCTATAAAGAACTACCTGAGACTGGGTAATTTATGAAGAAAAGAGGTTTAATTAACACATAGTTCCACAGGTCGTACTGGAAGCATGGCTAGGAGGTCTCAGGAAACTTAAAGTCTTGGTGGAAGGTGAAGGGGAAGCAAGCAAGTCTTACCATGGCATAGCAGGAAAGAGAGAGAGAGAGAAGTGCCATACACTTTTAAACCATCAGCCCTCGTGAGAACTCACTGTCATGAGAACAGCATGGGGCAGTCTGTCCCCATGATCCAGTCACCTCCCACCAGGTCCCTACCCCAACACTAAGGATTACAATTCAACATGAGATTTGGGTGGGGACACAGAACCAAACCATAACATTCCACCCTAGCCCATCCCAAATCTCCTGTTCTTCTCACATTTCAAAACCAATCATACCTTCCAACAGTTCCCCCAAAGTCTTAACTCATTCCAGTGTTAACTGAAAAGTTCAAGTCCAGAGTCTCATCTGAGACAAGGCAAGTCCCTTCTACCTGTGAGTCTGTAAAATAAAAAACAAGTTAGTTACTTCCAAGATACAGTGAGGGTAGAGGCAGTGGGTAAATGCTCCCATTCCAAAAGGGATACATTGGCCAAAATAAAGGGGCTACAGGCTCCATGCAAGTCCGAAACCTAGCAGGACAGTCACTAAATCTTAAAGCTCTGAAATAATTGCCTTTCTCACATCAGGGCACACTGATGCAGGGGATGGGCTGCCACAGCCTTGGGCATCTCTGCCTTTATAGCTCTGCAGGGTACAGCCTCTGTGGCTGCTTTCATGGGCTGGCATTGAGTGCCCGTGGCCTTTCTAGGTGCATGGTGCAAGCTGTTGATGGATCTACCATTCTGAGGTCTAGAGGGCAGTAACTCTCTTCTCACAGCTCCAATAGGCAGTGCCCCAGTGGGGACTGTGTATGGAAGCTCCAACCAAACATTTCCCCTCTGCACTGCCCTCATAGAGGTTCTCCATGGGGGCTCTGCCCCTGCAGCAGATTTCTGCCTGGATAGCCAGGTGTTTCGTACATCCTCTGAAATCTAGGCAGAAGTTCTCAAGCCTTGACTTTTACCTTCTGCATACATGTGGGCCCAATACCACGTGGAAGCCACCAAGGCTTGAGGCTTGGACCCACTGAAATAAGAGCTTGAGCTGTACCTTGGCTCTTTCTAGCCATGGCTAGAGCTGGAGTAGATGGATGCAGGGTACCATGTCCTGAGGCTGCACAGAGCAATGGGGCCCAGGTCTGGCCCAAGAAACCATTTTTCCCTTCTAGGCCTCTGGACCTATGATGGGAGGGGCTGCCATGAAGGTCTCTGAAATGCCTTGGAGGCATTTTCATTCACCTCCTCTTAGGCAAGCTTCTGCAGCAGGCTTGAATTTCTCCTGAGAAAATGGGTTTGTGTTTTCTGCCACATGGTCAGGCTGCAAATTTTCCAAACGTTTATGCTCTGCTTCTCTTTTAAATATAAGTTCCAGTTTCAGCCCATCTCTTCATTCACGCATATGGGCACATACTTTTAGAAGCAGCCAGGTCACATCTTGAATGCTTTGCTGCTTTGAAATTTCTTCCACAAGATACCCTAAATCATCTCTCAATTTCAGTGTTCCACAGATCTCTGGAGCAGGGCACAGTGCCTCCAGACTCTTTGCTAAAGCATAGCAAGAGTGATCTTTACTCCAGTTCCCAATAAGTTCCTCATTTCCATTTCAGATCACCTCAGCCTGGACTTTGCTGTCCATATCACTATCAGCATTTTGGTTAAAATCATTCGAGAGGTCTGTATGAAGTTCCAGACTTTCCCACATTTTCCTGTCTTCTTCTGAGCCCTCCAAACTGTTCCAACCTCCGCCTGTTACCCAGTTCCAAAGGCGCTTCCACATTTTCCGGTTTCTTTATAACAATGTTCCACTCCTGGTACCAATTTTCTGTATTAGTTCGTTCTCACACTGCTATAAAGAACTACCTGAGACTAGGTAATTTATGAAGAAAAGAAGTTTAATTGACTCACAGTTCCGTAAGCTATACAGGAAGTATGACTGGGAGGTCTTAGGAAACTTATCATGGCAGAAGGCAAAGGGGAAGCATGCACACCTTACCATGGTGGAGCAGGAGAGAGAGAGCAAGCAAGGGGGGAAGTGCCACACACTTAAACCATCAGCTCTCATGAGAACTCACTCACTCTCATGAGAACAGCATGAGGGAAATCCACCCCCGAGATCCAATCACCTCCCACCAGGACCCTCCTCTAAAACTGGGGATTACAATTCAACATGAGATTTGCGTAGGGACATAGAGCCAAATCATATCAACCCTGGACTGGTGACTATGAGAGCAGGATGTGGGAAATCCGTCCCCATGATCCAGTCACTTCCCACCAGGTCCCTCCCTCAACACTGGAGATTACAATTCAACATGATATTTGCATGCAGGCACAGAGCCAATCATGTAAACCTTGGACCAGTGACTATGTTGCTCTTGAGCTTTGATCTGTAATTATATAGCTGGGCACACTCACTTTTGCTTATCTGCATGACAGTGAGGGAGTCATCCTGCCACATTAAAAAAAAAATCTTAGATGGTAGTGAGAACAAGGTAGTCACGTATTCCTGGACCACTTCTTTTTGCCCTCAGTGGGGCTAAAGATTAAATTTAGAAGTAGTCAAATCCAAGCACAGCTAGAGACATCATAAAGAACATTCCAGAGTCATGGAGATAGAGGTTTTTGAGTATCTGTTGAATTCCAGTGCCTGTTTTAGAACCTCCTTTCCCTTAGTGTGGTTATTTAATAATTTACTGCATCAAGTTGTAGTCTGAATCACTTAGTCGGGTGCTTTGTGCTGTCTTTTAATTGTAAGCAGGCCTGCTAATACCATATACTATAATAGCTGTATTGCAGATGGGCTCCATTAACAATGTGAATCAATCAATGCTTAAGAGAGTCCTCTCTCCCCATGTTTATCCTTGCTTTTTATGTTTTCAGGTAAGTAGAATGCATGAAATCAACTTTAGCTCAACTCTCCAATGCATTGGTAATAAATATAATATATTGCCTTTCTATGGAACCTGAATGGTTTTATTGAGGCACTTTCATATCTATAATCTCACATGGTCCTTGCAGCATAACTGCCAAGATGATTATTATTTCTGTGTTCTGGATGAGGAAATGCAACCAGAGAATGAGTCAAAAGCCCAAACAAGTCAGGTCAGTTTGCTAGAGGTCTTAAGAATTATTAGCGTGACCAAAACGACCAGGACTGTGGTTTATAGACTTCCAGTCTCTTGTTTCTTTTTTCACACATCTGTGGGTTGAATAGGGAAGTTTCTGTCCTTTGTAGACAGCTTTCTTCTTGATGATAAAGACCTGTGAACTAACTGCAGCTGAACTATATGCATGTGTACACACCTCACTTGGCCTTCCTCTATGACCAGCTGGTTTTCTCATCTTTTTTTTTCCTTCCCTAAATGAGTACTCCAGATAAATAACCTTGTTTAAACTACTAGCATTTTTAGAATATTTTGCTTATCTGCTTACCTTTCCTTCTTTAATTTTCACTTTCCTCTAGCAGTTTTTCCTTCTTTCTTGTATATGGAACAAAGTGGTTATGTTTGGTGTTTCCAAATAATATGTCAGACATTCGTACCATTCTAGAAGTAGATTTTCTTTTTGTTTTGAAAAATATTTTCTAATACAGAAGTATGCTGCTTGAAGAAGTAGGTCTTCAAAATAAACTGAATTTAATTATAACTGGTTAATATACCCTTTATTTTTTACTAATTAAGGAAATGATATACACCAAATTTAAACTTTTTGTCAGCATGTGAAATGCAGTATAGCCAGTGTTTCTACACTGACATCATATTTTGGTGCAAAGCAAGGAAATTGGCATTTTAACGATCCAGTGTAGCCATTTATTTGCAGGATAAATATGATTGTGCTGCTAGGCTGTATAGAATGTCAGAAATTCCTTTGACTTCTCTCTTCTGGAGGAAGAATGGTTGGAGGTCAAGTTTCTGGAGGTCTGACAGATCAGCTGTTACCAACTATCTGGAACTGGACAAGTTACTTAGCCCCTCTAAGCCCCAGCTTCCTTATCAATCGCACAGTGCCTGGCATACAGGAGGTACATGGGAAATGTTACCAATTAATGACTGACCAGAGGCTTAGGGAATCCAAGTTGTGAACTGCTCTTTCATGAATAATGTATTTCTTTCATTAAAAAAGAAAGGAGATTTAAGGGTAATTGTGAGACAGTTGTGGCGAGGGGTGATTCTCAGGGTCTTTCTGGTTGTATGGCTGCAGATGAGCTTGATTGGTCTACCTCAGACGTAAGTGAACACCTAAGAAGGAGAGACTACATTGGGATGCACATGATGTCTCAGAGGCTGCAAGCCCTGGACCACATTGAGGCAGTTGTACTGTAGGGGTGTAAAGAAGTTTTCCATAAACCTTTGCCTATAATCAGGGCACTCTAAGTCAGGCTTGGATATTAGGCATTTTAGTGGGTTGTCAAGGTGAACCATTTGCTTCTTGGAGCTAATTGTCAGGATGGGTATGGTATGGCCCCAAATACTCATACTATAAATAGCACACGTTCAGATGATAATTTCCCCAAGATGTATTCCAATTAGACATCCACCCACCTCCTCTCTTTTCCCCAACTCACCAAACGAAACCAAACCTAAGAAATACTTTCATCTGCCTTTGGTAGTTTTCTGGCTTTGGAATGAAATGGAACAATTATAAAACCATGACAAATAGAATAGGACATAGACCTCCCAACCCAGAAGAAATTTAACAGGGTAGAAATATCAGACATAAATTCTGTTTTTATTTGGACACTAGGACAATTGAATATGTTATGACAAGGAGATAAGATTTTGGTTTTTGCGTCTTAACAGTCTTAACCAAGAAGAGTTAATACACTGATTCCCCTCTTCTTATAAATTATGGCTAAAATTATGAGAGTTAGTAAACTTGGTAATTACTGTGGACAGCCCTGTGTAATGTAATGGAGTTTCATCTCTGCAGAACGTTTAGACTGTAGTTAGAAGCATTTATCACCGTTGGGCTGCATAAGTACTGTCACTTGTTCCCTTCAGAACCAGTGTGATACTGAGATGATGCCGTCTTATTACTTTTGGCTTTGCAGTGGTTTGTTAAACAGTTTTTGGAAATGGTTAATTATTATTCTTTACCCTTCTGATTAACTATAACTATATCCTTATTTATTCTTTTATTTGGGATGTTAATCCTTTTAAGACCTACTAATGCATTTTAGGATTGTTACCCAAATAGTATATTTATGAATTATCTTGTCTGCCATCAGATCTTAAATTTGTTTTTCCATTTAGTTTTTCAGAGTTCTTGGACTTCCCTTATATTTTCACACCGTAATGTGTTAAACATTTATTAACTTACTTGTATGAAACACTTGTTTGTGATGTAATCGTTTGAGAATCTTTGTTCTTTCACAGAAAGCATAATCTCTTCCTTGATACACAGACCTACATATCCAACTATTTAACCTATATCTCCACTTGGATGTCTTATAGGCAACTCAAGCTTAACATACCCAAAATGGAACTCTTGATTGTACTATCATCTACCCTAGCCCGTCCCTCCCAAATCCTTCCCATCTGGTTAAATGGAACATCACCTTCCAGTTGCTTAGGCCAAAAACCTTTTGCCTTCTCTTCCTCTCAAGCATCATGCCAAGCCATCAAGTTTTGTGTTCCCTTAAAAAACTATCCAGAGATCCAGCCACTTCTTCTTTGCTGCCAACCTGGTCTAACCCACTATCTCTCACATGCACCATTAGAGTATCTTCTTCTCTTCTCCCTGATTTTGTCCCTCTCCTATCACTCTGGTTCTCCTCTGTTTCACACATATCAGGCAGAATGATCCTTTTTAAATTCTGATTGGATCATTTCACTCTTGGCTCAACCTCCAGGGATTTCCCATCTACTCAGAATGACTTTTTTTTTTTTTTTCCCACCTCCAATCATAATGTGGTCACTGAAGAAAATTAGGCTACTGTTAGTTGTTATAGTTGGTTGGCAGGAAGTGCTCTTTATGTTTGTGTATTTAAACACATGCCCTAGAAAAACTAATGAGATATAAAAAGTTGGGCGCTTATAATTCTATTTTTAATTTTTGGAGGAACCTCCATAGCATTTTCCATGATGGTTGCACCATTTTATAATCTCACTGATGGTGCACAAGGGTTCCAATTCTCCACATCCTTACCAGCACTGGTTATTTTCTGTTATTTATTTTTTAAAAAATATTAGCCACTCTAATGAGTATGAAGTGGTATCTTTGTGGTTTGGTTGCATTTCCCTAATGATTAGTGATGTTGAACATCTTTTCATGTGTTTATTGGCCATTTTTACATTTTATTTGGAGAAGTATCTTTCAATTCTTCGCTCATTTTCTAATCTAGTTGTTTGTGTTTTTTTTGGTTGTTGCTGCTGAGTTGTAGGAGTTCTTTATGTACTCTGGATATCAATCCCTTACCAGATACATGATTTACAAATATTTTCTCCCATTCTATGGGTTGGCTTTTCATTCTGTGGATAGAGTCCTTTGATGCACAAAAGTTTTAAATTTTGATGCAGTCCGATTTATCTGTTATTTATTTTGTTGCCTGTGCATTTGGTGTTATATTCAAGAAATCATTGCCAAATCCTATGTTATGAAGGTTTTCCCCTCTGTTTCCTGCTGAGTTTAGTCACTTTAGCTCTTATGTTTAGGACTTAGGTCCATTTTGAGTTAATTTTTAAATGGTGTAGGTTAGGAACCAACTTTATTTTAATTTTTTGCATGTGGATGTCTAGTTTTCACAACACCATTTGTTGAAAAGACCATCCTTTCCCTTGTGAATGTTTTCCCATTTGTTTGTGTCTTTAATTTCTTTCATTCTTTTTCTTCTTCTTTTTTTTTTTTTTTTTGAGATGGAGTCTCCCTCTGTTGCCCAGGCTGGAGTGCAGTGGAGTGATCTTGGCTCACTGCAACATCGCCTCCTCGGTTTAAGTGATTCTCCTGCCTCAACCTCCTGAGTAGCTGGGATGACAGGCCCCCACCACCACACCTGGCTAATTTTTGTATTTTTAGAAGAGATGGGGTTTCACCATGTTGGTCAGGCTGGTCTTGAACTCCTGACCTCAAGTGACCCACCTGCCTTGGCCTCCCGAAGTGCGTGATTACAGGCGTGACCCATCGCGTCTGGCTTGAAGTAGTTTCCTTCTATCTGTTTTTGCATATTTTATCTCATAAGTTTCTTTAAAAGGGAGACCAGACTATGAGTAGAATAATTGACTGGCTGTGCAATAGATAGCCAGTTTTGGGTAAGACACTTATATCTAGATTTAAATTTCCTAATTTTAAAAATAAGGAGGTTGGGTTAGATTTGGGAATCTCAAACTTTAGTGTGAGTTGGAACCACTTGGGGAAGTTGTTGAAAAGATTTTGAGTTTGTAGGTCTGTATGGGGTCTGGTGGTTTGCATTTTTATAAGTCTCAGGTGATTTTGATCTGGATGCGTTTGTTCTCTAGAATCCCTTATGGCTCTAAAATTCTTTGAAATATCCTCCAGTAAAAGGCATTTGGGTATTTATTAGAGGACATGAAATGAGGGTATGGGCCATTGAATTAGGGATTGTTTGTTATTCCAAATCATGGTTGCATTTGTGGACAAGCTGCCTCCTGAGATTTGGGCATGTTAGATGGAGAGTAGGAATTATGAAGTGAGGACATTTATTGCTTGAAAATGAAAAGAGTAGCTGCCTTCAGGAGTGGCTGGTGTGAGATGATTCAGGGACAAAAGAGCTTTTGCAAAATAGAAGCAGAGGAGAGGGGCTAAGGAACAGTGGTCAGCAGAGAGGCTGTTGGGGGGATCACACTGCCTCGATTTATCACTAGGAAGTCCAGAAAGTCCTGATTTGCCGCCAGGAAGTCCAGAAACAGACAGTCTCTGGTCTGGGAATTCTAAACAGGAGTGCTGGGAGCCTAGAGCAAAGGAATGTTACTGGAGGTGAAAAACTGATGACCAATTTGCATACACATGCACACTTACACCTGTAAAGTTAGTATAAATATGTCATATAAAATTGGTGGTTACTCTGGTATATTTACTTACATGGTCTAAGAATTCAGAGTTCATAAAAATATAATATGAAAAGTGAAAATTTCTCTCCCAGCACGCCCCAAAGGCTGTTACATTTCTGTTTTTAGTTCTCACAACGTTAAATAATTTATCTCTACCCTATTTTTAGATCCTTCAACCTAAGTACTATCTTTTGTCTGCCTGCTCTGAAAGGCAAAGACTGTATCACACTATGGTGTTCTTCCCCTTTTCGCCCTACCACTTCGATTTTTCTTCCTTACTTATTTTGAATTTGCTGTGGTCATTTTACATTTGAAAAGGACTTGGAGCAGCGGGACTTAGGGTTAGAATTCTGTGTTCAGTTGTTGTCTTCTGCCCCTGGGGAGAAAAGTAAACTTGGAGACTCAGCAAGAACAGCTGGAACCCAAGTACCCCCATTTAAGGATTTGCCGGGAGCTCCTGCTTGGCATACAAAGCCTCAGAAGGTTGATGGTGAGGGATGGAGAGACATTTTGTGAAGGAAAAATTGCATATTTCCTGCTCTGTTATTTTTTTTTAAAGTTAAGAAGGGGCCAGAGGAGGAAGAGTCTATACAGATTTTGTTGTGGTTTCATCAGGAAGCCACTGATGGGTTTTAAACAAGGAAATAACATTACCTGATTTATATTTTAATAAGATCATTATGGCAGCTCTCTGGAAGACGGACTGGATGGGGCAAGAGTGGCTGCAGGGATACCAGTTGGGAGGGGTTTACATTTGTCCAGGCAGTGATGGTGTGGACTGCACTGGGTGATGAGCAGAGGAATTGCAGGGATGCAAGTAGATTTGGGATACATTTTGGATTATTGTAGGCTAGAAGAGGAGAGGAGTTATAGTAGACAGATTCCCCTAAAGATGTCCACATCCTAATCTCCAACACCTGTGAATATGTTCTCTTGCATGGCAGAAGACACTTTGTAGATATGACTAAATTGAGGCTACTGAGATGGGAGTATATCCTGGATTATCTGGGTGGGCCCAGTGTAATCACAAGGGCCCTGATACAGTCAGAGAGAAGGAGATGTAATGTTGGAAACAGAGGTTTGAGTGATGCGAGGAGGGGCCCACAAGCCAAGGAATACAGACAGCCTTTAGAAGGTGGAAAAGATTAGGAAACAGGCTCTTCCCTAGAACCTCCAGATGGAGCCAGCCCTGCCAACACCTTAACTTTAAACTTTAGACTTTGATTTTGGACTTTTGACCTCCAGAAGTGTAAGATGATAATTTATGTTGTTTTAAGCCCTGACATCCAGGGAAATTTGTTAGGGTAGCAGCAGGAAATAATCCAGCAGTCAAAAATGACTACTATTCTTTGTCCTGGGGAATAGTGCTGCTATGTCCCAATGTGGGGCCGAAAAGGAAGGTTTAGGAGGCTGACAGGAAACTGAGCCTGTTCAGCTCAGGAGGACTGTTGGTCATCTGTGTGCATATGTTAATGACCTCGTTGTCCCCGGGATCAGGGGCAGGTCAGGATGAGATGGAAATGTGGGAGCCTTCACCAGGTAAATGGTATGTAGAGACCTCGGGGTTTCACCCATGGAGAGACTGTATTACGTGAATTGTGGAAAAACAGCTTAGTAATTTCTTTCAGAGGCTACATAGAGACCTATTCCCTCTCATTGCTTGCTGTCTAAATTATAGTTGTTTTCTTTTGAGTCATCAAATGACATTTCAAAAGACAATATGAAGCTGCCACTTTGGGAGAAAGAAAGCAATATTAAGCAGCTTTTTCGAAGATCAAATTTCTGGACTCTGTAGATAGTTGCAATATTTCTTCTGTTATTATTTTTTGAAGGATACATATGAGCTCATTTGACAGATTTAAACCTGTAGTTTAATTTGGGGGGAAGGCTTGTATGGCTATATATTTTTAAAAATCTAGTTCTTTTCAGTTGGATTATATTTAACTGTTGAAAGAACGAAACTTCCCATTTTTGTTTGCATCAGTTACTTCTTGCTGTTTTGTTTCAAGGGCCTTGGTGACAGCTGAAAATAAGCTTTGAAAATAAAGTTGAATTTTGACTGGGCATGGTGGCTGACGCCTGTAATCCCAGCACTTTGGGAGGGCGAGACGGGTGGATCACCTGAGGTCAGGAGTTTGAGACCAGCCTGGCCAACATGGCAAAACCCCGTCTCTATTAAAAATACAAAAATTAGCCGGGCGTGGTGGCACGTGCCTGTAGTCTCAGCTACTTGGGAGGCTGAGGCAGGATAATCACTTGAACCCAGGAGGCGGAGGTTGCAGTGAGCCGAGAACGCACCACTGCTCTCCAGCCTGGGTGACAGAGTGAGACTGTCTCAAAAAAAAAAATAATAATAATAATAAAAAGAAACAAAAGTTGAATTTTGTGTTGAGGCAACACATCTAGAGGAAGCTATACATACATCTTCTGTACATAGAGAGTAGGGGTTCTCAACCAGTTTGCTCCCCGCTGCCAACACTCCCCCATAGGACATTTGGCAGTGTCTGGAGATATTTTTGGTTGTCAGAACTGGGCGGGGGAGGCTACTGGAATCTAGTGGGTGGAGGCTAGTGATGCTGCCAAATGTACCACAGGGCACAGGACAGTCCCCTAAAATCAAAGAAGTATCTAGCCTAACAGGTCAATAGTGCTGAGGTAGAGAAACCCTGCAGTAGAACTTGTAAACTTATCAGTTAGGAATATGGCAACTGTTATCTTTCTGTCACTCAGCACTGTTTCCTACATTGCATCTAGTTGCTCAGTGAACCAGCCAGCTTAGTTTTTTTCTGCCCTAAGTACTACAACATTTTCTTTCTTTGTTTTTCTTAGAGATGGGTTTTTGCTCTTTTACTCAGGCTGGAGTGCAGTGGTGTGATCGTTGCTCGCCGTAGCCTCAAACTTTTGGGCTTAAGCAATCCTCAGCCTCTTGCGTAGCTAGGACTGTAGGCTCACACCACCATGCCTGGCTATTTTTTTCTACTGTTTGTACAGAAAAGGTCTTACTGCGTTGACCAGCCTGGCCTCAAACTCCTTGCCTTAATTCATCCTCTGGCCTCAGCCTCCCGAAGAATTGAGATTACAGGTGTGAGCCACTGCATCTGGCCTACGTTCTTGCAGATTCTATAATTTTTATTTTGTGGGAAATTGGCTAATTTAGTATTCACTGGAATAGGAAGCAGAAAAAAAAGAGTTTGCTTGAAGTCTTCATTTAAATGGATTATAAAATTTTCTTTTTGCCAAGATAAAAGTGTTAAATTTATTATAGTCCTCTACTTTTGGAAAAAAATTAATGTACTGTAAGTAGCTTTTATTTTGAGCTCTTAATCAAGTATTAATAGCATTATGTTTTCTCTAATTATGGCTAATTAAATATTGCCCAGATATAGTTATTTGCTTATTTCAGGTAATTAAAAACATCATCTGAAATAACCGTAATTGAAATAATATAAAATTGTAAAAATTGCTCTGTTTGTTTTTTATTCTTTGGCACTATTACAAAATTTTGAAGCACTGTGAATTTTTTTAAAAATTCAAGAAAAGTCTTCTTGCTGTCATTTGGTGACTTAAGTAGCAGCTCGGAGAACAGATGTAGGAATGAAGTGATTTATATAATGCTTCAGAATCTTTTTGTTCCTGAATTTCACAATATAAACTTTAATTATGAAATTGGTAAGAGATTTTGAGAAACCTACATTATTTAGTAGGATGTGGGATATATCTTAATTTCTGTGACTTAAAATGAGGTCTCTAAGATGGGAGATATAGTTAGTAAATAAAAATAAATAAGTTTATGCCTTTAAAAATTCCTAAAATGAGATATTGTATATGACAATGTATATGATGATGTATGCCTAAAAGTAGTGACATGTTTGAAATATTAGAAGCAGTAGAGATATCATGACTTCCAGAACATGGAAGTGAACTTTCGGAAAATCAAAGATAAACATTATGTTGTTTCTTAGGAATGTTTAATATATATACATTCATGCATGTGATCCATGTGGTTTGTTAGAGAGCTGTGTCTTCATTTGCTGATCATTCTTTTGAAATTTTAACATGTATGTGCAAGACATAAGAAAGTGATGCTCTTGGACTTGAATTCTTTTTGGGAAGTTTATAGTGCATAATATCTCTTGGTTTTCAAAGTGACACTGTCCTAATTAAAAATGTTGATTTTAAAACCCGATTAGTATGTTGCTTTACAATTGACTTCTATAATTTTTTCTCTGTTATCTTAGGTTTCTCATTTAAACTCTAGCTCTATCAGACAGTAAGTTATCCACAGAATTATATACCCTCCTTTATTCATTTACTAGGATTTTTTTATCCCTAATATGCCCTTATTTACTCATTCATATGTCTCTCATTTACTCACTTGTCCATTACTACGAAATTTATTCACTCAGTAAACATTAAAGGATATATCTTTAATTAGTGTATTAGTCTGTTCTCAAATCGCTATAAAGAAATACCTGAGACTGGGTAATGTGTAAAGAAGAGGTTTAATTGGCTTATGGCTCTCCACACTTTTAAACAACTAAATCTCATGACAGCTCACTACTGCGATGCCAGCTCCAAGGGGGATGGCTCTGCAGGCTATACAGGAGGCATGGCAGCATCTGCTTCTGGGGAGGCCTCAGGAAACTTTTACTCATGGTGGAAGGCAAAGTGGGAGCAAGGTGTCTTACATGGCAGGAGTAGGACCGAGATGGGGGGAAAGTGTGACACACTCTTAAACAACCAGCTCTCATGAGAACTCACTGTTGTAACAACAACTCCAGTGGGAATATTGTTAAACCATGGAAAACCGCTTGCGTGATCAAATCACCTCCCAACAGTCCACACCTCCAACACTGGGTATTATAAATGAACATGAGATTTGGGTGGGGACACAGATCCAAATCATAAAATTCCACCCTGGCCCCTCCCAAATCTCGTGTCCTTTTCATATTGCAAAATCCAGTCATGCCTTCTGAACAGTCCCCCAGAATCTTAACTCATTCCAGCATTAACTCAGAAGTCCAAAGTCTTTTCTGAGATAACGCTAGTCCCTTCTGCCTATGCACCTATAAAATCAAAACCAAGATAGTTACTTCCAAATTACAATAGAGGTACAGGCATTTGGTAAATACTCCCATTCCAAAAGGGAGAAATCAGCGAAAAGAAAGGGGCTTATAGGCCCCATGCAAGTCTGAAACCCACCTGAGCAGTCATTAAACCTTAAAGTTACAAAATAATCTTTGACTGCATGTCTCCCATCCAGGGCACACTGTTGTGAGGTGTGGCTCCCAAGGCCTTGGCAGCCCTGCCCCTGTGGCTTTGCAGAGTTCAGCCCCCAAGGCTGCTCTTAAGGGCTGGCATTGAGTGCCTGTGGCTTTTACAGGCACAGGGTGCAAGCTGCTGGTGGATGTACCATTTTGAGGTCTTCAGGATGGTGACCCCTTCTCACAGCTCAACTAGGCAGTACCCCAGTGGGGACTCTGTGTGGGGGCTCAACCTGACATTTCCCCTCTGCACTTCCCTACTAGAGGTTCTCCATGAGGGCTCCGCCCCTGAAGCAGGCTTCTGCTTGCACATCCAGGCTTTTCCATATATCCCCTTGAAGTCCAGGCAGAGGTTCCCAAGCCTCAACTCTTATATTCTGTGCACCGGCAGGCTTAATGCTACATGGAAGCTGCCAAGTTTCATGGCTTGCACCCTCTGAAGCAGCAGCCTGAGCTGTACCTGGGCCTCTTTTAACCATGACTGGCCGGAGCTAGAGTGCCTGGGAAGCAGGGAGCAGTGTCCTGAGGCAGACTGCAGTGCCCTGGGCTTGGCCAGTGAAACAATTCAATTCTTCCCTCCTAGGCCTCTGGGCCTGTGATGGTCTGCTGTGAGAGTCTCTAAAATGCCTTGAAGGCTTTTTTCCCATTGTCTTGGCTATCAGCACTTGACTCCTTTTTCCTTATGCAAATTTCTGCAATCCCCTTGAATTTTTCTCCTGAAAATGGGCTTTTCGTTTTTCACCACATGGCCAGGCTGCAAATTTTCCAAACTTTTATGTTCTGCCTCCCTTTTAAACATAAGTTCTAGTTTCAGTTCATTTCTTGACTCATGCATATGAGCATAAGTTGTTTGAAGCAGCCACATCTTGAACACCACTGCTTAGAAATTTCTTCTACTAGATATCCTAAATCATCTCTCTCAAGTTCAAAGTTCCATGGATCCCCAAGGCAGGGGCACAGTCCAGCCAAAGTATAATAAAAGTGACCTTTGCTATAGTTCCCAATAAGTTCCTCTTCTCCATCTGAGACCTCATCAGGCTGGCCATCTCTGTTCATGTCACTATGAGCACTTTGGTCATAACCATTCAACTAGTCTCTAGGAAGTTCCAAATGTTCCCCCATCTTCTGTCTTCTTCTGAGCCCTCCAAACTCTTCCAGCCTCTGCCTGTTACCCAGTTCCATGGCTGCTTCCACATTTTCAGGTATCTTTATAGCAATACCTCACTCTTGGTACCAATTTTCTGTATTAGTCCATTCTCACATTGCAATAAAAAAATACCTGAGACTGTTAATTGATAAAGAAAAGAGGTTTAATTGGCTCATGGTTCTGTAGGCTGTACAGGAACCATGACAGCATCTGCTTCTGGGGAAGCCTCAGGGAGCTTTTACCCGTGGTGGAAAGCAAAGTGGGAGCAGTCATTCACATGGCCAGAACAGGAGGAAGAGAGATGGGACGAGGTGCCACACACTTTTAAACAACCAAATCTCATGACAACTCACTACTGCGATGACAGCTCCAAGGGGGATGGTGTTAAAACCATGAGAAACCGTCCTCTTGATCAAATCCTCATGATCACCTCCTACTAGACCCCACCTCCAACATTGGGGATTACAATTGAACATGAGATTTGGGTGGGGTACAGGTCCAAACCATACCATAGTTTAAAGGATTTATTCTTTATATCTAACTGCCTATTCACAACTCCACTTGGGTATGTAATGTGCATATCAAACTTAGATTCAGAGTCCTGAATTCCTACCACCACCTCCTTCTCCTGCAATTTTCCCCATCTTAATAAATTGCTTGCTCCTTTTGGTTACTCAGGCCAGACATTTTAGAGTTTTCTTGTCTCCTCTATTTCATTATAATCCATGTCTACTCTGTAAGTGAGTCCTATTGACTTTGCCTTCACTATCTTCCCAGAATCTGACCAAGTCTCATCAACTCTATTGTTATTTCCCAAGTCAAACCCCTATCACCTCCTACCTGGATTATTTTGCAAAAGTCTCTTAAGGCTACTCTGCTTCTCCCTTGCCCTCTGACCACTTTAGTGCATAGTCCGCACAATAGCTTCCAGTGAATTTTAAAAAATGGAAACCTGATCATATCATTCCTCACTCAAAATTCTCAGCAAATTACTATTTCATTCAGAATAAAAGGCAGAGTTCATACAGTGGCCCACAAGGTGCTACACAATTGACGCCTCATTGGTTCTGTGACTATTGCCTGCACAACTCCTCTAGTCTCCCTCCACTTGACCCACACTGGCCTTTTTATTGCTATTCTTTGAATACACCAAGTGTGCCCCTGCCTCGGGGCTTCTACAACTAGCTGTTCCCTCTGTCTGGGATTCTCTTTCCTTAGGTATTTACATGACTTGCACCTTCACCTAGTCTTTGCTCAAATATCAGCTTTTCAAAGACTCCTTCTTTGACCATCCTATTTAAAACTATCACCTCTTTCTTCTAAAAACTCCCTAACTTATTTTGACTCTTGTCTACTTTAATCTTTTTACCTATATCACTCATCACTATCTAACTTACTTTATATTGTTGGTTGTATTAGCCATCCCCCACAAAACACACACCCTAAAATGTAAACCCTGGAAGGCCAGGGCTTCTGCTTGAAATGTGGTAGACACACGTGATTATTTGCTTAATGAGTAAATGATTTCATGTATGATGTAGAAGCCAACAAGGTAATATATAATCTGAGGAAATAGATATATTCCTCAGATACATAATAGACATATTCTATTTTTATTTCTATATGTCTTCAAGGCTCCATCTAATTTTCTAGGTTCACATTTAGAAAAAAAAATGGAGTTTTAATAGGCCTAAAACATTACATGGACGTGGTGAGACCTATCATTTGCGTATGAAAATAGGAGATTCTGCATAGTGGTCAGTATTCTAAATGTTAGTTTTAAAAATTGTGCAAATACAGGTTGAGTGGTTGATCGTTTCCAGAGCTCTGTGGAAGTTCGATATTAGAGAACATGAGGTCACGTATCAATATTAGCTTTTCTACATCTAGCTTTGGGTAAAGTATGTGTAGTACACATTTGTTTTGAGTAAAATTGTGAAACAGGACAGTTGTGGGCCTCTATGTTGAGGAACAGGCCTTAATCATGTTACTTAGGAAGTCTACTGGCACCTGCATTTTTGTAAAATGGAGAAATCCATTTTTGGCATGACTCCCAATGTGAAAGTTACTCTTTTCATCCAAAGGGGTAGAATACAACCCATCCATAGTCGTAGATGAGGTCAGAATTCAGTGCAAAGGACAGAGCCAGACATGGCTGAGGACCAGAGAACACTGAACTTTTCCTAATCTGTAGCTGTAGTTCTCTGTAGATAAAAGGGATCTCTGCCCCAGTAATGTGCAACTTGCTGAGGGTAGTCAAGGAAAGCAAAGACCACTTAGGAATATCATTGTCAAACAGCTGTATATTTAACATGAACTTTGAGCAGTCTCATAAGCAGAGCCTGAAAAATTCTGCAAATGGAAATATCAGCTCTGGTATAGAGATCCCAACATAAATCACTGGGTAGAAACAGTATGAAACCTATCAACAAGGATCAGTGAATCGAGGTATTTCAGGAGAAGAGAGCTCTGGCCTGGACAGGTCTGCTCAGCCTTCTTTGATTACATGTTTTCAGTAATTTATTAGTGAGGGAGAATTGGAGGTTAATATTTGAATCTACTCTATATCATTTATGGTTTGCTAGGTAGAACAATGCTAAAATGAACTGTATAATTACTGTACCATAATTTTCATTTTGTATTTCAGAATTTCTCATTCTTAACGAATCCTTGTGTAGTCATCATAAAGACTCAAGTTAAAGAACCTTCTATTGCCTTGGATTGATATTTGCATTGACATGAGTCCACTGGATTGTTATAGTCAAAATTCCAAGGACCAGAGTAGGCAGACTAGGGAAGTAGGACTCCTTAAGGAGGGTTGCCTCACATGAGGCTTTTTTTTTCTTTTAGAATAGTATTCACATTATATAAGCAAATTTAAAAAACTGCCATGTAATGAGTCACAGACACTAAGCATGGTGCTTGGTGTCTTGCTTTCCAAAACTTATATTTTATTTCCATTCTTTTATTTAAATTATTTAGTGGGTGTTCAATAATTCTGGCTAGAAAGACAAAATATGTTCTTGCTTTATGACACAAGTGTTAGCAGAGAGAGAAGTGTTCCTTGGAGTTGTGCAGTTTGGTGATGTAGGAATTGACGAGGAAAAAGAACAAGGTGAATCACACCTCAGCTACTAGATTAATGCACCACATTAAATGTTACTATTCAGGAAGGCAGTTACCAAGAAGCTTCCATGGTAACTGTTGTCATAGTTGTATTTTTACTCATCTTTCAAAAAATATATGAAAGTGAAATAATACTGCTGTAGTGATACTTGTGCTGCTTTACCCATTTTAAATAGCAAGTGCTCCAAAGGCTTGTAATTCAGTCTTTCTCCTTAGTTGGCATTGCCAGTTTAATATCCAGCAAACATTAATCACTAACAGTAAATGTATAGAAGACGTTTCATATACATGTCCAAGGATGCTTTGTCAGTGAAAGTGTATTGTTACAGAGTCCTCCAGGGTTGCTAAATAATCACTAGGGAAAATCTTAGTTTGACCTCCCCCATACCCACCATAAGATTAAATGTAGCTTCTCTTCTTTGGCTGGCCATGAAGAATTTTAAAAAGAAATATTTAGTGTGGCTAATGTGATTGACTGGAATATGTATTTGGATTATCAGTGCCTACTTCCTCTTTCTCTTCAGCGTCCATCTTTTGCATATTTAAGAGTACTTCGGCTGGGCGAAGTGGCTCATGCCTGTAATCCCAGTACCTTGGGAGGCCGAGGTGGGTGGATCACTTGAGGTCAGGAGTTCAAGACTAGCCTGGCCAATATGGTGAAACCCTGTCTTTACTAAAAAAAAAACAAAAATTAGCTGGGTGTATTGGCGCACACCTGTAGTCCCAGCTACTTGGGAGGCTGAGGCACGAGAATTGCTTGAACCCAGGAGGCGGAGGTTGTGGTGCTGAGATCATGTCACTGTGCTCCAGCCTGGATGACAAAGCGAGACTCCATCTCAGGGGAAAAAAAAAAAAAGAGTACCTCAAACTGAGGTACATAAGAAAAGAGAGGAAGATGAATTTGGAATCTCTTTAAAATTGATTTATTTAGAAAAGAGCTCTTGTATAAGATTTGGTCAGAAGTTAAAATTGACAAATCCATAAATCCAAGCTTTCCTTTTTTCTGTACCATCAGATCGCATAATCGAATATTGGCTAGATTTCTTTTAGAGTAGAAGTTCCATCTTTTTCGGCTAGGTTGGCACAGAGAACAAAGTCACACGGTGATCTGCTTCCTTTAAGTAGGAGATGTTCATCGTGGGTTGTGAGAAGAGTGTGCTTTGTTGATGCTTTGGTCTTGTTTCTGTAATAGCCTTCAAACGGTATGACTTAAGCTTCCTAATTTAAGGCCAAAAGATAGATTGATTAACATTTTCGGGCATGTATGTTTTCGGGCATTTTTCGGGCATGTATGTTTCCCCCCTACTTGTCATTCTTGTAAAATGCTTTATTTTATGATAAACTGTCATGTTTAACTCACACCACAATCCACATTGCAGTATAACACTCCAGAATGGAAGGCATCTTGTGTTTTACTTTAAAAGCATGTTTCTTAAGCATTTATTTGTTAGCAAATACTTATTAACACTTTATAATTTCATTCTATTAAATAAATCCTAGAAGAGCTGTCTGAATTCTTTCTTTAAATGCGGAGAAAGTCTTCCTCATAAGCCATTCTCAGCTCTCTCCAGCCCCCAGCAGACTCACTCCACAAATTCAAATGCGCTTGTTGCCCTTACTCCAAATTTGGTAATTAATCATGCTTATATTGTGTGTGGTATCTTTACAAATAATATTTATGCCAGGGGTAGTGGCTCACACCTGTAATCTCAGCATTTTGGGTGGCTAAGATGGGAGGATTGCTTGAGGAGGCCAGGAGTTCAAGACCAGCTGGGGCAACACAGTGAGACCCATCTCTAAAATAATAATAATAATAATAATAATAATAACAACAACAACAACAACAATAACGATTCTTATTTAATTGACATATTATATTTTTCACTCTTTTCAGTTACTCATTTGATTTCCTTAACCATATTATAATCTTTTTGATCTAAGTGTTAATTCTCGGCCAGGCATGGTAGCTCACACCTATAATCCCAGCACTTTTTGGGAGATCAAGGCGGGTGAATTGTTGAGCCTAGGAGTTTGTGACCAGCCTGGACAGCATGGTGCGACCCCATCTCTATGAAAAAATAAATAAAAATATTAGCTGAGAGCAGTGGCATGTACCTGTGGTCCCAGCTATTTGGGAGGCTGAGGTGGGAGGATTGCTTCAGCTAGGAGGTCAAGGCTGCAGTGAGTTGTGATTGCACCACTCCACACCAACTTGGGCAACAGAGTGAGACCCTGTCTCAAAAAAAAAAAAACAAAAAAAAAAAACCAGAAAAACAAAACTAACTCTCCTATACTAATCTGCTCTAGTATCTTACATAAGGTAGGTATTTAATACAAATTGTTGCTGGTTAGCCCATAATACTATCAATTGGAACATGGTAGAAGAAAACATGATAATATTTTTCTCCTTCAAACTACCTGTTTAAATGCATCATGGCAAGAATGTTCAGCAAATTACCCTAATTTGCAGAACCGCCTTCATGTAGCATTTGCAGCTGTTTCACTTCTGTGGAAAATGATTCATATTATTTTGAAGACATGACAACTTGAACAAGGTCAAAGCATAATACATAATGGTAATTAGCAATAAAAATACAAAATTTGCAAATTTTGCTGAGTGTAAATGCACATTGGAATTTGCTAGATGGTGGCTAACTATCCTGGGAGGGAACTTTAGGGTGGGGTTGATTGATACCCTTCCAAAATGTTACTGTATTCTTTTTTCTCTTTTTCCTACTTTACTGTCTCCTTCCTAAATGACTGAGCTTTTTCACTGTGGCTGAGCTACATTGGTCACATTATTATTATTGCTATTTTCTTTGAGAATGGGTCTCATTCTGTCACCCAGACTGAGTGCAGTGGCATGATCTTGGCTAACTGCAGCCTCAAACACCTGGGCTCAGGTGATTCTCCTGCCCCAGCCTCCTGAGTAGCTGGGACTAGAGGCATGCACCACCATGCCTGGCTAATTTTTGTATTTTTCATAGAGGCAGGGTTTCACCATGTTGCCCAGCCTGGTCTTGAACTCCTGGCTTCAAGCGATCCTCCTGCCTTAGCCTCTCAAAGTGTTGGGATTACAGGCATGAGCCACTGCGCCTGGCCGTCAGTTGCATTATTGTATTATTTAATCCTCGCACACATCATGTTGTTAAGCTATTATTATTTGTATTTTATTGACCGGAAAACATTGAGGCTTGCAGATGTAAGGACTTCTGGCATAAGTATGGCACTTTTTTGTCATTTAACTAAAACTAACACCTCATGTTTCTTCCTTTGATCTATGACCTTGGACAATAACATTAGTTAATCTCTCTCTGCCCTTTAAAAAAGTTTCTTTTCTATAAAAGGGTAATAAAAATGTCTGCTGTACCAATTGCATGGGGTGCTGTGTTCTAGATAGACATGACAGTACTTTGAGATGATTAAAATGTAAGAAATGTGAGGCATTATTATTTTTATCATAACACAAACCTGTGCAATCACCAGTGTATCAATTTAGAATGAGGGATTAGAACAAAATTACAATTAAAAATGGTCTGTTGATATTTTCTTTTGGACTTCAAAACTTTTAAGATATATTTACATATTTGGATTTTTGCATTATACAGAAAAAGATTCACAAGCTGGACTTTCATGTTTCTCTAGCTACAGGATAGGTCCAAACTAGTCCTCTTTAGAAAAACCTCTGTGATTGAAAAGAAGTGACTTCTTTTCCTCAAACTTATTTCAATTTAAAGTTGACATTTTATTCTCATTGATATTTAATTATCTGGGATGCTGGATTCTGTGCCTACTGTTTTCGTATGAAAAGAAAAACATACCAAACAGCCACGCTGATGAAAGTCTTCCTGGTGAAGTGGACTCTTGTTCTCAGCAGCTCAACCCATGATGACAAAGGCAGGGTCCCTCTAGCATCAAATTAGCGAATTTTCCTCCTCCCATCTTGTTAGTTGGTGAATTTTCAAATCTGCCTTCTCTGAAACATTATAAAATGTCCTGAATCTCAAAAAAAGGTGATGTTTTATATTCTATGACCTTTCTCCACCATATTTGAAGATAATGGAGTGGAAACTCTTGAAGGGTCTATTGAAAAACTGTAAAGGTAAGGAAAAGAACCGTATGCAACAAGATAAAGGAAATAAAATACTTCCTGAAAAGGTTATGGTTACACACACACACTCACACACCTGTCACATGTATACAGTGTAGCTGCTGTATTCAGTGTTTTAACAGACATAGAATAAACATTGTTTTTTCTATGTTAGAATAAACAGAGAAGACAGGCATCTGCTTACTGACTTTTGCGGTCTCTAATGCCCTCTTTCCTGAAGCCGAGACCTGTAGCCCTCTTCTTTACGAAGTTGAATGTGAATCATTCCACTGGTGTTTGCTTAGGCCTGCTTGATACCCTAAAGGGCTTCTTACCTCTGTTTGTAAAACATTTTCTTGTCTATTGATATTCCACTTTGGGCATGTTTCGTTCATTACTTAAATGAATATCTCCCTAAATAAACTGAATATATCTTAAGATCAGGAAACCACTTCCAAATTCTGTTATGTTTCTCACACCACCTATAGTTTAGAGCAGGGGTCCCCAACTTCCAGGTCACATTGATATCAGGCTGTGGCCGGTTAGGAACTGGGCCACACAGTAGGAGGTGAGTGGTGGGTGAGTGAGCATTACTGCCTGAGTTCCACCTCCTGTCAGATCAGCAGTGGCATTAGAGTCTCATAGGAGCATGACCCCTATTGTGAACTGCACGTGCGATGGATCTAGGTTGCATACTCCTTATGAGAATCTAATGCCTGATGATCTGAAGTGGAACAGTTTCATCCTGAAACCATCCCCCACTCCACCCCATCCGTGGAAAAATTATCTTCCGTGAAACTGGACCCTGGTGCCAAAAAGGTTGGGGACCACTGGTTTAGAGCATACTAAGGTGAAATATATGTCTCAGAAGATGTGATGATCCATAGTGTAGGCACTCAGTTACCCAAGTTGCTCAATTTCTACTAAATTTTACAATTTAGTAGAAATTCAGCCTTATGATATTTTTTGAATTCTGGGAAAATGTTATTTCCCATTTTCAGTTCCAGTTATGGGTACGCTCTACAGAACTCACAAATTCTTGCCAAGTAGTGAAGAATACTGTTTGAACACCTATTATGTGTGAAACATAGTTGCATGAAAACATGTATATCCTGCAAATGGCTGCCTTTTATTTTTATGATTAGATATAGAGTTATTTTTCTTCTTGTTTTTATGTCTATATTAGCTATTCTAGAATATAAGTCCCAAGAAAACACAATAGTATCTATTGAGCCTATTTAATGTACCCTACACAGAGTTGAGCATGTATGATTGCTTAATGTCATAACATTGCTTGATGATAAGGTGAGAAACAAGTCTTAGCCGAAGAACCCAATAGCTTTCTTAAAGTTATTTAATATACCATTAGATGCCATCCACTAGAAAGAAAAAATAAAAACAAAAGCACATTGCTAAGACGTGTAAACTGTTCTCCAGTGAAGGAGGTTTGTGTATATAATTGAGTTTAATTGTTTTTCTTTTCAGAGCTCCTGTAATTTCCCTGTGCCAGATTCTGAGTTAAAAGAAAAATACTAAAGTGGTTAGGCAGCAGCTGTTCTCAGTCCTTCAGGGTGGTAATTCTGAGCCCAGGGACATGCTCATTCTTGTTGTGAAATGATGTTCTTTGGCTATAAAACCCTGCATTCTTCCCCAGTGCTATTATAGTGAATGTCCTTATAAAAGCAAGGCTGTTTAACAGATATCCCGAAAGAGAAAATAACTGATTATGACCTAATATGTGGTTCATGAACTCTTCTCTGAAGCATTCCTAGGATCTGATTTTGTATTACTGAACACATTTCTAAACCTCACTGTATAGTTCCTTTGTAAAAGAAGAACAATACTGTAGGTAGTCTTTGTATTTTTAATGGATTTCAGTGATGCTGGTCAGTTCATTATCTCTAAAATCTGTTAAATCAACTAAAAATGATATGGCTGTATATTGTAAGACTTTGTACTCATCCCAGCCATTCTTCTAACTTTTCTACCATTTGGAAGAAGCAAGCCAATATTCTGTTAAAAAAAAAAAAAAAAAATATATATATATATATATATATATAAAACAACAATGTGGTTTATAAAATAATGACTCACTTTACATGATTTGAAAACATTTAAAATGGGCATATATAAAAACTGTGTAATATTTTGTTAAAGAAAAAGTGACAAATTGAAATGGACTGCATAGCATCCAGAAGTTAAACACTATTTTAATTGTGTCTAAGACAGGGCAGAAATAAAATGATAGGGAAAAGTAGCACTTGTCAGGTATTTATTTTGGTATAGAGAAGAATCTGTACTGTCTAAGCACTTGCAGAATGTATAGCAATGGAAAGAGAAACAGAATGTAAGCAAAATAACATACATCAATATATTTAAATGACTTAAAATGGATATAAATGTATTAGATGAAACTAATTCCATTTGATACATTGACAAAGAAGATGAATATGGTGAGGAAATCTTAAATCATTTTATAGAAAATGTGCTTCCTCTTAGAATTAAAATATTAAAACATTCTTACTGATAAAGGTAATAAAATCAGGTTTTTTTTTTCCTATGGATAAACAGATATCTTGTTGCTGGCATGATAAATTGCTTCAGTTCTGGAGAGTAATCTGTTAAGATGTTTGAATCATAATGATATGATGATGATGATGATGATGATGATGATGATGATGGCGTGTGCCAGAAATGGTGCTGAGTGAGTTTGAGGGAGTGGCCATTTAGGAGAAGGCTCATTGTCTTGGCCACATGTTCTTGTTTGCGATCATAAATGTCACTGATCATGTCACGTGAAGCCTGCCAGTCTCCATCCCACCTTTTCAGATTCATTGTTTGACATTTCATCTGAAAACCATTTTCCTACAGGCCATATTCATTTTTTAAAAAATTTAAAAAGCTTATTTTTCTCACATTCATTTTGACTCGATTTTTATAAATGTTTTCCTCCATGCCTTGAGTGTCTTTTCTTTCTCTGACACGTGGATTCTTATTCATCTTTTGAGTTGTTGTTCAAATAGCACCTTGTCAGTGGATCCTTTCTGCACCTCTCTGTGCCTGGATGGGGTTCAGCCATGGTCCCTGTGGCCCATTAGACAAGCTGAGGCTGACAGTTGTACCTGCCCCTCTGGAGACCATCACTTCTTAGAGGGCGGAAGCTGTGTCCCAGCTATCTTTATATGCAAAGCAGGACTTAATATGTTTGTGTGGAATGATTGAATGCAAAAGCAAAAGGAAAACCCAGTATGATTTACTAGCTCTTTGATTAAATTCTATTAAACTGAAGCTAGTCACATTGACTTGGTATAAACCTATTCTAGCAATTATCAAATTGTGTAACTCCTACAATTCTGTAAAATGAAGGTACTACATTTACCACCAGATTACCTTATTTTGCAAGAGTGTTGTCAGTGTTTGTACTTGTCACATCACTTATTTGCTATAAAATAAGCCTTTTACTGAGTCTCTGTCAAGTTCTTCTTAGTGTTTATAAAGATGTTCAAGGAGGTATATTTATCAGCTCTTTTAGACCAGGGTGCCACTAATGAACTCATCTCTACTGTATAATATTCTTAAGAGAAACTATACTTAAGGATTTATCTTATTCTTAGGAAGTAAATTTTACATACTTAAAGCTTTTTTGATCTAGAGCTGAAAAATCTCTCCTTGTACAAATTATTCATCAATATAAATATCTTTATGCAAAAATTAATGCTTCAAGGTACAGAATGAATTTGAAGACTAGTGGATATTTGTATTGAATAGAGGTTCTGTTGTGGATAACAGAGACCACACTTGACAGAAGTTTCTCTCTCTCTCTCTCTTTCTCTCTCTCTCTCACTCATAGTTGTATGGATACAGGAAGCCCACAAGTATGGTGACCCTGTTCTAGAAGGTTGTTTGGAATTTGACTTGGTGTCCTATGGCATTAAGGATTTAGGAGCCTTGTTTCTCATTGTTCTGTATTTAAAATTTAATATTTGTTAATTTCCTTTTTACATTTTATGGATTATTATTGAGTGACTATCTGATTTGGCAGTGTGCTTGACTGAAAGTATAAGTCATGGTTTATTTATAGTGTTTTATGGGTTTGGTATGGCAAAAAGATCTTGACAATGAATATTTGGTGAATTACTTGGAAGGTCAGATATGCTGGGGAAGAGTCATTAATCTAGACCTGTTTGCAAGACCCCTGTGATATATGTTGTGGAGCTTACCACCCAGGGGAGGGATGGGAAAGGGAGAGACAGGGAAGCACAAATAAAGTGCTTCCAAAGCCCTGAACGTGAAGACTGTGTGAAGAAAGACTTCATGAAAAGCATTGCAGGTGGGACGCCTTTGAAGGATGGGGAGAGTTTCAATCATCATAAATACAGGGAAGGCAAAGAGGAGCATGGGGTAGTATTGGGGGGAAGGAGGGAATAGAAAGTACTGGGAGGGAGATGCCTGGTGTGTTCATGCTGGTGTCCAGTTACCATGCATGAAGCACTTCACAGATGATTTGCAGCACCCACTGTGCCTTAGGAATGCAATTCTGGAGGAAGGACGTTAGTGAGTCAAGGAAGTACAGTGTAGGTGTTTCATTTAGCCTTGTTCTTTTTTTTTTTTTTTCCTGATAGTGTGACAAAGGAGAGTTTTATGTTAGCTAATACTTTGACAAAACTTTATTGATTTGTTAATTTGCAATATTCAAGATGCTTCTGTGAGCTATAATAATCTTTAACATCTAGTAAATAGGATTCATGTTTAGATGGAATTATCTTTGTAGTTTGAATTAAGACAAAATAATGACAATATTTATAAACATATGACTCTTAAAGGGGGACATAAGCTCTCAGTATTCACAAAAGGCCAGGTTCTAAGTGCTTTCTGAAGTTACAAGGTTGTACTCTCCCATTTTACTGTCATATTCTGCTGATACATCATTTAGAGAACGTTCCAAGAAAGTTCTAATTCCTGCTGAAGAGCAGAGCACTGACATGATTTTTCACTTAGGTGTGCAGAAAGAGTTGTTTAGCTTTATGCACAAAACGGGCTGAAATCAAGCTTTAATTAGTCAGACTTTTGCATAATTCGTCACGGTCACTTTGTAAGTCCAGCAGAATATGCTGTTGGTTTTTATCTTAGTGGGTTCATTTTCAAGGATGTGTTGTCTTATTAGCTCTTTGCTACCCAAATATTTAGATTTTCCTAGCAAAACCATGATATTGTATCTAGTCTCCTAAAGAAATGAATTGCTATATGATGATACATAAGGAAATGAACTGATACATAAAAGTTATTCGTCTTAAATATCATTCTTGATAATAATCTGTCTTAAAGACAGGAAAGTAAGTTAAGGTTCTTCTGTCTTTTTGAATCCATAGGCTGTCCATCTGGCCCAGGCAAGCTTCCAGATTGAAGCCTTCGGCTCCAAATTCATTCTTGACCTCATACTGAACAAGTGAGTATTTAGACATAATCTTCTTAAGAAGCAGGTGCAATAAAGCTTTGTTTTTATAATATCGGTTTAGTCAAAATAATGTCTGTTGTTTAACAACTATTTTCTAGCAGATTATTATAGAGCATGTAAAGTATAAAATTCTGAATGGTGAATTATATATTTTTTTCCGAAATAAAAGATATTTAACATGTTAAGCATCTCAAACCCAGCACTTACATATTATAATTTTAAATGGAATAAATATTTGAAGTAATCCAGTTAATTAAATGTTAATTATAATCATCACTATATATAAGAAGCATGATAAATTTACTGATTCAAGTATAATTTGACTACAGTCTAGAAATTTCTTCCATTTACTCTTTATAATGCAATTCGCATGACTTCTGTGGGAAGAACAGAGTAAGTGATGACTTGCAAATACCTATTTTGAGAAGATTCTTTGCTTTATAATTTGCTCTAATATGGTTTCTTAGAAATTTTGGTCCTGATGAAAATTTACCCGATTGTCTCTGAGCATGTGTTTGTTGATATTTAAATGCTGTTTCCTAAGTTCAAATCAGTTGTACAGATGTCTTTGTACAAAGTGTGAACAAGAGCTGTTGACTTAACTAAGGCTCTTCAGCCTCAAATAGATCTAGCAGTGAGCCTTTCTTTGGTGAAAGAGATTTTCTATGTGGTTTTCTTGAGTTACAGAAATTATAGTCAGTATTTTAAGCTTTTGTCAGTATTTTGATCAGGACTGCATCTTTGCAAGAAAAATACCTGTTAATGCTATCAAACACTATAATGTAAGTGACCACAACCAATATTTGAGAAATTGCAAAGAATTATAAAGAACAACTATTAAATTTTTTGTATGCCAAATTCTGTGAGCTCTGCAGAAAAAAATGCAAAGTCAGCTTGGGTGTTCCTTACCAAGTGTTATTGCAGCTTTAAGTCAGAATGAATCAGCAGAACTCAGAATTGCCTATGTAAAGGTATTGCAGGTTTTCCTCTTTGGTTGAGTTCCGTTTCACCATGCTGTGTCAGCAGTTTGTCTGCCTAAGGGACTTGTCTTGCCAAATCTTACACTATGTTGAGTGGCAAGATAGAGCTAATTTTAGTGTAAGTCCTCAATTCCTTTAACTCTTACTGCGGTGGAGACCATCATTTCAAACTGTAGCGAGATGATCGCAACCAACCCTGCTGTGTGTTTTGAGCAATAAAATATCTCAGCCATAGCAGAGCCTCCCAGTCAATTAGTACATGGCAGAGAAAGGGTCATATGGGATGGCCAGGGTACTTAGAGGTCTGGAAATGTGCCAGAAGTTATCAGTAACATTTAGCATGCAAAGGAATCAGGTTGAGCACCTATTATGAGCAGTCCCTGACTTGAGGAATTTAGAGTCTACTTGGGGGAAGGTTGATAGACAAGTACGTAATTTTAGAAGAGTATGAAATATGCTGGAGGTTAAAATGGAATGTTATGGTAGCACCAAGGAGTGGCAGCTCTCAGGCTGGAGGAGTGTGAAAAGGCGTCTTGGGAAAGGTGATGCTTGAGCTAAATCTTGAAGTGTGTTCTAGGCATGTGAGATAGTATATCTGAAGAGGCAAGGCCACGTTGCAGTGTGGCATGTTAGAGGAGCATGAGCCTTTTGTTGACCTTCCTCATAAATGACAAGATTGAGACGAGGAAGATGAGTTGGGAGAGGTAAGCCTAGGGACAGCTCAGCTCATGGAAGTTCTGGTATTTCACGTGTCAGTGCTGGGCCATTATCCCCTAGACTGAAAAATCAAGTCAGGGGAATAAACAGAGGTCCTGTTCTCAGGAAGTGCTAAGAGGCGTGGAGAGGGAATACTTTCAATAAATCTGCAGTTGATAAAAATTATTAGGATTGCTCCATGTGGATAACAAGGCAGAGAGGATAGTTAAAGCCAACAGAGGTACCTCGATTGGTTGGTTGGTTTGAGGGTGATGTCTAGCTGAAATGGGCAGTACCAGGGAACAAACAGGTTAAATGGTGAAGGGAAGAGAATGTGGCATCAGAAGAGACATGATAGATTTGAGGGGCTTTGGGACATACATGTGGCCATGTCTAGGAGGTAGCTGGATATAACCTCAGGGGAGAGATGGGAGCTAGAGATAGTAGACTTGGTAGGTATTTTTATATAAATGTTAATGACCAACATGGCTGTGAATGAGGTTACCGAGGGAGGGTAGGTAGAGTAAGGAGACAGAAGCTGAGAAGACAGGTAAGAGGAGGGGAGAAGAGGAGGCACCCATGAAGGAAATTGAGAAGGAGTGATTGGAGAAATAGGACAATCAGGAGAATGATTAAACAGAGTTTCAAAATGGGAAGGTGTGATTTACAGTGTCATCTGCAGTAGAGCCATCTACTGGCACATGCTGTGGAATAATCTAATGAGGTAAGAGGCAAAATTTGCCCTTTGGATTTGCCATTTGAGCAGTCACCGGTGGTTGGAAAGCAGCAGTTTCAATGAAACTCTGGGGTGGAGGAAATGAGAGGGGACAGAAACCGGGTTACAGTAGGCTGGGAGTGAATGAGAGGAGATGATGTGGAGGCAGCAAATATCCATTGAGGAGGTTTGGATGAGAAGAAAAGAGAGCAGAAGACATTGGGATCAAGGCAGGGCTTTTTAATGATGACAGAGCAAGTTGGCAGAGCAAGTTAACAGAGCAAGTTTGGTGGACTGAGAGACGGAGCTGATAAGAGTGGGAGGTTGAAGATGCAGAAAGGAGAGAGGAGATATCTATAGGGCAAGAGCTGGGTAGAGACTGAAGGGAATGAGATCAAAGCCCAAGGGCAGAACTTAGTTTTGAACCGGTAAAGACAGGTTGTCCTGCACTGGTGTGAAGCTGTAGGGTGTGTGCAGATGGAGATTGACTTGCAGGTGAGGGGATGGAGTTGAAGAAACACATTTCTGAAGTTATCTACTGTAGGGGTTGGGATGGAGAGGGAGGTTGGGTTGGGGCTTGAGGAAAATGACAAAATTGCTGGGAAGAATGAGTGAGGAAGCCCATCAAGGTCAAATGCAAGAATTTTTGAGCAACCTTCATTAGAAATCATGTGCTATGTGTTAGTCTTTGTGTATTTCTTTCTGGTGTTGTTTTTTATATTTTATTTGTATTATTTTTAAAAATTGGAGTGCTTTGTCACTGCAGAGTGTGAATGAAGGAGGCAGACTGTAGTGTGGACCCAGGGCTCAATCTCTGTGGTAGCACAGAATAAGAACAGTGTAGGCAAAGCTCTTTGAATACTCATGAATAACTTGCATAGTTAAGTATCAGGATCCAGTCTGGGTTAGAAGGGAGATGAGGTCAAGAGGAGGCTATGAACTGGGGACAAATGGAGGTCTCTGAAGGGAAAACTAACTGCAGTGAGAGAGAGGCCATGAGAGCTGCACTCAAGTGCTATCTCCCTTGATATGGTTTGGCTGTGTCCCTACCCAAATCTTACTTTGAATTGTAGCTTTCATAATCCCCATGTGTCATGGGAGGGCCCCAGTGGGAGGTAACTGAATCATGGGGGCGGGTTTTTCCCCTGCTGTTCTTGTGATAATGAATAAGTCTCACGAGATCTGATGGTTTTATGAAGGTCAGTTACCCTGCACATGCTCTCTTGCCTGCCGCCATGTAAGACATGCCTTTGCTCCTCCTTCACCTTCTGCCATAATTATAAGGCATCCCCAGCCATATGGAACTATGAGTCCATTAAAGCTTTTTTTCTTTATAAATTACCTAGTCTCAGGTATGTCTTTATGAGCAGCATGAGAATGGACTAATGTAATACATCCCCCATGCTGTCCTGAGCTTTCTGAGTGCAACCTGAGTGTGCAAGGCTGGCATGATGAACTGGAAATGAGGGAACTGTGTTAGAACATGAGATGTGTTGCTGGGGGTGGGCTCTAGTTTAGATTACTTCTGTCTGGGATTAACCAAAAAGTTTGATATGTGTTAGAATAAAGGTAGAGAGTCAGGAGAATGTTTAAGTCAGTAATAGAGGACCCAAAAGAGCTTCTGAGGAAAGAGGGACCTCATTTCCACTATAGGATGATCATTGCTACATTACAGACAGAGGTGTTAAGTTATCAAAGGAGGGAAAGGTGTCTGGTAAGTATGTGGGCTCAGGGTGTGGAGGAATGAGCACATAAAGGTGTTACCATAAGTTAATCCAGGTGGTGACCATAGAATCTTCAGAGTTGGTGACCTCACCAGGCCCAGAAGCCCAGCTTGTGAGGACTAACCTGACAGGAGTTCCTGAGAGGAGAGCCTGGTTTGCATCTGGCTTGTGGAGGCATCTCATGGCAGTGCTGTGTGTTTTATTCATTTGTTCAGCAAATGTTGAGTGAGCATCTGCTATGTGCCTCTGGCTGTTATAGGTGCTGATGTTGCTGAGAATAAGATAGACAAGACTTGTGCCTTCCCTTTTAGAGCTTCATTCCAGAGGAGGAGGCAAACAGTGGGCCACCACATAAAGACATATAGGATGGAGAGGGACTGGAGGTGGGGTGTCCAGCATGATTTAGATGGTCAGAAGAAGCAAGAAGGCCTATCTGAGGAGGGAACCTGAGCTGAGCCCTGGTTGTCAAAGAGGAGCCACAACACGTTGCTGGAAGGCTGAGGGTTCTGCACAGCTGGGACAGCAAGACAGCCAGAGCTAAGGAGGATGTGGGATGTTCAAGAAGGGCAGAGGCCATTATGCAGTGCAGGGCAGGGGATAGTGGGAGAACGAGGAGACGAGATCAGAGAGGAAGCAGCTGTGCAGTCAGGCGATGAAGGACTGTGGTCCATGGTGAGGAGTGTGGGTCTGAAGCCATTGGATGGCAGTAAGCATGGAAGAGACATGGTCAGATTTCTATTTTATTTAGCCCCAAAGGTCTTAGTTATGGCCTTAGAGGTCCTTTAATTACACTCCTCTCAGGGTGCTCCTCTTTTAAAATTTTGTTTAGTGTTTCCTCTAAAATAGCCGTTATTCCAGGTTACAGAAGATTTTGAAAAGATCACTAGGGTAACGTTTCTTGTCTTTCCTTTTTTTTTTTTAGTGTCAAACAAGCATTTTAGATATTTTTTATTTTGATTTTTATTATCCACTTTATTGAGGTATGATTGATGTTAGAGCAACAATTCTTAATGTTTATCAGTCCTTGGAAGTCTCAGAAGGTCTGAGGATTGATTGTCTCTTCTCTGTGTGTGATCAGAATTATGCCAAAGCCTATATTACCCATAATTATATTTGCTGGTGTTTTCAGCAAATGTTTACTGAGAATAACCATGATTAGAGTGGCACAATGGTTGAAAGCATGGGTAACTCTTTGATCTTGGGCAAGCTTCTTAACTTCTTCCTTTTCTTCATTTTTCCTCTTCCTCCTCTTTCTCCTTTTCCTCCTCCTCCTCCTTCTCTTCTACCACCTCCACCACGACCGTCATCACCTATCATAAAACTCACTTTTCTAAAGTTTACCATTCAGTGTTTTAAAATTACATTCACAAAATTTTGCAGTTATCACCACAATCTAATTCTAGAACGTTTTCATCATCCCCAAGAAACCCTGTACCCATTAGCAGTCACTCCCCATTCCCTTCTTCCTTAGGCCCCTGGTGACCGCTAATCTACATTCTGTCTCCATGCATTCGCGTCCTGGACATTTCATACGATATGCAGCCTTTTGTGACTGACCTCTTTTACTTAGCATAATGTTTTGAGGTTCATCCATGTTGTAGCTGAGTAATATACCATTATTTGGATATATTCTAAGCTTCTTAAGCTTTAGTTTCCTTCCGAAGCTGTAGGTTGTTGCAAGGATTAGATGAGATAACATGTGGTGCTTGCACGTGTTTGTTGACAATGAATTATTATTACCTCCGTGAGGCAGTCACTGCGCTGAGATGTTGGGGGATTCTACATTGAGGAGAAGAGGCATTGATCTCATGGAACTTATGATCTGGTGAGAGCAGCTCAGGTCATAAGAAATGCTGCTTGTCTTCCCTTTGGCTTCAGTCAGTCTTTTTCTGACTTTAGTAAGTGAGAAGGGAGGGGTCCACTATGTAATCTTTTCTCTCTTCAAAGTCGGCTGAAGAAAAAAAAATGGAGACAATTTGGTAGGCCCTGGGTTGATAGGTGCTCAAGGTAGTGAGCACTGGGAATTCAGATAACATACTTCCATTGAGTTGAAAGCATGCTCGCGAGACACTTGGTACTTGTCCAGTTTTCCCAGAGCTGCTCACCAGACATCCATTAAAGAACATGACACGACTTGCAGGCTATTGCGTATATGTGGGTATTTAAGTTTCCAGGCCATCTGACTGGTCCGAGGTGAACACCCAGGTCCTCAGCATGCTGTCCTGTTTATTGTGAAGTGAAATCCCTGTGCTTCTTTTAGCCCCTGCCCGATGCAGAGAGGAAAGAATTCTTAGGATGCATCAAGGGTAATGCCTTCTTGGTTAAAAAGGCAGCATTATGTTCCTTCTTAATAGAACGCTACTCCAGCGAGAGAGTGTGGTGATGTGACATGTCTTTGTACATTCATCTTGAATGATGCCCAGGGAGAACTCCGGGTGAAATCAGTGTAAGACATCCACATTGGGTGGCTGACTCCAAAAACTGAGGAGTAGACCCAAAACTTGGAGAGTAAGGTAGTTTCGGATTTAGGAAAACAATCTTTATTCTGATTTTCTGGGAATCAGAGGTGTTTGATTTAAGATGAATATCTAGAAAATGCTGATTTAAAGAAATACATGCAGGCAGTACTTTGCTCGTTAAAAGCAGTTCACGCTGTGTTTTGGAAAGAAGCAGACAGCTACACTGATATAGTTTCAGTTAGCTTAAATACAGAGCCCAACCTTCTTGCTGACTGACATGGTTAATTCATTCTTCATTCAGTCAACAAACATTTATTGAGCTTCTCGTTTGCGTAAGACACTGTGCTGAGCAACACGGGGGAATTCAGAGCTGTATGAAAGAATTTCTCGTCTTCAAGAGCCTGTGGTAGAGAAATGAGATTACAGTGTACACGAATAGTGTTAAAACATGATAGAAAGTGACTTGAGAGATCTTGGTGATGAGGGAAGGTTTTCTGGGGAAGGTGGGATTCCATGGGACTCCTACAGGAGGCTGCCTTGGTTTTGGGTCCCCTGGTAGCAGACCCTGAGACAAGGAGGGAGGAGCTAGGAAAGGGTGAGTTCTCAAGCTGTTTACTCCTCTGGGCAGCTGGGATTCTCACTGAGAGCTCTGGGAGTCTGTGGACTCATGCCAGAGAGTTATCCCACCTAGAGGCAGGGAGCTAGAGTTTTGTCCACTAACTGCCAGGCTGTTGTTGGCTGAAGTCTGTTTCTTGGGGCAGTAACACTTTACTACCTCCTCCTGGGTAGAGTACAAAGCCCTCAGGCCCAGGGTCTCAGGCAGTTCCAGTCAGCTGCCTTCAGTGTGTGGAAGTGAATGCCAAGGGCATAGTGGCAGGGCCCAGTGGAGCCCATAGCAGGTGCTTTAGACTTTGAAAGGTGTGGGAAGGAGAAAGACGCAGACTCCACAGGAAGTGGCAGGCAGAGGTGTGGAAGCCCAAAAGCACCAAACTCCTGGGGTGAGTCAGGACTGGTGAGGCCCCCTCTCTTAAAGAACCTGAATTACCAAGCTGCAAACAGAAGGCAAACTGCCTGGTGGGAGTCCCTGGATCCTAAGGGGGATATTCAGCTTTATTTGGCTAAATGTTTTTTTCAGCTCTGCGGATTTGGAGATTGAACTTAAATATGGTTGTAAGAAGGAACATGTGGAGAAGAAACAGGCCTCCTGCCTCATTTTTCTCTTGTGGTCGAGTAAGACCAGGACAGGAGTCAGGAGCTGTGGCTGGGGACAGCTTGAGGCACCTTGACCTATACCAGCCTGAGCTGTGGTGTTGCTGTCTTACGTCTTGGTTTCTAAATTTTTGTGATTCCTGAATCCAGATTGGCAGGCCTTTTGTGTCATTGCTGGCCTTTTTCTCTCCAACTAGCAGCCCATCATGCTCACTGCTGTCATTTCTCTTACACATCTGAGAGAGGGAATCAGGGAAGGCACTGGCCTTAGGAATTTGGAGTCAAGACTTCCAATTTCACCTCTGCTTCAGAGAGCTGGTCACACACTCTGGGCCTTAGTCCGAAGGAATTAGAGGAGACTATGTGAACATTGCTTTCCATTTCAGGAGTCTCGGGGTTTATGATGCTGCTAACTCGAAGGTTAAATGCTTTACTTCCCAGTTTCAAGAGATCTGCAGAAGGAAGGCTTTCTATTATGGTGATAGACACTGTGCCAAGCCCTATGTGTACCCATAGTCTCCTATTTAAGTTCCTTTGATAACCCTGTGAGGAAGATGTGATTATCCCCATTTTACTGCTGAGTAACATGCGGGCTGGCGAGATTCAGTCACATGCAGGGACTCCAGCATGGGCTGTCTGCTTGGAGTCTCCTTCACCGTGGCTGCTGTGGTCACAGCACTGGACTACCAATTTGCAAGTGAGCTGAACCTAATTCTGATGATTGCATATCTGTTCACATTAAGTGAGAAAAAGAGTGGAATTATTTTGGTCAATTTGTAACTATATGAGGAAAACACGGAAGGTCCCAAATAGGATTGAAAATAATGCTGTTTGTTGAGTAGAACCATCTGTTATGCTCTGTGTGTCTCCCACTCTGCATTCGTACGTTGAAGTTCTAACCCCTAGTACCTAAGAATGTAACTATATTTGGAATGAAGTCTTTAAAAAGGTAATTAAGTTAAAATGAAATCTTTTGGGTGGCCCTTAATTTAATATTACTATTGTCATGAAAAGAGAAAGTTTGGACACAGACACTAGTGTGTTGGAGGAAAGACCATGTGAAGACACAGTGAGATGGACGGCGGCTGTCTGCAAGCCAAGGAGAGAGCCCTGTGAATAAAACCAGCCCTGCTGACACCTTGATCTTGGACTTCTAGCCTTCCGAACTGTGAGGAAATACATTTCTGTTGGTTAAACTACCAGTCTGTGGTACTTTGTGGCATCCTTAGCAAACTAATACACCGTTCTAATTCACTTATTGCTCACCTATTGCAGTGAGACATTCAGCATTAAGTGCTGCTTGTTAATGGGTAAAACTGTTTGTCCCTTATACTATGATTTTCAAGTGCTGTTTTGAGAAATTGTGGTTTCTTTTGCATTTAGGTACTTTAGGATGATTGGAACTGTTTTGGTAGTTTTGAAAAAGTGTGTGATGATAAAGAATCTTAAGAGGCAGGTATCCCCAAAGTTGCTGTAAATATTGATTGCCACTGTGCTGTGTGCAATATGATGTAGTCAAATATTGCATTGTATATGTCCTAGAGGCCTGATAGTATTCTAAGCTTTCTAGTGCTGGTAGGAATGAGTTGCTATGGATTTTTCTCTCCTGAAGCCACCCTTTCCTGTCTGCTTCTAAACTTTTTAATTCTAGAGTGCCAGGTAACTCTTTTTGTTGCCATATTTTCTCTGATCAGGGTGATCAGACATTTCTGGTCTGAGTCAACCCATATTGAATGCCTTGGGTATTATCATTTGCTTTTGATGACTCATCTTTATGCTGGTAGATCAGGTCCAGAAAATCTTGAAAACATATACAATAAAAGAAATATTGTCTAAATTTTAGTAGATTCTGGTTCTATTTACTTAGGGTGTCTATGCAACCTACTTTCAAAATGGTTTGAGAATGACTTGCACAATTAAACATAACAAGATTATTAAAAATAAAATCACAACCAAACCATTGATACTTATATACTGATTCTTGATTTTCATAGATGAACAAAATCCAGCATAACTCTTGGGTGGTGAAATTCAATGGATGTTTGCCCTCTGCCTGCCCCTACCCCTGCTTGCCTATTAACAATAATTATTGTGAGTGACTGGGACCCAGGGAGATTAAGCACCAGGCTAGAGAAATGAGGAGGGCCACAGGAGCCAGATTTAGATTTTCTAGGTTCTGGGAGATGAGAAAACTGGGATTGCCCAGAAAAGAGGACCCTGTGGCTACAGTCTTTAGCAGGAGAATAAAAAGTATGGCAACTAAGAATTTGTAGCAAAATCAAAAGAATTTAATTGTTGATGGGATCATATTACACTGTTTATCTTACCTAGGATATAAAAGACATCTCTAGTGAGTCAGGAGACTATTTCTTGACTGGTGGATAAAAGGAGACCCTTTGCGGGTATCCACCCCAATGCAGAATGTGGGCAAATAAAATCTGAACTTGACTCATTTTTTCAGAGCACTTCTTGGTCTTTTGAAGACAAAGACAAATAATGTATAAAAATTCCAGCAGAAGTTAATTGTGACAAAAAATTGAAAAGCACAGAGAATTAGATGTGACCAAGCATCTGAGATAAGTTTATTACAGTAGTTACTGAAATGAGATCTTACCTTTTAGTGGGTTGTGTAATTTTCATTATCTGATACAAGAATTTTATCTCTCTAGAGATATAAATGTTTCCTTGTCAAAGAGGAATTATCCCTTGACGCCTGATGTAGTAGGGCATTCAATAGCATAATGGTTAATGTGTGCAACCATTATTTTTCTTAAATGGGTTTCTCATATTGACCCTCTGTGTTAGCCAAGTGTATAAAGTTCTTTCTAACCTGAGTTGATGGATAGATTTCCATTGACAGAAGCCATTCATGAATGATTCCGAGCACTTTTATTTCACAAATGTTTATTGAGTGCCTGCTAAGTGCCAGGCACTGTCAAAGTTTGCCTGGAGAAGTCCTTCCCTCATGAAGCTTATAGAACAATGGAGGAGGAAAGACAAATCTGTAGGCATTTAATGACAATCTGAGAAGTACTGTGATGGGGAAAGTACAGGATGTTTTTATCCCACATAGGAGGGGTACCTAACCCAGATTAGAGGTAGAAATGGATAACAAGGTAAATGTTTATGGAGCTAAATGTCTCAACTCAGGCCTAAAGCATGTTTAAGAGGTGGTCAGAAAAGGCTTGAAGGGGGAGAGAGTGTGGAGGCCTGAAGGTAAGCAAGAAACTTGGGACATGGAGTGAGAGAAAATGGAGGCTTTGAGAGGTGAACAGAACCACACAGCTAGTAAGTAACAGCCAAGAACAGACCTAGGAATGCCCATTGTCAAAGCCTTGGAGAGTTGAGACATTATCTAATTCGTTTGTGCTGCTATAACAAAATGCCATGGACTGGGCAATATTTATATATTGTTTATACAATAGAAATTTACTTCTGATGGTTCTGGAGGCTGGGAAATCCAAGACCAAGCCTTGATATCTGGTGAGGGATCTCTGCTTGCAAGATTGTGCCTTGTTGCTGTGTCCTCACGTGGCAGAAGAGCCATATGGAAGGGCCAGGCAATTCTCCCAAAGCCTTTATTGTAAGGGCATTAATCTCATTGATCATCTCATTAATCTCATTAATCTCATTGATAAAGGCAAAGCTCTCATGGCCTAATCACCCTGAAAAGACCCCACCTCTTCATAGGTGGGGTTTAAATTTCCACATGAATTTTGGAGGGACCTATACATTCAAACCATAGCAGACGTTTTCAGTGATAAAGAAGTCTGACTAAAAATGTGTTTGAAAAGCTCTACAAATGTGAACCTTAGAGAAATAAAAAACTTTATATCATTTGTGTCTTAACCTTGCTTTATTTTGAATACTACTATTCATTGCATAAATCTAGTCCCAAACAATAACTTATTAAATTTTCCTCTTGGTTCTCCATAGATTTATATAAAGTAAGGGCTTGACATCACATGAACTGGCTCATTAAGACTCTTGATGGTCATCTGTTGCCAGTGAGAATTGTGTTGTTTTAGAACCATTTTTTGGATGATTCATACACTAGAATCTCATCATCTAGAGTCATTTCTCCTAATCTTTTAAAATTAATTATAAATTAGAATCCCCAAATAAGAATCCTAACTATGGTTTATTATGGGCTATTTATAAAAGTACTCTCTTTAACAAGTTTGTTCTAATGCTTCTTCCATGATGATATCCATGAGCCTTAATATAATATTTAGATTGTGTTTAAAAACAAAATAATCTATACTGGCTTTTTATTTATTTATTTTTTTGAGACGGAGTTTCGCTCTTGTCACCCAGGCTGGAGTGCAGTGGCGCGATCTCGGCTCACTGCAACCTCTACCTCCCAGGTTCAAGCAATTCTCCTACCTCAGCCTCCCAGGTAGCTGGGATTACAGGCATCCGCCACCACGCCCAGCTAATTTTTGTATTTTTAGTAGAGACAGTGTTTTGCCATGTTGGCCAGGCTGGTCTCGAACTCCCGACCTCAGGTGATCCACCTGCCTCGGCCTCCCAAGTGCTGGGATTACAGGCGTGAGCCACCACACCTAGCCTATATTGGCTTTTTAAATGAAACAATTTCTACAAAAAGTTTCACGTCCTTTAATATAATTACAAATATATTTTTCCATTTTACAGGAATATCTTTCAAATAAGAAGGTGGAAATCTCTAATACATTGTAGAGAGCACATTTCATTTCTTCCTCCTTTCTTTTTTGCCCAAGTGAGTTCACACATCCAATAAATCAGACTAAACTACATGTGACCAGAAGGATCTCACAGCATAAGAATAGATTATATCTCTTGTAAATCTCCAGGATTTCTTGTTTTTCTTGAATGTCCCCCTCTCATCTTTATTGAAGATAATGGACAGATAAAAATTATGCATATTTAAGGTATACAAGGTGATGTTTTAATTTTTGTATACATTGTGAAATGATCACCACGCTCAAGCTAATTAACATATCCATCACCTCAGATGGTTATCTTTTTTCTGTTTTTGTGCTGAGACTATGTAAGATCTCCTTTTGCAAATTTCAATTATACAATACAGTATAATTAATTATAGTCACCATACTGCACATTACATCCACTGAACTTACTGATTCTGCAAAATGGAAACTGAAACCCTTTGACCAACCAAGGGATTCTTAGAAACTTACTAGTGTCTGAGGCTCTCCCTTATTACTGTTCATATTTATTCATTAAGGACTGAGCTAATACTTGACCCTAAAAAAATGTTTGCTCTTTAAAGCTGTTCAGTGGTAAAGGGTTTCTTTATATGATTGCTAGCATTTGCCCTCCCTGTGCACTATGCCAGCTCATAGGGAAACAAGAATAAGATGCAGTTCGTTTAAGGAGCCCACAGTTTAGGGTGGGATCAGGGAAAGCTATACAGAGGAGGAGATGGTTGAGCTGTTTTGAAGGATGACTAATTTGAGGGTGAGTAGTTCAGTACTTTTGGGTGTGGTGAGGGACAATAACTTTTTGAGCATCCATTTATTTTAGCTGGCCATTCAGTGGTTGATATCAAATGTTTACTGGATAAATGGAAGTGATGGATTGTTGATACAGCTTAGCTATTTTGCATCTTTTTTCCCACTAGTATCTCAACCTGACACAGCTTTAACAGCCAGAAGTTTTATAAGCTGCAAAAATGAGTACTACTGATATTTTAGCTGAGGTTAAAAATGTACATGTGAAAACCATGGCACGAGAACTATGTGACGAATGCACAAGCCTCAGTAACCAATGCTATCAACTGGAAGAAAGGGTATCAGCGATGGAAGACAAAATGAATGAAATGAAGCGTGAAGAGAAGTTTAGATAAAAAAAGAATAAAAAGAAACGAACAAAGCCTCCAAGAAATATGGGACTATGTGAAAAGACCAAATCTACGTCTAATTGGTGTACCTGAAAGTGACGGGGAGAATGGAACCAAGTTGGAAAACACTCTGCAGGATATTATCCAGGAGAACTTCCCCAATCTAGCAAGGCAGGCCAACATTCAAATTCAGGAAAAATAGAGAACGCCACAAAGATACTCCTCGAGAAGAGCAACTCCAAGACACATAATTGTCAGATTTCACCAAAGTTGAAATGAAGGAAAAAATGTTAAGGGCAGCCAGAGAGAAAGGTCAGGTTACCCACAAAGGGAAGCCCATCAGACTAACAGCTGATCTCTCGGCAGAAACTCTACAAGCCAGAAGAGAGTGGGGGCCAATATTCAACATTCTTAAAGAAAAGAATTTTCAACCCAGAATTTCATATCCAGCCAAACTAAGCTTCATAAGTGAAGGAGAAATAAAATCCTTTACAGACAAGCAAATGCTGAGAGATTTCGTCACCACCAGGCCTGCCCTAAAAGAGCTCCTGAAGGAAGCACTAAACATGGAAAGGAACAACCGGTACCAGCCACTGCAAAAACATGCCAAATTGTAAAGACCATCAAGGCTAGGAAGAAACTGCATCAACTAATGAGCAAAATAACCAGCTAACATCATAATGACAGGATCAAATTCACACATAACAATACTAACCTTAAATATAAATGGGCTAAATGCTCCAATTAAAAGGCACAGACTGGCAAATTGGGTAAAGAGTCAAGACCCATCAGTGTGCTATGTTCAGGAAACCCATCTCATGTGCAGAGACACACATAGGCTCAAAATAAAGGGATGGAGGAAGATCTACCAAGCCAATGGAAAACAAAAAAAGGCAGGGGTTGCAATCCTAGTCTCGGATTAAACAGACTTTAAACCAACAAAGATCAAAAGAGACAAAGAAGGCCATTATGTAATGGTAAAGGGATCAATTCAACAAGAAGAACTAACTATCCTAAATATATATGCACCCAATACAGGAGCACCCAGATTCATAAAGCAAGTCCTTAGTGACCTACAAAGAGACTTAGACTCCCACACAATAATAATGGGAGACTTAAACACCCCACTGTCAATATTAGACAGATCAATGAGATAGAAAGTTAACAAGGATATCCAGGAATTGAACTCAGCTCTGCACCAAGCAGACCTAATAGACATCTACAGAACTCTACACCCCAAATCAACAGAATATACATTCTTTTCAGCACCACACCACACCTATTCCAAAATTGACCACATAGTTGGAAGTAAAACACTCCTCAGCAAATATAAAAGAACAGAAATTATAACAGACTGTCTCTCAGACCACAGTGCAATCAAACTAGAACTCAGGATTAAGAAACTCACTCAAAACCGCTCAACTACATGGAAACTGAACAACCTGCTCCTGAATAACTACTGGGTACATAACGAAATGAAGGCAGAAATAAAGATGTTCTTTGAAACCAACGAGAACAAAGACACAAAAAACCAGAATCTCTGGGACACATTCAAAGCAGTGTGTAGAGGGAAATTTATAGCACTAAATGCCCACAAGAGAAAGCAGGAAAGATCTAAAATTGACACCCTAACATCACAATCAAAAGAAGTAGAGAAGCAAGAGCATACACACTCAAAAGCTAGCAGAAGGCAAGAAATAACTAAGATCAGAGCACAACTGAAGGAAATAGAGACACAAAAAACCCTTCAAAAAATCAATGAATCCAGGAGCTGGTTTTTTGAACAGATCAACAAAATTGATAGACTGCTAGCAAGACTAATAAAGAAGAAAAGAGAGAAGAATCAAATAGACACAATAAAAAATGACAAAGGGGATATCACCACCGATCCCACAGAAATACAAACTACCATCAGAGAATACTATAAACACCTCTACGCAAATAAACTAGAAAATCTAGAAGAAATGGATAAATTCCTCGACACATACACTCTCCCAAGACTAAACCAGGAAGAAGTTGAATCTCTGAATAGACCAATAACGGGCTCTGAAATTGAGGCAATAATTAATAGCTTACCAACCAAAAAAAGTCCAGGACCAGATGGATTCATAGCCGAATTCTACCAAAGGTACAAGGAGGAGCTGGTACCATTCCTTCTGAAACTATTCCAATCAATAGAAAATGAGGGAATCCTCCCTAACTCATTTTATGAGGCCAGCATCATCCTGATACCAAAGCCTGGCAGAGACACAACGAAAAAAGAGAATTTTAGACCAATATCCTTGATGAACATTGATGCAAAAATCCTCAGTAAAATACTGGCAAACCGAATCCAGCAACACATCAAAAAGCTTATCCACCATGATCAAGTGGGCTTCATCCATGGGATGCAAGGCTGGTTCAACATACGAAAATCAATAAATGTAATCCAGCATATAAACAGAACCAAAGACAAAAACCACATGATTATCTCAATAGATGCAGAAAAGGCCTTTGAAAAAATTCAACAACCCTTCATGCTAAAAATTCTCAATAAATTAGGTATCGATGGGACATATCTCAAAATAATAAGAGCTATCTATGACAAACCCACAGCCAATATCATACTGAATGGACAAAAACTGGAAGCATTCCCTTTGAAAACTGGCACAAGACAGGGATGCCCTCTCTCACCACTCCTATTCAACATAGTGTGGGAAGTTCTGACCAGGGCAGTCAGGCAGGAGAAGGGAATAAAGGGCATTCAATTAGGAATAGAGGAAGTCAAGTTGTCCCTGTTTGCAGATGACATGATTGTGTATCTAGAAAACCCCATCATCTCAGCCCAAAATCTCCTTAAGCTGATAAGCAACTTCAGCAAAGTCTCAAGATACAAAATCAATGTGCAAAAATCACAAGCATTCTTATACACCAATAACAGACAAACAGAGAGCCAAATCATGAGTGAACTCCCATTCACAATTGCTTCAAAGAGAATAAAATACCTAGGAATCCAACTTACAAGGGATGTGAAGGAGCTCTTCAAGAACTACAATCCACTGCTCAATGAAATAAAAGGGGATACAAACAAATGGAAGAACACTCCATGCTCATGGGTAGGAAGAATCAATATCGTGAAAATGGCCATACTGCCCAAGGTAATTTATAGATTCAATGCCATCCCCATCAAGCTACCAATGACTTTCTTCACAGAATTGGAAAAAACTACTTTAAAGTTTATATGGAACCAAAAAAGAGCCCGCATTGCCAAGTCAATCCTAAGCCAAAAGAACAAAGCTGGAGGCATCGAGCTACTTGACTTCAAACTATACTACAAGGCTACAGTAACCAAAACAGCATGTTACTGGTACCAAAACAGAGATGTAGACCAATGGAACAGAACAGAGCCCTCAGAAATAATGCCGCATATCTACAACTATCTGATCTTTGACAAACCTGACAAAAAGAAGAAATGGGGAAAGGATTCCCTATTTAATAAATGGTGCTGGGAAAACTGGCTACCCATATGTAGAAAGCTGAAACTGGATCCCTTCCTTACACCTTATACAAAAATTAATTCAAGATGGATTAAAGACTTACATGTTAGACCTAAAACCATAAAAACCCTACAAGAAAACCTAGGCAATACCATTCAGGACAGAGGCATGGGCAAGGACTTCATGTCTAAAATACCAAAAGCAATGGCAACAAAAGCCAAAATTGACAAATGGGATCTAATTAAACTAAAGAGCTTTTGCACAGCAAAAGAAACTACCATCAGAGTGAACAGGCAGCCTACAGAATGGGAGAAAATTTTTGCAACCTACTCATCTGACAAAGGGCTAATATCCAGAATCTACAATGAACTCAAACAAATTTACAAGAAAAAAACAACCCCATCAAAAAGTGGGTGAAGGATATGAACAGACATTTCTCAAAAGAAGATATTTATGCAGCCAAAAAAACATGAAAAATGCTCATCATCACTGGCCATCAGAGAAATGCAAATCAGAACCGCAATGAGATACCATCTCACACCAGTTAGAATGGCGATCATTAAAAAGTCAGGAAACAACAGGTGCTGGAGAGGATGTGGAGAAATAGGAACACTTTTACACTGTTGGTGGGACTGTAAACTAGTTCAACCATTGTGGAAGTCAGTGTGATGATTCCTCAGGGATCTAGAACTAGAAATACCATTTGACCCAGCCATCCCATTACTGGGTATGTACCCAAAGGATTGTAAATCATGCTGCTATAAAGACACATGCACACGTATGTTTATTGTGGCACTATTCACAATAGCAAAGACTTGGAACCAACCCAAATGTCCAACAATGATAGACTGGATTAAGAAAATGTGGCACGTATACACCATATACTATGCAGCCATAAAAAAGGATGAGTTCATGTCCTTTGTAGGGACATGGATGAAGCTGGAAACCATCATTCTCAGCAAACTATCGCAAGGACAAAAAACCAAACACTGCATGTTCTCACTCATAGGTGGGAATTGAACAATGAGAACACATGGACACAGGAAGAGGAACATCACACACCAGGGACTGTTGTGGGGTGGGGGGAGGGGGGATAGCATTAGGAGATATACCTAATGCTAAATGACGAGTTAATGGGTGCAGCAAACCAACATGGCACATGTATACATATGTAACAAACCTGCACGTTGTGCACATGTACCCTAAAACTTAAAGTATAATAATAATAAGAAAATAAATAAAATAAAAAAAATTTACATGTGATCTTACTCCTTTGAGAGGTTTAGTTAACTCTGTTGCTGTGAAATCACTAATGTTCTCATGTCTGAATGGAAACATCTAGTGACAACAGTGCTTTTAGAAGTAAATAATATGTCTATTTTCATGCAGCTTTGAATTCCTGGGTTCTTTGTATACGTTTGATTCAGTGAACTATGAAAAAATGAGCAAACCTTAAGACACCATGAAGTATTTTCAATAAAAGCAGTTTGAGACAAGGTTTTCAGGTTGGCGGATTAAAGGAATCAAACTGTTCCTTCACCCAGCACCGTGAACAACACCCGTACTACATTTTTCTTGTTTTGAGTTTATCTCTCCTGAAGATATGCTGTTTGGAAGTATTTTTTTATTATTAAAATATTGCACGACTTGTTTGAAAATTTATTTTTGCTGGTTATTTTTTATGCAGAAAATTCTTTCTTCCTATAAGGCCCAGAATATAAGGCTAGCTTAATGCCTTGTTGTGTTGATCAGATACTAATATCAGTGTAGATGATCTCGTACTCATTGTTGCATTAGATCTATTGTCATGGTAGCCACACCATATAGGAAGCAAAAGAAAACTAGTGTTTTTGTCTCTTTCTTTGAAGGCAACTTCCTGGTAAGTAATGATTAAATTATATGACTCTCAAAGTACAAAAATAACACAATTCCTTAGATATTACTCCACATTTGTGTAGCACCAACATGCAGGTAGTTAGCCATGATAATGGATATTATGTTCATGAAAAATCGGTGCTCAAAAGTAGCTTTTAGAAGGGAAACAAAACCTTGTATATTAGTAAGATTTATCTCTATCTCAGCGGTGAATGATACAGGGTCTGTAATCAAAATGTTTTTCTTAGTATAATTTGACTACTAGCTCTATAGGTAATACCTTTCACAGAGAAGCATGGATGCCCATCTCCTCTCCTTTGTGCACAATCCTGAGGGTTAGTCTTGTCCTTCCTCTGCCCTTGGCATCAAGGGACCTCCAGGAACCTGAGAGTGTGTATCTTTGGGCTGTATCTACTGTCATCTGCTTCCACCTGTGTGAGGGATCCCTGGTTCGCTGGGAGATACTTTCCTGCCAGCATTTTTATCCACCGTTGATGAATCACCCTCTCTCATCTGCCACATCTGGTAGGGCTTTGAGTGTCACAACCTCATGCTTTTAATTATTTATTTTTTTAGTAGAAGATACAGTTTTCTTACTGTTGAAGAAAGCATAGTTCAACCTCTTTTTTGAAAGTTGGGTTTCAGTGTTTTCCTGTTTAAAGTCAATATATCAAAGAAGGCTAAGAGGTGAGCCACTCACTTTTTTTTTTTTTTGACTTAGTTGTGTGTAGTGTTTGAATTGCAGGGATTTATACAGGCTACTGAATTGAAAAGAGCTTTGATTGTGATACCTCAGTGAAAACGATTACATGTATGTTTGTGTATTTGTTTCCTGTTTCCAAGAACAACTTGTAGCTTTTTAAAAATGAGCTTCCTTTTTATCATGACATGTTGAGGTTAGATAAATCTTTAAATGTCCTGCAATCTAACTCCCTAGCTGATTTTCGAATCTCTTCTTATCCCTATTGAGAGCTCTTCTGGTGTATTCCTGAACACTTCCAGACTTAGGTAGCTGATTCTTAAACTATGCTGATTGCTATCAAGTACTTTTTTTTTTCATGTCATTCTGTAACGTTTTATCCCCTGGTTTCAATTTTTGCACTTAAAGCAACTCACTCATGGAGACTGAGCATTAGGCTACTTCATTCAGTTATCAGCACCTCCTGGAAATTGGTTCCTGACATTGCTATTGTCCCAAAGATAACAGCCAAAGTTCTGTTCGTATGTGTTTACCTAGAATATAAAATAAGAATACAGATCATTTTCCAAGAGTGGAAAATTATAAAAAGAACTTTTCTAAGGCATGAAAAATACTATATTTTAAGCACATAAGAAGCTATTTATAGTTTCTTCCTGCCAGTGTCCAGTGCTATTAAACAGCAGGAGATTTTTATAGTCTGAAAAGGGATATTTTGAGTCTATAAGAACTTTTTGCAAGGTGATAGCAATCTCAGGTTGAATTCTGCCAGATTTTGCTGTCTCAATATGATTTACAAATGAATTGAAGTTAATACTGTCTGTTAAGAGAGAAGTTAATACCTACCCATTATTAAATATAAAACCAATGTGTTAAATATAATTTAGTTTTATTTCTAAAATTTCATTGAAATATAATGTTTTAGCATTCTGGTTAGAATTGAAATGCAGTAACACAAATATGTTTTTAGTATCTTCTTTACAGAAAATATTAGTTTATTCTAAAAATTAAATTTGATGCCAAAAATTAATTTGTATCTGGTTGCATTGGGAAGAATAATGTCAAAAATGCACTAACTTCCTTTGCCTTGATTTGGGGAATGATGGTGGTGTATAAAAAATGATTTAGAAACCATCAGTATGCAATACCACAATTTTGTGATTATTGTTATCTTTTGTTATTCTTAACACATCTATCTTCCAAATGCGATTGAAAACAGGGCATGCTGTTTAAACTGGCTCTTTGGCCATAGTCTTTGTTCAAAACAGGTCACCTTTTGATGATTTTACCTAAAAACATTTTATAAATAACTGTAGTTATTTTCTCCTGTGTTACCTATGAGCCAGCAGAAACTTTTCTTCTGTGTTTATGGATTTAAAAGAGTTTTTTGTTTGTTTTTTTGGTTTGTAATTATGACATTCAGCTTATTACTTCTTTCATATGTAATACAAATGTTGGCCAAAAATTGGTATTTTTCCATCGACTTTGAAGAACTGTAGAAAAGAAGTCAAACACTTGTAAATCGTATGTTTTGGTGATTCTAAGTGATACTCCTTGGGTTTCCAATGAACTTCAGGTACAGAGGGCTGTTGTTAATTGTCTTTCACATTTATGCCATGTTAGATCATTGATCTGAGCAAAGCCCCAGTATTGTTTAATGTTTTCATTATCTTTATCTATCTCCAGTCCCCATCTTATTTTCCCTGACCATATCCTAATGAGGCAACCAACCCGATGTGTTTTACACGATCTTTTTATTATAGGTGTTCTTAAAAATTACAGTTTGTGGACATGTAATTTTATTTACTAAAAATAGTGTTATGCTATAGATCTCTACTCAATACAATGTTTAAAGGTCTGTCTGTAAACCTGTGTACATTTTTATATCTAACCGTGGTAGAGTACCCTATATTGTGTCTCTAACTGCTTCATCCCCCAGGGGGAGCTATGTAGATTCCCCGTGGCTCTCCACAACCACAAGCCATATTATAATGTATATGTATAAATCAGGATGAATAGAGCCCATTTATACATATACATATACATTGGCTGTATAGGCCAATGGGCTTTATCCATCCTGATTTATACATGTGCGTTATAATATGGCTTGTGGTTGTGTTGCTGGTTTATTGGGCCAGTGTGTACTTAATTTGATGAAGTACTTCAGGATCGTCCTCCAGAAGGGCTGCACTGATCTCCTCTTGAGCAAAGCATGATGTTCACTAGAGTGTTCAAATCTCATATTTGTTTTTGGGATGAACTAAATGACTTTTTTTCCCTAGGCATAGTTACTCTCTGTATGTTGGGTTTGAATGGGTGATTTCTTACAGTAGACAAGAAGGTACTTGTCTGAAAGTTAAAGGAGAGGAGATAATGAAGTGAGAAAAGGATGAGGGAAAAAGAAATACATTGCTTATCAGCTCCTAAAACTAGGCCTGACACAAGGTAGAGGGTCAGTCAATGTTTGTATAATGAGTGAATTAATAGTGTGGTATGGTAGATGTTTTAGATTTATAGCTAAATATTTTGACTTACATTCTGCTTCTGCCACTGGGGGGAAATCGTGAGACCACTCTGACCCTCAGTTTATGAAACTGAAAACTGAGATTGATGGAAGGGCTAATTGAGGTGCAGTATGTGAAGGGACTGGCATGTATAATAGGCATTTAACGGGTGTTTCATTCCTTTGGCAAAGTATACTTTCTATTACATGACCAGTAATAATCAGTTTCTTCTGCAAATATTCTGTCATAAGTCAATTCTGATTTTGGCCTTTTTAATGGCTGCTGTAAGGATTTGTGAACAGTCTGTTATTTCCTATTTTGCTATTCATGGAAGCATTAAGTAAGGTTTTACTTAAAAACCACTCAGAGTTATCATGGCTTCACTAACACAGTTGTCTGTGCTGCAACTACGTAAATTTTGACCTAATTTTTTCCCGATCACCTAAAACCTATAAAGGACTATTTTGAAAGGTCTTATATTGTAAAGCCTCATTTATACAGGCTTCTGGGAATGGAGTTTTACACATTAAGTAGGTTTTCCAGGTAACTTAAATTTATTCCTTGATATAACTTTTATATATCCTTGGTATATCTTTGATATATTCCTTGATATATTCATGACCTATTTCTTGATATAATCTTTATATATCTTTAATACAACTTTTAAAAAAGGTGCCATTTAAAAATCCTCTATAATATGTTAAATACATTTTTTTGATAGAATGTATTAGATGTAATTTTACTTTTTAATATGCAAAATTATTGGTTTGCCTGTTTAATCAGCAATATGATAGGCTTTGTGACTGTTTTCTTGTTATATAGGTTATCATATTTGCCCTGAGTGAACCTGTTGTATCAGCCCAGCTCTTAACTAATTTGTTCCTTTTTAATGTGTTAGAGCCAGAATAAGAAATAACCAAAATTAGTAGCATTTTATGTTAGTCATGGGTTAGTAACCTTGAATAAAGACTTGAGGTCTTCTCTGGCCAAGTGTAAGAGACGCCCTGCCTTGAAAATAGTGCTTTTGAAGACTCAACTTTGTATCCTAGATGCTGGCCATGTTCCAGGTACTTAAGAGTATCATGAATCTGAAATCTGGAAAACAAAGGGCTTTATTTCAATTTTTAGCAAAATAACTTCAGAAATGTAGCTATTAATTTGACACATACTTTGTAGAGTTACAGAGTTTGCACCAAATTCCACCATCTACAGATGAAGACCCAGAAATTTAGTAGTGGACACTTTTGTCCAGGGTCCCCTTGGGGTGTGTTGAGCCCTAGAACCCAGGACTCTGGACTTTCAGCCCATAGCTCTTGTCATTCTCCTTTACTAATAGGGACAGTATTGCCTATAGGGCTCTTATATGTGTAAGCTGTAGATTATGTATGTGGAATTATTAAATGTACCGTCTGTACCTAAATATTTCAGAATATTTAAATAGTAAAGATTAAGTAAAAAGAAGAATAAGTATGTCAAAACATTAATGAAGATTCTGGGACTGAGAATATGTTTTGAGGTCTTCAGTACCAGATTTGATTGCTATAAGACTTCCTCTCCTGACTTTGGTAAGAGCCAAGTGGCCTATAGGGGAAGAAGGGGCTATCAAACCTACTAGCTATAGAATTTTCCAGGAGGTATGTATTTGCAAACTAAAGCTTCTAAAATGGTAGTTTAGATTTGGTTTTCACCTCCAGAATTGTCAGCAAAAGGATAAAAATTTTAGCTCAAAGTTAACAGGGCCTGGAATCCAGGCAAAATAACACTAATAATCAACTTAATCACTAATAATCTACACATTTCCAGTGTGTGTTATAGTGTCCAAAGTGCCTTATATGAGCTAACTCATTTTGTTCTCACAGCAACCGGGGAGATAGTTACTATTTGTATTAGTTTGTTCTCACATGGCTATAAAGAAATTCCTGAAACTGGGTAAGGGTTTATGGAGAAAAGAGGTTTAACTGGCTCTTGGTGTTGCAGGCTCTACAGGAAGCATGGCTGGGGAGGCCTCAGGAAACTTACAGTCATAGCGGAAGGTGAGGGGAAGCAGGCAACGTCTTACATGACCAGAGTAGGAGGAAGAGAGAGAAGGGGGAGGTTCCACACACTTTTAAACAACCAGATCTTGGATAACTTGCTCACTGTCACGAAAACAGCACTAAAGAGTGAATCCTCCCTCATGATCCAGTCACTTTCCACAAGGCCCTACCTTCAACATTGGGGATTACATGAGATTTGGGCAGGGACACAGACTCAAACCATATTACTATTATTATCCCCGTTTGCAGATGATGAAACTGAGGCATGGAGGAGTTAGATCTTGAATGTTAAGTTGTACATATAGTTGATTTCATCTGCATTCTGGCTCTGGATCTCCACCGGCTGTCTAAAGAGGCACCCCCATATAGCTGCAAGTGCAAAGGATATCCAGATTTTCACCAGGCTTTCTCCTTTTCCTTAGAGAGAGAATGTGGGATTTTTGTGGGTGACACAGATTTACATTGGTTCTTGGGAAGGTCCAGCCCTTTTTTAGTTGTGTGTTGACACTTTATAGAATGGATCATCACATTAAGAAGGGTTAGATTTAAAGTCTAGAGTTCTCAGACAAGACAAAATAATTTATTTCCTGTTAAATTAACATATGCCTCATAGAGGCTACCAGATTTCATGAAATTTCTTACCAAGTCTCTTCTAGACAAGCCTTTTGTTTTTGCCTCACCACAACAATTTCTGCAAACAAAAGGTGGTATCTTTCTACACGGTTATTCTTTGTCATATTTAAGCAACTTTTGCAGAGGAAAAGGCTTATGGGTGGGGATTCATTACCACATGCTGACCCTGGACCCTGTAGGATGGTAGGAAAATAAAGTAGAAGCAAAGCAGAATAGGGATGCAAAAAGTAGTAACTTCAGCTGAAAAGTGAAATGTAGTGGGCTAAGCCTTTGCTCTCAAGGTTCACCAAGTGGAGCTGATGTTTCGCTAGGCAGAAGAAAACTTCAGTTTAGGAGTCTTTCTCCAGGCCTTGTCCACCTACTCACACTACAGGCTGTCATGGACCTTAACGTTCCTAGGTTCCCACTGTTTGGTTTTTACTCTTTCAAGCATTTCGTCAGTTATAGCTTGAAATCTGTATTTCCATATTGAGGTAAACAGAGTACCTTCATTTGGATTTTACCTTTTAGATTGCAGATCTAGTCTGTTTATTTTTCTGGATGTTTGCTCTCTGAAGGGTAAAGCCCGTCATGCTTAATCATCATTTGCATTTTTTTCTTAACTTCTCTGCTGTTCACAAAACAATCTAATTCTTTAAGCAGGTGTGTAGTCATGTCCCTTGGTTTTATCTAAGTAAAATGAGAAAAATCTTGTTTTCCAATCAATCATACTTGCATTTTGACATGAAACAGCAGGTATTTGTCAAAATTAATTGTTAGATAAACCTGTATAAGTGAAAAAGAGTGGGATGGCTGAAATCATTTTTAAAAATGGAAAAAGGTGCTCAGAGGATCTGAAAAATGTTGGATTGGATTGTACCTTACCTTGCAATAAAAGGAGATTCACATCTATTTAAGGACTCTTGCTTTTCAACATTCACATAGTGAGATATAAATGCAGGGCTATTTTTTTTAACTATAAGAAAGTATATTTAAAATTTGACCATTGATAAAACTATGACATCCCATATGATAAGTTGCAGTCAGATGCTTGCATGGTAGGTGATATGGTTTGGATCTGTGGCCCCACCGAATGTCATGTCGAATTGTAATCCCCAGTGGTGGAGGTGGGGCCTGGTGGGAGGTGATTGGAGCATGGGGGCAGACTTCTCATGCATGGGTTAGCACTGTATCCCCCTGGGTACTGTCCTCACAATAGTGAGTTGAGTTCTAATGAAATCTGGTTGTTTATAAGTATGCAGCACCACCCCCCTTGCATCCTCTTCCTCCTGCTCTGGCCATGTGAAATGCCGGCCTCCCACCTTCACCTTCCACTGTGATTGTAAGTTTTTTGAGGCCTTCCCAGAAGCTGAGCAGATGCCACCATGCTTCCTGTATAGCCTACAGAACTGTGAACCAATTAAACCACTTTTCTTTATAAATTACTCAGGCTCAGGTATTTCTTTATAGCAATGCGAGAAAGTACTAATACAGTAGGATTTATTGTATGGCTTTTTCCTGCGTGCTTCATTTAAAAATGTACTTTTCTTAATGAGATTTTGTCTGAATGTCCACTGTTGTGTATTTTTAAGCCGTAGTCTAATACTTTTGTTTGGTCTCACTGATATAAAAATGCAAACTTGCCTTTTAAGTTTATAGGTGTCTTTAAGCTTTCCTGGGTCTTTTATTTCCTGATAGACTTTATTTTAGCCCGTAAATTTATAGGCTGGTATTCAATGGTGATTATAGAGCACAGATCTGCAGACCAATGATCCTGTGCAGCCTGCTTGGGCTTCCCTCATTTCTAGGTCTGTCTCTCAGTGGAGGTAAGGGTTTAATGAAATGAAGAAGAGACAAAGAGTTTTTCTCCTTTATAAATAAATTGCCTAGTTCACTTTTTTTTTTGAGACGGAGTCTCGCTCTGTTTCCCAGGCTGGAGTGCAGTGGCGCAATCTCGGCTCACTGCAAGCCCCACCTCCCAGGTTCACGCCATTCTCCTGCCTCAGCCTCCCGAGTAGCTGGGACTACAGGCATCCACCACCACGCCCAGCTAATTTTTTGTATTTTTAGTAGAGACGGGGTTTCACCGTGTTAGCCAGGATGGTCTTGATCTGACCTCGTGATCCGCCCACCTTGGCCTCCTGAAGTGCTGGGATTACAGGCGTGAGCCACTGTGTCCGGCCGCCTAGTTTACTTTTTATCACTTTACTAACAGGTCTTAGAAAAGGCTAGGCTGGGCGTGGTGGCTCTCACCTGTAATCCCAGAACTTTGGGAGGCAGAGGCGAGCGGATCACCTGAGGTCAGGAGTTTGAGACCAGCCTGGCCAACATGGGGAAACCCCATCTCTACTAACAATACAAAAATTAGCCGGGCGTGGTGGCTCACACCTGTAGTCGCAGCTACCCAGGAGGCTGAGGCAGGAGAATCGCTTGAACCTGGGAAGCAGAGGCTGCAGTGAACCAAGATCATGCCACTGCACTCCAGCCTGGACTGAGACTGAGACTCTGTCTCCAAAAAAAAAAAAAAAAAGAAAGAAAAAGAAGAAAGAAAAGGAAGGGGCTTAGTAAAGCCCCCTGCTTTTCAAATATCACCTAATGAAGCTAAACATAGCATGCATTGAGGTACCTACTAAGTTCCAGGTGCTGAAATAGGCATTTTGTATTTGAGTAGTAAAGACCTTGTCTTATTTCTGAGAAGTCATCAACAACATAAGACTTGTAACAAACGCACCTTATAACTCTATGAATAATTTTCTCAATTTTTCTCTCTGAGATCGCTGGCAAAGTTTTGTCCAAAACCAAGGATTCATTAAAATGGCAGCTTGTCATGATGAAGCAATGAATATCCCAAGTTACTTGTTCATCCTCAGTAGTGAAGTTAGAGACCTGTTGTCACCAAACCATCATATGAAAAGAAGATAGCAATAGATGTTTATATTAGTTTCTTTTTCATTGTCAGAAATCTTTGTACTTTTGAGACATAGAAGAATAGCTGTTAAATCAAAAGCAGTTTTTTTGTAAAGAGATAATGTTTTTGGAAAAGTGACTGCTCATTATAAAATGTCAAGTCGATACAAAAAGAATACAAAGAAAAAGTGAAAAACAGATTCGTATTCAGAAGTAACCATTATTAATATTGTTAAACTTAATTCAGAGAACTCTGTATGTATACTGATAGAAGGCTTGATAGTGTACACATATGAGATTATTCTATAATGATATTTTAAATATAAATGATTAAATTTAACAAAATTTGAATACAATATTAAATTTATTTTTCAGGGGGAGATTATTTGTATTTTCTTTTTTCTTTTTTTTCTTTTGGAGATGGAGTCTCGCTCTGTCACCCAGGCTGGAGTGCAGTGGCTTGATCTTGGCTCACTGCAACCTCTGCCTCCTGAGTTCTAGCGATTCTCCTGCCTCAGCCTCTCGAGTAGCTGCGACTACAGGCATGCGCCATCACGCCCAGCTAATTTTTGTATTTTTAGTGGAGATGGGATTTCACCATGTTGGTTAGGCACGTCTCAAACTCCTGACCTCAGGTGATCCGCCGGCCTTGGCCTCCCAAAGTGCTGGGATTACAGGTGTGAGCCACTGCGCCCAGCCTGTATTTTCTTTACCTCTGTATTTTTGACATTGTAATGAACTTGTATTATTTTCATAGTTAAAATTATATAACAAAAAATAAACTATGGTAATAAGTTTTATGTAATGAAGACAAGTATCAGTAGTGGCTGTGTGACACATGAGTGATTCCTTCTCTCCTCCTGAGCCCGTGGCTTTGACATTAGCTAATAGTTGTAGGAGTCTTTCCTTTGGATCCCAGACTTGAGCTCAGAATCTTTATCAACATAGTTTTGTAGATTGTCAGACCCAATTGACTGCAGTTAGTCTTGAATTGAGACTCATTTCCTAGACTTGGTCTCTTTATTTAGTTCCTTCCTAGTTTTTGCTTTCTAATTATGCATCATAGTTATGAAGTGCATATACTGTGCATGAAATCACATTAGGAGGAATTATACGTGGAGGAACTCATGGTCTGTGATTCTAATTATGAGCACCTTCTTTTGGGGCTTAATAAATATTAAATTTAAAAGAAAAACAAATGAAATGAAAGGAATTGGTGAAGATCAGACAAATACTGTATTTCTTTATAACAAAACATATTACTTGCTAAAAAAATCCTACTAAAGTTGTGAAGAACTTTGTATGGAGTCGTTTAAAAAGAAATGCCTCAGATTGTATATTTAAGAAGAGAAGAAATTTATATACTAAGACTTCTTTCACTTCATTCTCACCTGTTATAATGTTCTTTTTACATTGCCAAGATTTATTAAATTTGTGTTTTGTTTAGTAACCACAATAAATACCAATTCTTTACTTAAAATAACTGGGCCCATCATGGGTCTTTTTAGCATGGTTTCTCCATACTTCCTGGATTATTTGTGTTTGGCTTGACTGGAATTAATTAAAAAGCAGATTGTCTGAGAAAGACTTTTGAGTGTTGTATTTCATGAGTTCTTCAACAGTTGGGAAGTGTTTGAAGAATAACTTGGCTGGACATGAAATTTTGAATCATACTTTCCCTGGGACTTTATAGAAATGGCTCAGCTTAAGCTGGAGATTTGCTCAGTGAGTGTGAGGCCACCTAGTTTTTCCTTTTAGAGAGCTCGCTTTTTCAGCCTTAGATGGTCATATGATTTTTCTTTATCAGTAACTTCCAGGTGTACTAACACTATTTATGTTCATTGTTTTACCAGTTTTTCCAGGAACATGGTATAGTTTTTTGAGCTGCAAATTCAAGTCTTTCTTTGATTTTAGGAAAGTTCTGTTCTGTTATATTTTTACCTATTTTTTTCTCTTCCATGTGTTTTATTTAGGAGTACCTACCAACAAGATGTATCTTTTATCTTTTTTGTCTATCATCTCTATACCATTTTATCATTGATTCCTGACTGTATTTTCGTTGTTTTTCCTTTTTCTAATTTGGGTTGCACCCTTGTACTATTTATTTTTTATTTCATTTTTTTCTCTCCTGAGCTTTGCCAGCTGCCTTTTCATGTTCTTTTATGATGTCTCTTTGAAGTCCTTTTACAAAAGAGGTTCTTTCTATAATTTCTTTGAGATCAGAGTATTTGAACATTTCCTCTGTTTTCTTATGATGCATATCCTTCATCTCCCCTGCGGTTTGCTACTTTCCTTCTTTCTTTTCTTCCTGGTTATCTGTGTTCTTTTCTTTCTCATTATGATTCTTCCATGCATGGGGACAGCTATTTGCTGAAGCAGAGTGTGGGGAGGAGAGCCAGTGGGGACAGGGAGGGAAGAGTGAGCCAGGGTTCCACAGCTTGTTTGGAGTTTGTTGTTTTGATCACTCTTCACCAGTCTGTTGTTCTCTGCCTTGGAGGGGTGCATCCCTCCCTAGGGGCATAATCAGGACAGTGGAGCTCATAGCAGAACCTCCTTGGAGCTCTGTGTGGCAAGCAGGCGTTTGAACTTTCACATTTCTTCACTTCACCCCTAGAAGGTCCTCTGACCTGTTGAAATTCTGGGGATGCATGTGTTGGCTTAGACTTCTCAGTATTTAGCTTTGTAGTTTTTAGCAGCTTGAAATTGGACTAATTTCTTTCTGTAGGGAATGTGTAGTAATTTTTTATTCCTCTTTTTTTATTCCTTTGTTGCTATTTATGAGGAACTTATCTGTGCAAGGAATCCAAATAAGGAAAAATTAATGATAGTCTAAGACAGAAAATGAGAGGGAAGGAAACATTTTCATTCCCTGGAAGTATTTTGATTGTTACATATTTCCCTAGGTATGTTACAGTGTCAGTGGCCTTGGATGACAAGGTAACGAATGAGGTTCTGTTAACTAGGAACATTCACTGAGGTATTCAACACTAGGTGCAGATGACTGGGATTTGGAATATTTAGAAGGTAATTTCAATGACATATGTGGTGAAATGTAGGTAACTGTAGGAAATGGTGTAATGCTTAGAATTCACATAAAAGAGATAAAGAGAACTGATAGCCACATGCTTATTTCATGAGATTATGGGTTTAAAAATTAGAATTACTTTCAATTTTCTAAACAAGCTGCTTAATAGCCTCTTAAAGGACGAACAAATTCAAATTCTTCTCTAGTTAAGAATTGTAAGAATGATCAGGCATGAGACACAGAAAAAAGGAAAAAAGCCTCATTATGCTATTACTTCACTCATCATTTCTGATTTTAAATTGCAGTTTAGTGTGGGTATTTAAATTGCTAGCTATTTCAAAAATGTCCTCTGGTTTTAGATACTATAATCAGCTGAAAAGGCTATTGAGTGCCGTTACATGGCCTCAAGATCTAAAAACTTTTGTATAAAAATAGAACAATTTATAATACTGATCTGACCCTCTGAGCATGCATGTGAAGACATTCCTAGAATAACCCTTTTTAGAATTATTGGATGTTCTAAATAGTCTAACAATGTAACGTATTGTCTTTGATGAAAAAATAGAAACTCTGAAAAAGACTTTTTTTTTGAGCAAAAAGCATCTGGAAGTGCCTTGAACTATATAAAATGAGTGCACAGATATACCTAGTTTTATGTTCTTCACTTAATTGTGCTTTGCAGATATTGTGCTTCTAACAAGTTGAAGGTTTTTGGGAGCCGTGCATTGAGCAAGTCTATTGGCACCATTTTTCCAACAGCGCATGCTCACTTCTCTGTCTGTGTCATATTTTGGTAATTCTCGCAGTATTTCAGACTTTTTCATTATTATTTAAATTATTATGATCTGTGATCAGTGATGTTTGATGTTACTATTATGGTTGTTTTGGGGGTACCACAGACTGTACCCATAGAATCCAGTGAACTTTATGGATAAATGTGTATGTCCTGGCTTCTCCACTGACTGGCCATTCCCCTTCTCTCTCCCTCTCTGGCCTCCTTATTCCATGAAACACAACAATTTTGAAATTAGGTCAATTAACAACCTTATACCGGCCTCTATGTGTTTAAGTGAAAGGAAGAGTCACATGTCTCTCACTTGAAATTAAAAGGTAGGAATTACTAAGCATAGTTTCAAGGCATGTTGAAAGCTGAGACAGGTTGAAACTGAGGCCTCTTGAGTCAGTTAGCAAAGTTGTGAATGCAAAGGAAAAGTTTCTGAAGGAAATTAAATGTGCTATTCCAGTGAACACAGGAATGATAAGAAAGTGAAACAGCCTTGTTGCTGATATGGAGAAAGTTTTAATGTTCTGGATAGAAGATCAAACCAGCCAAAACATTCCATTCAGTGAAAGCTGAATCCAGAGCATATCTCCCCTCAATTTTATGAAGACAGAGAGAGATGAAAAAGCTGCAGAAGAAAAGTTTGAAGCTAGCAGAATTTGGTTCATGAGATTTAAGGAAAGAAGCTGTTTCCATAACATAAAAGTGCAAGGTAAAGCAGCAAGTGCTAATGTAGAAGCTGAAGCAAGTTATCCAGAACATCTAGCTAAGATAATTAATAAAAGTGGCTACACTAAACAACAGATTTTCAATGTAGATGAAACAGCCTTCCTATTGGAAGAAGACTCCATCTAGGACTTTCCTAACTAGAGAGGAGAACTCAAAACCTGGCTTCGACGCTGCAAAGAACAGGCTGACTCTTGTTTGGTGATAATGCAGCTTGTGACTTTAGGTTGAAGCCAGTGCTCATTTAGCATTCTGAAAATCCTAGAGCCCTTAAGAATTATGCGAAATCTGTTCTGCCTGTGCTCCATAAATGGAACAACAAAGCCTGGGTGACAGCACATCTGTTTACAATATGGTTTACTGAATATTTTAAGCACACTGTTGAGACCTATGGCACAGGACAAAAAAAGATTCCTTTTTAAAATATTACTGCTCATTGACAATGCACCTGGCCACCAAAGAGTGCTGATGGAGATGTACGAGGTTAATGTTGTTTTTATGCCTGATAACACAACATCCATTCTGAAGCCCATGAATCAAGGAGTAATTTCAACTTTCAAGTCTTATTATTTCAGAAATACATTTTGTATTACATTTTGTAAAGTGATAGTTGCCATAGATCGTGATTACTCTATTGGGTCTGGGCAAAGTAAATAGAAAACCTTCTGGAAAGGATTAACCATTCTGGATTCCATTAAGAACATTCCTAATTAATGGAAGGAGGTGAAAATATAAACATTTACAGGAGTTTGGAATAAGTTGATTTCAACCGTCATGGATGACTTTGAGGGGTTCAAGAGTTCAGTGGAGGAAGTCACTGCAGACGTGGTAGAAAGACAGTAAGAGAGGAACAACTAGAAGTGGAGCCCGAAGATGTGACTGAACTGCTGCAATCTCATGATAAGACTTGAATGGATGAAGAGTTACTTAAGTGGTTTCATGAGATGGAATCTACTGCTGGTGAAGTTGCTGTGAACATTGTTGAAATGACAGCAAAGGATTTAGAATATTACATAAACTTGGTTGGGCAGAGTTTGAGAGGATTGACTCCAATTTTGAAAGAAGTTCTGCTGCGGGTAAAATGCTGTCACACAGCATCACATGCTACAGAGAAATCTTTCATGAAGAGTCAATCAATGAGACAAACTTCATTGTTGTCTTATTTCAATAAATTGGCACAGCCACTCTAGCCTTCAGCAACCACTGATCACTCAGTTCAGCAGCCATCAACATCAAGACAAGACCCTCTACCAGCAAAATGATTACAACTTGCTGAAGGGCTCAGGTGATCATTAGCGTTTTTTAGCAATAAAGTATTTTTAGATATAATGCTATTACATGCATAATAGACTAGAGTACAGTATAGTGTAAACCTACCTTTTATGTACACTGGGGAACCAAAAAATTGTGTAACTTGCTTTATTGTGATACTTGCTTTATTGTGGTAGTCTGGAACAGATCCTGCAGTATCCCCAAGGTATGCCTGTATCTCAGTATAGTCGTGATCATAGGTCTTGCTTTTCTTTAGATTCACTGTTGGTGTTATCATCCATGAATTTCACCTTCCTGTGTACAAACATCTCTTATTACAGTAGGAGAATATGGGAGTCAGAAAAGGAAGACATTTATTGTCATTATGAACTCAGAAATATGTTTTCTAGTGATCATTGAAACAACTGAGATTGATATTTTCCAGCCACGGCAGTTTTGGTGATTGAAAGCAAGATCTGTTTTTTAAAAATTAAATATAAGTTTGCACATTCTTCCAGGGAAGGGCACGGGATAATTTCCCTTGCCATTTTATTTTGAAACCAGCTTTGTTGTGGTGGCACGCTCCATGAGATTTGCTCCATGAGATTTGCTCCATGTTGCACCACACACAGTCTTTGCTCCTGTGTCCTTCCATAGAAAAAAACAGTGTGGGGAAGGATTTGGTTTGTCTTACCCTTTAATCTTCTGCTCCTACAGCTCTCTGGTCTGATAGTTCACTATTTTGGTAATAAAGTCAGATATAGTTCAAATCCTGTCTGGTCTATTATTTCGTGAAATTTTTGAACTTTTCCATGCTTTGGCATCCTCCAAGAACTTTTTCCTTTCTAAGTTTTACTGTTTTAATATAAATGGACTCCTATGTGAACACTTTTAGACTGGAGTCTAAAAGTGGCCTAATAGGCTTGCTATTTTTAGAGAAGGAGAAAGTTGCCTTTTGTTCTCTCTGTGCTTTTCACCTCCCACATGTTCTTTAGAGTTTTTTTTCCTGTTCTGGTCTTAGTAGTGACAGCTTTCTAATTCCAGAGGCTTTTTCCTGGGTCTGTTTCTGGCTCATTTTGTCTCATACTCAAAATTTTTAATGTCAGAATTGGGCTGGGCTCTTCTCTTTCTATTATCTGTAAACATTTTGGGTTTCTTTTCCTCTAATTTATGAAAATTATGAAATGTACACATAAAGGAGTGGAAAATATATTCACCCAGTTTAAAGAAGAGTAATAAAATGGACATTCGTATATACCCACCATCCAGGTTGAGAAATAGAACATTGCTTGTGTCTCAGAAGCTCTCTGTGTTCCTCTCAGTCACGTTCCCCCACCCCAACTCCTACCCAAGGTAACCTCTCATCCTGAAGCTTACATGGAAGATTTGGGCATTTTTATTAAAAAAAAAAAAAAGAAAGAAAAAGCCAAGTAGTGATAAAAAATAGTAACAATAGAATTTTCAGGAAAAAAATAAAGATAATGTAAATGCGTTTTTTTTCTAACATTCCACAAAAGAATAATTTGTTTAGGATTGAGGAGAGAATTAATGCTTGTCTTAGTCTGCTCAGGCTGCTATAGCAAAATTTCATCAACTGGGAAGCTTAAACAACATTTATTTCTCACAGTTTTGGAGGCTAGGAAGTCTAAGATCAAGGCACCTCAAGATTTAGTGGCTGGCAGAGACCCTCTTCCTGGCTTATAGACAAGCCACCTTCTTGCTGTGTCTTCATATGGTAGAGAGAGAGAGGGAGAGACAAAGTTCTTTGGTCTCTTCTTAAAAAAGAGAGGACTTCACCCCTTTGCCCTCATCTAAACCTAATTACCTCCTAAAAGCCCCATCTCCTAGTACCATCACATTGGGGGTTAGGGCCTCAATATATGAATTTTGGGAGGGCACAGACGTTCACTCTTGAAGGATTTCAGCTATTCGTGCTGTGTCACTGAAATTAGAACTAGTGTAAAAAGAAAAGTTCACGTACATATAATGCAAATATTCAGTGAGCTGGCACCCAACCTACCCTTGTTTGATAAGGAATAATTGGAAATTTTCTATTTTGGCCTAGCAGTTTGAGGGCAGACAACTTCTTCTGACCTCATTTCCTCCTGATCATTGTGGACATACACCAGCAGCATTTCCTTGTCTTACAATAGTAAGCTTGCTAAAATAATAATAAATAAATAAATAAAAATAAAATAATAGTAAGCTTGCTAAAATAAAAAAACACGCTCGTACACACAACACATACACCTAAACACACGTATGCACTTTCTTTGTAAAGCTCTGTTTGAAATATACTAAAGAGGACTGTTCCTGAAGTAATCTTGCAGTCATGTCTGCTCTCATCCTTTGTTCTTTCAGCCTCACATTCCCAGTCTTCATGGGCTGACTGCCTGGGATTGACTTTTGCCTTCACAGATACTTATCTGCAAAAGATAGAGACAGAAAGTAGCCCGAGTCTCAAAGTTTTCTTGCTGCCACTGCCGTGTGCTACCTCAGACCCCTCATTGCTTACCTGGGGGCTAAGCCCTGCCTCTAGGACCCTCAGGTTCCTGTGGATTCCTGTCTTGAGTATGGTGTGCCATCTTGTTTTTTTCTGAGCTGCTTGACTTGTTGACTCTTCATCAACAAATGTTAGAATGCCTACTCTGTGTAGGCAGCTATACCAAGAACTGTGGATGCAATGTGGTGCCTGTCCTTTTTATGGGATGGTTATTTTGGAGAGTCTTGTTTGCTTTTCTAGTGTCCACAGGCTGGTATGATCTCTAGCCTTTATAGGCATTTCTCTTGACCCAGAATTTTGACTCTGCTAGACCACAAGCTTCTGGATTTTTCCTGGAGTGGCCACTTCATTTTTCTACCCCTGTCATGAGTTACCAACCTTGGTGTGGCTTTCCTGGATGTGAATCAGTTCATTTAGGACTTTTCTCATATCTTCTCTAGTCCTAACCATTCTGGTTCCTGGAACTGATACTGATAGTAAATTCGCCATAATGGACCATATACAGTTAATGCTAGCATTTCTACCAGGGTTCTAAAAATGTCTGGTTTTAAGATTAAATTAAAAATAGTCCCTCTGAAAGACCTAAATAGAATAGTTTCTCTCTTTTTCTGTGTCAGTCTCTTTGGGATTTGGCTGCTTCTGGAATCTTACAAAGGTTTTGCTTTTGATCCAAACACTGCAAGGCACTTTGTGAATGTGAGTAAGATAGTCTACATGGGCTGAAAATTTAAGACCATTTAATGAAAGTTGTCTGGCTGCAGGAAAAATGCTCATTTTTACAAATTGTCTTAAAGTTCTGATTTATAGATCTGTTCTGCATTTTTCTACTACCACTGGATTTTATTACTGGCACATTATATTTAATTAGGATAGAAGGAATGTGTGTGCTCATAATTATTTAAAATGATTTCAGGACATATATTTAGAGAATCGAGTGTAAATACTTAATAATAGTTAAAAGATAAAAATTCAGTTTTAGTATTATGCAAAATGTCTAGACTCTATAATTAGCCTGGAGTAGATTAAATTATGCACCTCTAATCACTATTTTATACATGTCTTTCAAAGTGACATCAATTGTCATCAAATTTGCTTATTATAAGATTTTGCTGGATGAGTACTTATATTTTCAGTATATTTATTTTTTAGTGTCTTTGTGATTAAAAACATGTTAGCATGACTCTCAGGTTTTTAAAATTTGTTTTAATTACAATTAAGTGATGGTTTTCTAATTGTGTTGTCTGATTTTCAGCAGACCACTTAAATAGTTTGGTGTTAATGCAACTGTGGCTTTAGCAGATCTTGATCATTAGCTCTCAGATGAATTTCTATGTAAAGGAATTTTGTTATCAATCTAATCTGTAGAAAGAGTGTATCACTTTACATCTTGGTAATTGGGGTACAGTCTTTTTGTTGAGGTACATAGAAATATGTAGAATTAGAAGAAAATTTCAGCAGCTCTTTACAGCATATAGGCAATACGAATAGAACTGTTCTTTCAGCACCTTCTGAAAAAGATGGGCCTGAAGTCATCCCAGTATGCAATAGCTGATTATTTGACAAAGCATGTATCAAATAGATGAAAATATCAAATAGACGTGTGTGTTAATAGTCCTCAACTTCCAGTTTAGCCTAGGTGTATATTTAAGGTAGGAGATGATGACAATCATACTCATATTCACTCTTTTAGACTTAGAAGTTTTCTTGGAGACCCTATAATTCAACATTCTTGGTTTTTGTAAGGGAGAAGACTAGTTGGACAATGTTAGTTACTTCTCTGAGATCTCAGAGATGGTCAGCTCCTGGGTGCCTGTTTAGTTCAGGCATTCCCCTGTGACAGGATATGACAGCACAGTGAAAAAGGGCCGGTTAGCACGCTCATAAACAACACTGAATCTGAAAGTCCACACCAGTTGGAAGAATTATCCTTTCCAAAGAAGCTACAAATGACTGATAGTTTTTCCAATATATTCTGTAATTTTCAGAGGTATCTTAGCTTGTTATTATTTTAAAATTGTACATAATTTAGAAGAATGAAAATTCTGTTTGTTAGAGAAATTAGTTGTGATTTAGGTAAGCAAAGCACAATCATGACTTTTTTTTAAACAATCGAAGTCCCAGTGAACAATTTTTGTGATGCTATGAAATGTGCTCAGAAGGTGGGCTTATTTGAAGGTCATTTTTCTAAATGATAACTTAAAAAAATAGTTGCCACTTTGTATGATAGTAGTTTTGTACCCACATGAAGAAAGCATTAAAAATTCTCTGTTCTCTTTCTCTTCTTGGTAGGTTGTGTTCTTATCTACCATACTGGTTTGAGATTACTGTAGAAGTATGTTTCTAATTGCTACATTGTGACAATTACTTAAACATATCTACTATTTAAGAAGAACCAGCCTGGCAAGGTGGCTATTTCTTCTAATACCAGCACTTTGGGAAGCCAAGAAGGGAGGATTGCTTGAGCCCAGGAGTTGGAGACCAGCCTGGGGAAGATAGTGAGACTCCATCTCTACAAAAAAATAAAAAAGATAAGCCACTCATGGTGGCACATGCCTGTGGTTCCCAGCTACTTGGGAGGCCAAGGTGGGAGAATTGCTTGAACCTGGGAGGTTGAGGCTGCTGTGGGTCGTGATATTTCTACCACCTTCTAGCCTGGGTAACAGAGCAAGAGCCTGCCTCAAAAAAATAAAAAATAAAAAGGAGCAAGATTATCATCTCTAAAGATTCCTGTGTTATATGTATGAAGGGTACCATGATTGCACAGAATATTGTTTTCTGTATAGTACAGAGAAATCAAGGGTGACAACTTCAAATGCCTTTTACTTTACAGGGTTGTGCAGACATGCCCTCAGTCTGTCTCTTGGGGATTTGCTCTACAGAGGCCCCTGTCTCAGTTCAGCCAGTAGATATATTCCAGGCTCAGGTTGTGGTGGTGCAGGAGAAATCAAGAGTTGGGCTTCTCCTAGGTAGGACAAAAAGAGAGGAAGAGAGCACACAAAAGACAATAGTAGTAGTTCTACAAAAATCTTACTCTTCCTTTATTAAAACAGTGTAAAATTACAAAGTACACATTAGCATTTGCATAATAAATTTTAGGACAAACATCTATAACTTACAGTGAAAGAATTTAAAGAAATGGCAACATTTAGTTAAAAACCTTTATCTTTGTTAATCATTTCTTTAATTCTCTTCTTCTTATTTTTTTCTCTCACTCAGTATCTTCGGCCGTTAATTGAATGAGTGGAGGACAGTTAAAGCCACAGGTTTTCATATGTGGAGAGGCTGCTCCTTAATGTCTTTGCTGGTCTCTTGCCGTTCTCTCCTGCTGCTAACATTAATTACTTTGCTGATGGCTCTAATTGACCCAGTAAAAGAATCTTATCTGTGTTCAGCCCTTCCCAGGTCCTGAAGTCTTTGCAGCTTCTGCTTGCTTTCAGCCTTTATAAATAGCCTTCCAAGTTCTGAGTTCTGGTTCTAGAGTTCCCTTTCCTTTGAAAGTCCTACCCCTTGCTTAAGCCTGTGGATCACTGTTTCTAAACCCACCTTTTCAACACTATTGCCCCATATCACTGATGCCCCAGCTCAACTGGACTTTTAGCTTTTCCCTGAATAGGCCTCTTTGCCTTTTCCTGTTTCATGGATTTGTACACAGTGGTCCCTGTCTATAGGATCTTCTCTTTCCTGCCCATATTTCCCTGTCCAAATTGTATCGTAGAGACTGCCTAAGCCCTGCTTCTTCACTAAAGGGTTCCCTGATCATATTAATTGAAATTAATTTTCTCCTTGAGGGCTGCTTGATGCTTTGTTTGTTATTTATGGTAGTAGGCTAACTGCTGCCTTGGCTTATTTTAGCAATGAGATTATAATCACCTTGACGGTGAGAGGCATTTTGTTTCTCTTTTTGTCTTTACCTACTCCCACCAGCTGATATTCAGGGAACATCTGTCTCATTGAGTTTAGGGGATGTAGGGAAAGCCTGGTCAGCTGCTGCTCCCTGCATGGTAGGTGGTGGTATTGTGAATGTCTGTGGTTCCTGGTGTTTCCTGGACTCGAAATTAGTCCTTAATTAAATAATTCCTTTATTAAAGGAACTATGCTTCTTTTCCTTTAAAAATATAGCTTGTATTGTGGTTTCGTCTTAAAATGGCAGTATACATTCATTGTAAAAATTTTGGGTAATACAGTTAAGCAAAAGAAAGAAAATAAAAACTCTTGAAAGTTCTGCAGGAAACAGTAGCTCACTGCTACATTTGGTATACACCTTTTCAGACATTTTTCTATATGTGAATGTATGTATATAAACATACTTCTAAAAAGTTGCCAAGCATAGTATTCTTTTATTTTTCTTTTCACTGAATGATGTTGTGAACATCTTTCTAAGTGTGAAAGCCTTGAAAGCTGCTCTCACCTACATCATGCATGTATTGTTTTTTGTCTAGTCATTTCCTCAGGAAACCCTTATGAGTGGAACTTGTGGATTATAGGGTGAACATGCTTTCAGGGCTTTTGATACCTATTGCCAAATTGCCCTCTGCATGCCAGTTTTCCTACATCCTTGCCAGCAGTGGCTACTGTCATTCATTTTTATTTTCTAAAGTGATGGGGGAAAACGATCTCTTTCATTATTTTAATTCACAGGTATTTTATTGCTAGTGCAGCTGTAGGTTGGTGTATGATTGATCACCATGAATATTTCTTGTTTTCTTTTTTTCATGAGTTGCATGTTGTATACATAATTCTTCATGTTTATTTAAATCCAAGTTTATTCATAGGTTATATATATGTATGTAAATATATATGTATGTATATTCATATATATATATCTCTGTGTACATTATACATATATAAATAAATTCAACTATATTTGTACACATATAAAATTTGTTGTTGTTAGTAGAAACTTTTCCCCCTAGATTATTTTTAGATGTTTTTTGTTGGTTGTACATCTAGAAATGTGTTTTGTTTTTGCATATTTATCTTGTAACCAGTCACCTTACTTAACTGTTATTATTTCTGATAGTTTTTCTGTTGGTTTCTTTTTTATTCTTTTGGCTATTTTATATATACCTAGGAAGAATAGAACACCATATAAACAGATGTGCAGTTTTTCTGTATAGAATGAAAAATGAAAAAAGTAAAGAAAAAAGTAAAAAAATGAAAAGAGTTCTTTTCCTAGAATGTGGCAAAAACTGGACTTGGAAGAGAGTAGTTTCTTCTGTACAAGGTTACCAGAAGGCAAAGCTGATCATGGATCCTCTTCTGTTCTCTGCAATTTCTCTATGTGTGATGCTTGCTTTATAGTTATGTTAATAAATATTGGATGTATCAGAAAAGAAGCTGGATTAGCAATAGTCACCAACTACATTCATTATTAGCTTTGAAATTTGTTCATCATAGCATTTCAGTGATGTGTAACTATGTGCAGAAGATAGGCCTTTTTTATTTGGATCCAGTTTTCCTTGTGTTTAATTTTTTTTTTTTTGGTTTTATGACATACGGGGGTAAAACTAGATTGTGAAAGTAACCATGATTCTGTCATAAAGGAATCTCAAAATTACTGGAAACTTGGAGAGACACTGGTAGCCACAACTAGAAATGTGTTATCCACTTCATATGGTCGAGCTTTAAGTTAAGGGGAAGAAACGAAACATCTTTCATCTTTTATTTAAAGATTTTTCTTCTGATACCACCCTCCTCAGAAGGGAACTCTCACTGGCTTTTAGGCTGATCAAGCCAGCTGAGTGAGGGTTCTCAGCTTTTATATCACCTCAAGTCTCCTAACTCTTTGTTTCTCCACTCTACAATTAGCTTGCAGGCCTGCCTATGTTTCCTGTCCTCATTATACTAGGGTTTTCTAAACTTTATTATGGCTAATGGGACCATTACCTGAGATGCAGGAGTACCTACACATTTACATTTCCACTGCAATCTCTCATATGGTTTAGGAGATCATTAAATTTCTCTTGTTACCCCCAAAGAAAAACCTCTATAACCTATTCATGCTAGGAACATTCTCTGCCTGCAGTTCTGTTCCTATGAAATGTGCCCACACTTACCAGCCCTTGCCGGGCATGCCATCTTTGTCTGACTTAACGCAAAGCCTCTATGCAACCTATAATTATTTTCACCCACTTAATATATCATTGCTACATGCTTAAATCCCAGCCTCTCCATGTCCTCGATCTTTTAACGTAGCTTAAAATTCTTACTGTATTGTTTACACTCAAAGGAGTGTATATTTTTTAGCTGAAACAACTTTTGGTATGAAAACTATTTTAGGTGGTATGAGTCTATTTTTTTTTTAAAACTTTAGAAAAGTAATGGTTGAAAAATTGTTATACTTTTAAAGTCTTCTGTTACAAAAAGAAAAGAAATATAAGAGCAAGCATAATTGTAGGATACAAGCTTATGTTTATATGAATGTATTGAGTTTAAATTTTGTGTCTGCATTACCACTTACAGTAATTATCTAGTGAATTTAAAATATCTTATGTGTATAAAAGGACAAAACAGAGAAGCTTCTAATGGAAAGAGGGAGCGGGCACGATGCTTCACTGTGGCTTCATGGAGCCTTGGGCATAACAATGTCACTACGCTCGAGGCTCCATGAAGTTGAGAGTCTCCGCAGTGACAGCATTGGTTGTCATTAAATGAATGAAATGTGTACCTGGAAGGAAGGGGTGGTAGGAGACTTCTTGGATGAATGTCAGCGCTCATTTAGGTGTGATTAGGGCTCCCAGTACTGAGAACTTAAGTACTTTCAAGCAGCAGATAATCAGATGACTGACTTTGCATGAGAAATATGGGCATTTGTGGTACTCCTTTTCTAGATATCATTTAATTTTTCTACTGTTTGTTTAACTTCTGTTCCAGTCCCAATTTGAACACATATGGAAGTAACTTACATGTTTTACTACTGAGAATTGAATTAGGGTATTTGTGCTACTGTTTACTTAGGAACAAAGATGTATGGCAAGGTGCATGGCTAGTCACCACCTGACAAGTTCAGTGTCTTGCAGTGAATGTGATCTCATAGCTTCCTGACTTCCACAACTTACACTGCTGACTCCTCTTGCCCAGATCCACCTACTGATGTTATGCACTGAGAGAGCCTAAGGCACCTACTCAAGGCTTTCCTAAAACAGTGGCTGTATTAGTCCATTTTCACTCTGCTAATAAAGACATTCCCAAGACTGGGTAATTTATAAAGAAAAAGAGGTTTAATGGACTCACAGTTCCACCTGGCTAGGGAGGCCCCACAATCATGGTGGAAGGTGAAGGGTATGTCTTACATGGTGGCAGACAAGAGAGAATGCGAGTCAAGTGAAAGGGGTTTCCCCTTATAAAACATCAGATCTCGTGAGACTTACTCACTACCATGAGAACAGTATCAGGGAAACTGCCTCCCATGAATCAGTGATCTCCCACTGGGTCCCTCCCACAACACGTGGGAATTATGGGAGCTACAATTCAAGATGAGATTTGGGTGAGGACACAGCCAAACTGTATCAGTGGCCATGTGAAGTATGATGACAGAACCCAAAAGCAACTGGAGGAGAGGACATACTCACAGACTGTTTGCTTACTAGAATCTCAGCTTTTGAGTATTTTCCACCTTGTAGACCAACCTGACCTTCCATGTAGAACTCGATGTGTATACCTTAAATTTGGCCTTTAGGTAGGGTGACCATATGCCCCAGTTTTCCCAGGATAGCCCTTCCTGGTTTATGTATGTCTGTTGTCCTGGCACAATTATTAATATGCCTCTTTTCATTTCCACAAATGCCCTAGTTTGGATGATAAATTATATGGCCATCCAGTTGTTAGGCCTTGGTGCTTGCTACTATTCATCTAGACTTTTTTTTACCTAGTTCTGCTGGTGAAGAAATGCTGTGTGGGCCTCTAGGTTCCTTCAGACAAGCTTGTTCTCAGCAACTCACTCAATTTCCTAGTTAGAAATAAACTGAGTGCTTAATACAAAATTTCAGAGAATACAGATTTTAAAACTAGAAAGGACTTCCAGAGACTGGTAGTTCAACCACTTTTTACAATGAAGTAAATGATTTTAAGTCATGTAGAAAAAATGATTTCCTTTGTGGTCCAATGTATATCTTTTCTAGTAGCCTTCCTCATAGCCCAAGGCCCAGTTAGCCACGTCGTCTTGTTCTGAACAATTGTTTTCTTTGATCAGCCTGCCCTTAAACTTTTCTGACCAGAATTACTCCAAAGAGAAGCATATTTTTGTTTGTTTGTTTGTTTGTTTTGTTTTATTCTGAGACAGAGTCTTGCTCTGTCGCTCAGGCTGGAATGCAGTGGTGTGATCTCGGCTCACTGCAACCTCTGCCTCACAGGTTCAAGCAATTCTCCTGCCTCAGCCTCCTGAGTAGCTGGGATTACAGACGCTCACCACCACACCTGGCTAATTTTTGTATTTTTAGTACAGATGGGGTTTCAGCATGTTGGCCAGGCTGGTCTCAAACTCCTGACCCTGTGATCCGCCTGCCTCAGTCTCCCAAAATGCTGAGATTATAGGCATGAGCCACCGCGTCTGGCTGGTTCTTTGTTTAAAGTAAGGGGTTCAAGTTATTTTCCAAAAAAACTGGATCTACTCTTCTTGGTTAATAGCTTTCCTAGATACTAGGGAATCTTGGTACCTAACTTTTCCAATTATTAGAATCCTTGGCTTCTCCATATGGAACTTCCTTGTAATGGAAGATATAAACTTTTGGGAGTTTTGACCACATGGCTGTTTATGTGTCTACTTACATTAGAAACATGAATCTCATATTCAAGGATTCCAACAAATACACACACACACACACACACACACACACACACACACACAGACACACACAGACACACGTCTATACACATACATATAAAACTTTCCTGAGGTAAATCTCTTTTTGTGAATTTCCAATTCCTAAATATAATAGCAGCTCTGCTTGTATAGTTGCTGATGATTGTGAAATTCTTTGAACATAGATTTCTAAAAGATATTTGTGATAAATCCTGAAATTAGGACAGTTTAGACAATGTTTCAGTGACAAACATGAAATCTGAGACTTCAGCACTGTAAAATGTTATCTCTTCCCCACACTGCGATATAGTGCAAGTTGAGTAGCTCTTTTAGACAGTTCTTCTCCAAATCATGATGAAAGGGTCTAGGCTGCATTCATATTTCTGTTATGCCATCTGGAGCATGTGGCTTCCAGGGTTGCCATGGAAGAGAGGGCTTAGATAATCCTGCAGGGATTTTAGTGGTCACACTAGAGGGGCAGACATCACTTCCTTCATGTCTCATTAGCCATGATCCATTGTCTTGGCCCTAACCTAACTGCAGCAGAACCTGCAAAATGTGGTCTTATCAGGATGCCAGGAAGGGGAAAATGAAATAGCATTTGGTGGACACACAGCATTATTTCTGCCACAGTTCCCTTCATTGACCTGATTCTTGGCTCATTTGTCATGTTTCAATAGTTTTATATTCTCCTGCTCTTACATGTTCTTCATATTTTGAGTAAAATCATATTTAGTCTCATTCTAGAGTTCCTAGAGTTTTCACCACTTTAGTGGTGCAGATTCACCATGAAGGGCAGAGTGAGTGGGTTCAAGAGTTTCCTTGTTCTAGTTCTTCCACTTTCTTTCACTGGCTTGAACTTCCATCCTACGTTTATTCATTTACTTATAAAGGTCACTCCTCTTTCAACAGATAACCTGCATGAGAAGCATGGGAGTAGCCAGAGAATACAGCTTTTCTGTAGCTTCAGTGATTGAAAAAAGATGTTTATTTTAGAATTTAGGATGTTCAGAGTTTGCCCACAAGTTGTTAGCATCTTCAGAACCAAACATCCAATTGGCTGATCAACAAAGTAAAATGCCAGTTTATATTTGGGTCCGCAATTGCTAAATAGATGAGTATTAGCATTTCAGAACATTCTGTTTCCAACAGGAAATTGTATTAGGACTACAGAAAGCAGAGGTGGAGGAAAGGACAACTCATCTTCAGGCATGTGGAGACATAGATTACCGGTTCCTTCCTGGCTGGGTGGGGCTGGAGACACCACTGCACAATCAACTATTCCCTTCTCCCTTTTTAGTGTTTCTTGTCCATCATCAAAAATTACATTTCACTATTATTTCAAGACTTTTATAATTAATTAGGTTACATTTCAGTTGATGTAATTCACTCTCAAGGAGATTACAAAATAATATTTTTGAGTGAGGTGATCAATCTTGCACATTTGTGCTGATTTTGCTTAGTTTCAATTTGAAAGTTGCATTTTTCACCCTGTTTCCAAGCCCCTATAGCAGGTGTTGGTAGATGTTTGCTCACTCAGCAGATATTGATTAAGGGCCTACTATGCATTAGGCATTATGCCAGGTGCTAGGGATACTGTGATGAGTGGAATAATTAGTTTCAAGGGAGGCTGGCTGTGGTCAGACAGAAGGAAAGAATGGAGTAAATGGGGATGTGTGCTATTTACAGGAAGTAGAAGAGTGGACTGGCATGGTGAGGAGGGGCATATGGTGGTGTATTTCTCTCAGTATTTGCCATAGACCTCCTGAAAAGTAGCTGTTTTTCTTCTTTAAGATTCTAAAATGCCAGAGATACTAGAAACAGGTATGTTCATGAGAAGAAGAGACCCTTAAAAAGAGGGAAATAGGATAATTAAAGTGACCTTTATGAGATTTGGGAATTCATGGTTAGAATGCCCTTGTAATTACAGGCAAAATTAAGATAACGTTGTTTCCAACTCTTAGATGTGCTCCAATGATTGTGTGGTTGAAAATGTTGAAAATAGTAAATTACCTGTAGAGAGACACAGTTGGAATGTAGTTAGGGAGACCTCTCTGCCTCCTGGTGTTGCAGAAGCTTTCTGCAGAAGAATGATACCATCACCAGCTTCATCTATGTATATCATAGTGCTGGTAGCCAACTTAATTAACTAGCAGTGAAATAAGTTTCTGCACCCTGTGAGATATTCCCCATGTATACAGAGTTCAGTAATTGTCATTACTTTTACTATCTGAGATTTTTAAAAAGGAATGAGTAGACATACCACAATTTAGTTTCAAGTGTAGAATTATCCTTCAGTACACATTTGGTTTGTGATTTTAATGGGAAACATGTCTAAAGTTTAAGCATTGGCTTCCTTTCTGTGTTGGAAAGGTTGTCCTTCATCACACACAGGACATACGCAGGACATACCCAGGAGGCCCCCAGTTACTCTGTTGACTGGTGCTCAACACCCCTTTCCAGCCCTCTTCACTGGATTATTTTTAGAATGCATCAGATGCAGCTCTCAAAATGATGCAAAATCATTGAGTCCTCCCATTTTTCAGCTAAAGAAGTAGTGTCACGGTTTCCTAACAAGAAAACCTACTATGAGGCAAAATTATAGAAAATCAGAATAGCAGAATAGGGCATGAGCTGAGGAATCTTCTGCTTTAGCCCTTCATTTTTGCATAAGAAGAAATAAAGACCCAAGTTTAGAGCATACAGCTGGCTTAGAGTGGGACCTACTCTTGTCCTTCAGTTCCCATTAGGATTAAATGAGTTAATACCATTATAGTCCTTATAACAGTACCTGTGCCATAGTAAGTGGTCAGCAAATGCGAGTTATCACTTGTCATTATTCCTAGTGATAGAGCCCAAACAGGAACCTAGATGCCCTAATAATCCAGTGCTCTTCAGGAGGCACATATTTTGTATTTCCACATTGTATAGGGAGAAATATGTTTTAAGAAGTTGAGTTAAAATAAAAATAGTGACTGCCACAATGCCAATTAATGTGTACCTAATCAGCATACTCAGTACTCTGTACTGAATAAGTACTAGGCTAAGAAATGCAGTACTTAGCCTAGTACTGCATAGTCTGAGTTAAATACTGCATATTCATGGTTTCCTTTAATCCTCACAATGTTCTATGAGATTCACATCCTTGACCATCTCCATTTGACATACAAGTTGGGGAACTTGCCTATTTAAAAAATAGGTTTTAAACACTATTTGACTTCAATGACTTTCTTAACCTTTGTTATTTATTTATTTATTTTAAATTTCTTTTTCTTTCTTTTGAGACAGGGTCTCACTCTGTCACCCAGGCTAGAGTGCAGTGGTGCAATCGTAGCTCACTGCAGCCTCGATCTTCTGGGCTCAAGCAATCCTTCCACCTCAGGCTCCCTAGTAGTTGGGACCACAGGTGCATGCCACCACACCTGGCTAATGTTTTAAATATTTTGGAAATGGGGGTCTTGCTATGTTGCCAGGCTGGTTCTCAAACTCCTGGCCTCAAACAATTCTTTGCCTTGGCCTTCCAAAGCTGAGATTACAAGTGTGAGCCACTGTGCCTGACCCCTTACCCTTCCTTTTATCCCAGGAATTGGCAAACTATTGCACACAAGCAATCTCTGGCCATTCTTAACTTGTACAGTCTGCAAGTTAAGAATGTTTATATGTGTGTGTGTGTGTATATATACATTTTTTTTTTGAGATGGAGTCTCACTCTGTCTCTCAGGATGGAGTGCAGTGGCATGATCTCGGCTCACTGCAACCTCCGCCTCCTGAGTTCAAGCGATTCTTCTGCCTCAGCCTCCTGTGTAGCTGCGATTACAGGTGCGTGCCACCACGCGCGGCTAATTTTTGTATTTTTGTAGAGATGGGGTTTCACCATATTAGCCAGGATGGTCTTGATCTCTTGACCTCGTGATCCACCCGCCTCAGCCTCCCAGAGTGCTGGGATTACAGGCATGAGTCACCATGCCCGGCTTTGTTTTATGTATTTTTTAATGGTTGAAAAAAATCAAAAGAAGGATAATATTCCATAACACATAAAAATTATGTGAAATTCCAATTTCAGTGTCCATACAGTTTTATTGGAATACAGCCATGCTCATTTGTTTACATACTGCCCGTGGCTGCTTTTGCAATATAATGGCTGAGCTGAGTAGTTGTAGTGGAGCCCGCATGGCCCACAAAACCTAAAATATCTACTCCCTGGCCTTTATAGAAAACCCTTGCTGACCTTTGCTTTATACTCTTCCTTGGTGATTACATTTTATGACATTCCAACTGTTTAGGGCATAATTGTGGAATTTTTATAGGATCTGTCTCCTCAAGTTACTTGCCTTTTGGTTTGTTCTGTATTAATTAACATATCAATCAGATCCTGAATAATGTGAATAAAAAGAGTTCACCGTCCGGGAGGCGGAGCTTGCAGTGAGCCGAGATCGCACTACTGCACTCCAGCCTGGGCGACAGGGCGAGACTCAGTCTCAAAAAGAAAAAAAAAAAAAAAAAGAGTTCACCGTTGGATTGTCTGTGTCTTGTCTTTTTTTTTTTTTTTTTTTTTTCTGCAGATTGGGGAGTAATTTATTCCTGGATACTGTGTGAAACTCGATGATAACCTGTTTTTGTTTCTGTACTAACCATGGACTGCAGCTATTTCTGGTTTGCATGCCCCTCACGTTCATTTATTGAGCCGATTGTTTTTAAACCTCCAAGTGTCTTAGATGCAGAAATCACTCTATTTTCTTTCCTTTGTAGTGGTTTGTTGTCTTCTGATTATGTGGAGATTCACTACGAAAATGGGAAACCACAGTACTCTAAGGTACGGTTACCGGCGTCGGCAAGTACTCTAGTATAAGTGTGCTTATCATAGAGTTGATCAGTGCACACTGCGTTGTTTTGACGTCTGTCTCAGTAAAATCACCTGTGCTCTTTTACAATGATACTATTTTTAGTGAGGAGAAATTTATTAAAATATACAAATGTTTGAGGTAACGTTAGGTATTCAGGACAAAAAATGTTTATTGTTTTGATTATACATGCAGTACCTTTTGTGATAGTATAAAGAGCTATACAGTTCCATATCAGCACCTGAAAGTAGTTAGTAAAGAAGGATGAGGCTCATGGCCATCGAATCTGGATTAGAAGACTGGATGGGCTGTTAGAACGGTTCTTTAGTGCAAATGATTTTGCTGCCCAAGAAGGGCAGAGGACAGGTGGGGGAAGTGAGATTTAGGTAGTACTTTTTCTCTAACCTTCATAACAATTCTATGAGGTGGATGTTATTATTCCTGCTGTACTATGGAAGAAATTAAGGCAGAGAGAGGGCAAATAAGCCTGCTTAAGGCCACGGGACATTGAATATGAGGGTACTTGGGTATCTGATTCCTTCATTTGGAGATGAACTTTCTTGTCTTCAGGGAGGATTAATAAAGAGCAAGTGGATTTGGATTAAAGCAAGAGAGAGAGAGAGATGATTTGTATGTAAGAAACAGTGACCTCCGTCAGTCAGGGTGAAGATCCCCAGAATGGCTACAGAAAGAAACTCTGACTTCTAGGGAATCAACAAGTGCCACTGAACCTGAGCAGTGTCCCAGTTACTGGGGACACCAGAAAGGAAACAAAGTGGGGAAACCTCACTGGATTTTTGTTTGTCTTTTTCCTAGATTGCTAACACATGTCAGCATAAAAGTAGCACCTTTCCCGTATGTGGACTTGTGCCATATAGGTAACTGGGATTTTCAATCTGATGGCTTCTCAGCAAATGTTTATAGGTGTCCTTCATTATAAATACTGCTCAGGAGGCCCTGGCATGTCTCAGGATTTATAACATTTCAATTTGTAATTGGACGTGTTTTCCAGCCTTTGAGTTTTGTGCCACAGATTAAGAACTTTCATGTATCATTCTTATTAGTTGTCAGTTCTTGCCTTAGGTTGCATTTGGGGGTTGTTGAGTCTCCCTAAAAGTTAGTGCTGTGGAAAGTGAGCAGAAAAGCTAAATCAAGCGCGGGAACAAGCTTCCTGGCATTTGTACAAACTGAAGCTTCTGTCAGCTGTGCCAGGGCCCTGAGCACTGCAGATGCTGAATCATGAGCCTGGAGTAGACAAGATTGCAGGGAACTTTATAGACTCAGCAAACGAGCCACATTTGCAGGACACAGAAACCTGATCCAGACTTCTCACTAAGGCACTTAGTTACTTTTTTTTTTTTTTTAAAGAAACAGAATAGCTAATTGGCCTCCAGAGGTCATTTGAGGTCCCAAAAGGAGACCTTATCATTAATAAGACACTCCAAATCTGATATCAGTTGTAACTAAAACTTAAAAGGTATTTCAACTCTAGCAAAAGAAATTGTGTTCACTGCAGTTTGTTTTTGTGTTCACTGCTTTTCTCTCTTTCATGACCCATTTTCTTCAAACAGCTCATATACCCAAACTTACGTGCTTCATAGATAATGAACTAACAGTCTGTTTTTTATGTGTCTGTATTTATGTACATCAGAAAAACCCAAGATGATATGGTGCACACTATTTTATATCAAGATTTTTTAAATGTAGCAAAATTTTAAATATTTTAGCATATATTAAGTAATCTTCTAAACCTTTAATTTTTAAAAATTTCATAATATTATTTCTAATTCATTTGTTATAATATGTTTAAAAATGCCATGGTGATAGACATTTTGACTCTTTCCAATCTTTCACTATCCGAATAACTTCAAGGGAAGGCCTTCCAGATACGTTTTGAATACATCCCTTATAATTGCTTCAGAATTAATTCTGAGAAAGGAATTTTCTGGGTCAAAGAGTTGGTACAATTTTTTAACACTCTTCATATATATTAACAATTTTTATTTCTGAAAGTTTGTATAAATTCATATTCCCACCACCATTACATATATATATATATTTTTAAAGCATTTGTAAATAAACTTCATGAAGATTGTCTTTTATGCTGCTTCAGAAAATCTTTGTACAGAGTACCAGAAAAGGAAATTAATATGTAAGAATGGCTAGGTTAAACTTATTTTCACATAATGCAGCCTTTTTTCCCCTAAAGATCTCAAATTGTTTTTTTTATTTTTATTTTTTTGAGATGGAGTTTTGCTTTTACTGCCCAGGCTAGAGTGCAGTGGTGCAATCTCGGCTCACTGCAACCTCCACCTTCTGGTTTCAAGCGATTCTCCTGCCTCAGTCTCCCAAGTCGCTGGGATTACAGGCACCTGCCACCATGCCCAAATAATTTTTTTTGTATTTTTAGTAGAGACGGGGTTTCACCATGTTGGTCAGGCTGGTCTCGAACTGCTGACCTCGTGATCCACCCGCCTCAGCCTCCCAAAGTGCTGGGATTATAGGCGTGAGCCACCGTGCCCGGCTCAAAGATCTCAAATTGTTTAGAGAAAAGTACATGCACACATTGTACACACACATGTAGACACACAATATTTTCCACGTAACTAAAGAACAGTCTATTTGGCTATGAAGTTAAATGTGAATGTGGATATTGACAGCATCCCAGGAATTAGTTGCAACCATACTTTGCAAAGAGGGTTGTCTAGGTTTTCCCATTTCACCACTAACAAGCCCCTCTCTCATTCTTACTTCTCACTAAGAAAAGATTAATGTCTTGGCTTTTACTTTTATTGCATGGACATGGGTTAAAAGTGCTTCTTTCCATGTGAAGCAAATATAGGAGCTCGAGAGGTCCAAAAGAAGCGTGTAATATGAATGCTAGGTATCAGTCCAAGAATAAGGAAGAACTTTTGTTCTGCACTTGATGGAGCAATAGCTTTTGTTTAAGTTCCTACCAGTGCTTTGCACATAATATATAATAAAACTATTTTGTTGATTTTTTTACAACTTTAAAAAGTAATTTATTTACTTTTCTTATTTAAACAAATTTATTGGGATATAACTTATGTATCATAAAGCATATAATTGTTTTTAGTATATCTACAGAATTGTGCATCCATCAACATAATCTAATTTTAGAATATTTTCATCACTGCATAAAGAAACCACACCACCTGTTAACAGTTGCTCCCCAGTCTCTCTTTTACCAACCATAGGTAACCACTAATCTATTAATACTTTCTATCTCAATAGATTTGCCTATTCTGGACATAAATGAAATAATATAATAGGTGGGCCTTTGTGACTAGTTTCCTTTTTCGTCCCTAGTTTTAATGAGATATAATTGAAAAATAGAAATTACATATATTTAAGGTATGTAACTTAAATTGTATATATAGGAATTGTATGTATTATTCAAAACATCAGGTTGATATGTTGGTACATTGTGAAATGGTCACCACACTCAAGCTAATGAACACACCCATCACCTCACATAGTTATCTTTTTTTTTTTTGTAGTGAGAACATTTAAGATCCACCCTCTTAGCATGTTTCAAGTACTATATATTTGTTGACCAACTTTGCTGATGAGCCTATTTAAATAAGTTAATTTTTAGCATTTCAGTTCTTATAAAATAATAAGCATCAACAAAACACTATGAAAGTACTTTTCAAAATTAACATATTTCTATTAAGTCTTTTTTGGTGAGCTGCTAATACATATTTGTAAGTGCTTACTAATACTTTGATTTCTCTTCTGCTTACGTCAGCAGTCATGATGAATAAATAGATGAAGTGCCTCCATCCCAACTTCCCTCTACCTTATTACTATCATTATTAGGTGGGGAAGGCTTCTTTTCCTAGGTCTATTTCCTCACCCTGGCTTCTTCCTATTCCGTTGCTCATTCTTGCTCAGGGAAGGAAGAGCGGCTTGACTGCTGGGAAAGTATGTCTGTGCAGCCAGTTCCTCCCTCCCTTTTTTTTTCTTTTTTTTTTGTAGGATCTACCTTCCTACAAGAAGAGTACATTCTCTCCACCTTTCTCTTCTCTGAATTGTACTGTGGCCACCCACATGTGTGTATGTGGCTGGGGTTAGGTTGTCCCACATTGTCTCTGCCTGGGTGGGTAAGGCTAGCTACTCCTGGGTGCAGCATTAGCAGGCCTATTAGATTCTCAACTAATCCTCTCCTCCAGTATAGCTCTATAATAAATGAAGGTGACATTTTGATGTTTCAATTCTATGTCACTCTCTCATTTAGTTTTAAACTTGGGTGGGCACCAATTCATACCTATGAGGATGGCTATAATGAAAATGATGGACAATAACAAGTGCTGTCGAGATTGTGGAGAGATTGGAACCCTCATACACAGCTTGTGGGAATGTAAAATGTTGTGTGGCTGCTTGGCAGAACAGTTTGGCAGTTCCTCAAAAAGTTCAACAAAGAGTTACCATATCACCCAGCAGTTCTACTCCTAGGCATATACTCAAGTGAATTAAATACATATGTCCACAAAGAAACTTGTACATAAATGTTCATAACATTATTCATAGTAGCCAAAAGGTGGAAACACCCTAAATGTCCTTCAATTGTTGAAGGAATAAGGGAAATATGGCATATCCACATAGTGGAATTACTATTCAGTCATAAAAGAAATGAAGCACTGATACATACTACACCAAAAGATAAATCTTGTAAACATTATGCTAAGTAAAATAAGCCATACACGAAGGGGCACATATGATACGATTCTGTTTATTTGACATGTCCAGAATAGGCAAATTCATAGGAACTGAAAGTAGGTTCATGATTGCCAGGGCCTGGTGGAGTGGAGGGGAGGAGAAATGGAAACTGATTGCTAATGGTTACAGGACTTTTTTCTGAGGTGATGAGACTATTCTGGAACTACATAGTGGGGATAGTTATACAACTCTGTGAATATGCGAAGAAAAACACTGAATTTTATACTTAAAAAGGTAAACTTTATGATTTCTGAATTATATCTAAATAACAACAACAATAAAAAACCCAGGTGGGGAATAAGAGTTTATTTACCCACCCTCTTCATCAAACAAGAATCCTTTAGGATTGGTCTTGTCACATATGCTCATGAATAAGCCATTCCTGTTCATTCATTAAACAAATATGGTTTTACTGTATAGCATAATGTCCTTTAGGTCTACCCATATTTGGCAAATGCCAGGATCTCCTTCTTTAAGGCCGAATGCTATTCCATTGCGTGTGTGTTTGTGTGTGTGTGTGTGTTGAAATAAGCCAGACACAGAAAGAAAAATATTCTGTGACCTCACTTATGTGTAGAATCTAAAAAAGTCGAATATGTATTTATGTTGGTGCAAAAGCAATTGCGGTGTTCGCCATTGAAAGTAATGTCAAAAACCACAAATACTTTTGCACCAACCTTATAGAACAGTGGTTACCAGGGGCAGGAGGTGGAGGGGTGGGAGTGGGGTGGTGGGTTGGAGAGATGTAGGTCAGATGGTACAAAGTTGCAGTTATATAGGCTCTAAGTCTAAAGATGGAATGGATAGCATAAGGGCTATGGTCAGTCATATTGTATGATGGGAATTTGCTAAGAGAGTAGATTTTAGGTGGTCACGCCACACGCTTAAAACGTAACTGTGAGGTAGAAATAAGACATGTTAATTTGATTGACTATAGTAATAATTTCACTATGTATATCAAAATATCATGTTGTATATTTTAGATATACACAACTTTTTTTTTTGAGACAGTGTCTCACTCTGTTGTTCAGGCTGGAGTGCAGTGGTGCAATCTTAGCTCACTGCAACCTCTATTTCCTGGGTTCAAGAGATTCTCCTGTCTCAGCCTCCCGAGTAGCTGGGATTACAGGCACGTGCCACCACGCTTGGCTAATTTTCGTATTTTTAGTAGAGACGGGGTGTCACCGTGTTGGCCAGGCTGGTCTCGAACTCCTGACCTCAAGTGATCCACCCACCTCAGCCTCCCAAAGTGCTGGGATTACAGGCATGAGCCACTGTGCCTGGCCTGATATATACAACTTTTAGAAAACAAAAAAGCAGAAAAAATATTGATTTACCTTGTACTGTGACCTTTTTGAGGTCATAGTTCCTGTTCTAGGTACTAGATATGTATCAGTGAACCAAACAGATAAAGATCCCTGCCCTTATGGGTCCTGTGTTCTCTTCTCACCTTTATTCTTTTCTTTATCAGTATAACCACATCACCCTTTTAGAATGTTCTTTGTGCTTTCCTTATCAAATCATCATCACAGCTCAGTTCAAGCTCGCTTCTAAGAGTGAAGGGTTTTTGGCAGCAGGAGAGCATGGATTGTGATCAGGTGGAGTAGGTCTCTGTGCGCGTGGCTCCTGGCTGGGAGGTAGGGTTGATGCAGAGTGGAAGAGATTGGAGGAGTGCGTGTTCTGAAGACCCTGTCCAGTGTATGAGTAAGGGAGGGTGGGCCCTGCAGAAGTCAGTCAGAGTCTGGCCGAGGTGCTGTATTGGAGTCAGGGTATTTTCAGACACACGGGTCTGCCTGTCTTCCCTTTTCTGAGTGTTTCCCCACCTCTTTCTGCTTCCTTTCCTTTATTTTTCTCATTCCCTCTTCTTTTAGTAATATTTTAATGAAGTTTTCAGACTATTTTTTAAATCTATTTTCCCTTCTTTTTTACTGCCTCTCAGCTTGCCATAATTGGGTTTAAAAATTCGTGTTTGTATTGTTTCTAACCAGAGATAACTTAAAGTTTGTATTTCCACTCCTATACTAAAAATGACTCTTTTACTTGCGTGTACACTAGAATTTTTTCCCTAGTCTTTGAATTAATAGCCAGTTTTTTAAAAAGTTTCTTACCACTGCATAAATAATAATTTAAGCAATAACAAGGAAAACAGAACTATCCACACTAAATCACTTAAATTAGATCCAGGATTATCAGTTATTTGAATTTTGAGTATAAAGTTGAAATTATTATTAATCATTCAAAATATTGACCTTCCTGGCAACATTCGGAGTACATTATAGAATATGAAAGGAGCACGGGGTTAAAAAATGCCCCAAGAAATCAAGATAGCAGATGACACTAGTCCTCACAAAGCTATTTTAAGTTTGAATAGTATAATTTATGTGAACTATTAAAAATTTACATAGCATTGGTACAGCCAAACTGTTCTAATACTTTATTAAACTACTGCAAGAACATTTTCCCCATTAAATTTAATGAAGGTAAATAATTAAATTATTTAATAATTTGTGTGTTGGGAGTCTCAAGTTCCCCAAGTCTCCAAAATTATTGTTTTTTATTTCCTTATTCTGCAGTACTCAAAATCAGGTATACATGTCCCATTATAGATATCTTTTTCTATTTCTCATTTGTTATCAGCTCACTGATTTTTAAAATAGTTTAGCATATCCTAGTAGTTGATAAGCTTGAAGAATTTAAAGATATGTATATAGAATAATCATTTGAGTATAGTGTCAGTAGTTTTTATTATTGTATTCAGAACCTAGATATCATAATATACACATTTTCTAGTTAAGGACTGTGTAGTTTCTTTTCAAATGTTTATCCAGACCTGCAGGAATAGATTGAAAATATCAGTGTATGGTCACTATCAATGTCCAGGTTTTTGGGAGTTTCATAAGCAGTAAAGAACTGGCTGATGGAACTTTACCATGCAGATGGAATAATTAGACACAAAGTTGGGGTGCTTTTAAAAACCAAATTAAAACTATTGGTTCTATTTCCACTAAAATGAGTAGAATCAAACAGTTCCTGTTGTTATTACTATTATTATTATTATCATTATTATTTTTTATAGAGGCAGGGTCTTTCTACATTGCCCAGGCTGGTCTCAAACTCCTCCTGGGCTTAAGCAATCCTCCCTCCTTGGCCTCCCAAAGTGCTAGGATTACAGGCATGAGCCATGATGCCTGTCCAGTTCCTGTTATTAGATTAGTAATACCAGAGAACTGGATCTTTTTTTCCCTACAAGTTGTAATCACTAGACTCACAAAGTTATTATCCCCAGCCATTTCTGGTTAGGAAGTATTTTAAAAGATGGACATGGCTTCAATGTGTCAGTATATGAAGAGGAAGCCTGGTAGGTTCCAATGGGATTCTGAGCTTGGAAACCTTGTGGAGCAGAGTTATTATTTGAGCATGATATGGCTTGTGGAGTGTTCAGCTATGTGCAAGTAGCAGGCTGAGAAAGGTAGGGAGCATACTAGGATTTTTAATTTCCTGTGACTAGCCAATAACTTCCACTTATCAGATGCTCCATTTCTGTTGAATTTAATTAACTGACAGTTTTGGATCCGAAAATGCTGATGTCTGTATGGGTGCACAGAGACTTGTGTCATGGGCTGAATCGAGCCCTTTTTGGTTGTCCCTGCTGCCATTTGCCACGTCACAGGTCTGTGACCCACTCCTAGGTGGTCAGGGCCAGCCCTCTTTAATTGTCTGAGGTCTTCCTAACTGGAGAAAGAAACATGGACTTGAGAACCTGAAGATGTGGGAATCAGTTTGTCTTTTTGTTATTTTTAGAAGAGCCTTTTGCACTTTGTTTCTGTCCCCATATGGGTACATGGAGACAGCAGTCACTGTGAGGTAATGGTTGTTGAAGATGGCCAGATCCCTGGGTGGAAGGCACCCCTGGAGCTGACTGTCCAAAGTCATGATTGCCAGTGCCCTTAAGAAGTGGGCTCCCTGTACTGGCCCACTTCTGTTATGCTTGGCACCCAAGATGGATTGCTCTTTCTCTCTCAGGATTTATTTTATATGAGATAACTCAAGATCTTACTTTGCAGTGGTCTGAAGTGTTACCAAATAATATTTTTCCATAGTACTCTTTAAAAACTTGGTATTAATTTAGTAATAAAAAAATCAGAAAATCCTCTAATACTGCTAGTACTAATATTAAATTGGAAGCTACCAAATTGTTTATAATGTTTAATATAACTACACAATTTAGCTATTAAAACTTTCTTATGATGATAAACATCAGAGATTGGATGTTGCCTGAAGTCTCATTTAAGTTTAAAAAAATACAGTGATTCAAGGCCAGGCACGATGGTGCATGCCTGTAATCCCAGCTACTCAGGAGGCTGAAGCACAAGAATTGCTTGAACCTGGGAGGTAGAGGTTGCAGTGAGCTGAGATCATGCCACTGCACTCCAGCCTGGGCGACAGAGTGAGACTGTCTTTAAAAAAGAAAAGAAAAGAAAAGCAGCCCTTCACTGTACACACACACACACACACACACACACACACACACACACACACACACACACACAGTTGTCCTTGAACTGCACGGGTCCACTTATATGTAGACTTTTTTCAACCAAACACAGTATTTGTGGGATGCAAAACCTGTGCATATAGAGGGCTGACTTTCCATATATGTGGTTTCCACAGGGCCGACTGTGAGACTTGAGTATGTGCAGATTTGGGAAATATGTAGGAGTTCTAGAACCAATCCCTGACTTTATAAATATATATTTATCTCTGTTTTCTCCCGATAACCCACCTAAATAACAGTTAGGGGATAAAAAAGGATATGAACCCACCAATACAAAGACAGGAGAAGAGAAAACAAGCAGGTGAGATGTAGCCATAAAATTTCAGGAGATGGAAAGTGGATGAGGAGTGACTCTTAGCTTTGAGCTTTTCATGCTCTGCTAAGTTCGTATGGGGGGAAACCAAGAAGAAACAAGTCAACTTATGTCACTTATCCCAGAAAGGCAGAAATAAAAGCATCTGAAAAAAGAAAAATTGGTTGAAAGTAGATGTAGAGCGGTTAAGTCCCCAATTCACTGCCTGCCCTGTGGAGCCAGATAAGCAGATAGGAAGTCGGGGACTTCCCTAGTCTGGTAGGAGCTCATGTATGGAAAAAAATGGATAGGAGAGAATTCTCAGCTATATTTTATAAATAATAAAAATTATTATTTTTATTATTATAAAATTCTTTTATAAATATTATTTATAAATATTATTTTTATAATAATAAAAATTTATTATTATTTATTTTAAAAAGCTGCCCAGAACTGAAGTGCATAGTTTTCTTGATTAAAAGGTGTCACAGCAGGAGGCTGAGGCAGGAGAATCTCTTGAACCCAGGAGGCGGAGGTTGTAGTGAGCTGAGATCACGCCATTGCACTCCAGCCTGGGCAGCAGGGTAAGACCCCGTCTCCAAGAAAAAAATAAAAATAAAAGTGTCACAGAGTACCCAGTACAACAAAGGAGCAAAAATTCTAAAAATAAATAAATAAATAAAAATGGAGCAAGAATGAAAATACAATAATTATAGTGGCAGAGCTGTGAACAATATTTGTGTACACATAAACAATGAATATAGATTTAACTAAAACTGGTGATATGAATTAGAATGTACTGGGGGTGAGAGAGGTTTTCGAGATCCTATATTAGGTAGATAATTTCTAAAATGGAATTAGTCAGAACATAAAAAGTATAAACATTCAAAAATATATAGCCAAACACCAGAAGAAACAGCTTAAAACATTAAAAATGGTTGCCTTGGAGGTGGAGGGGAAAGAGGGACAAAGGAAACTGCTGTGTTTTTTTAAAAATAAAACTTGTAGTTATTATTTGACTTTGAAAACTACATTCATATATTGCTTCTAAAATGTTTTTAAAGTTAATTTTTAAAGGTAAGAAAACAAATAAGATATTGTATAATTTTCCATTAAAAATGATTATAAACAAACTTTTGGAGTCTCTCTTCAGTCAAGTGGAAGTCCTTATTCTATAACAACATCTGAAAAGTACCTGTACTCCTACAATACATACTTAAGAAATGTATGTTTTATTAATTACCTTGGTGTCATTGTTTTTTAAAGCCTTTTCTCCTTCATTCAATTTAACACACACATGCTTGTTATAAAAAAGTTGAAAAATTGCCTAGTCTTATTTGCAACTTTATATAGGAGGAGTTTCTAGGGTTATTAATACAGTGCACATATATGCCCATCCTTGCATTTCTTTTTGCTTTATGGAAGCACCCAAAGAATTAATCATAATGCATAAAATACAACCAATCAATGAAACCTGCTTTCCAGGGTGGAGAGCACTGTTACTACCATGGAAGCATCAGAGGCGTCAAAGACTCCAAGGTGGCTCTGTCAACCTGCAATGGACTTCAGTAAGTGGGAATCTCATTGGCATTTTATTCATTGACCCTTTCCAGTTTCCCTTTTATGGATATATATATTTTAGTGACTCTTCCGTGCCAGTGCTGTGTTAGGGACTGCATGTGGAGTGGTGCACAAGGAGGGCAATGTCCCTGTCCTCTTGAACACTTAGTGTTTGCAGGAGATTCAGAGATTAACCAAATGATTACATAGATGAATGTTTAATCACCATTGTGTTAAGAGCTGTAAAGGGGAAGGACAGATGCTTGTGGAGTGGCAAAACCTAGTCCAGGAAGGTTTCCCAGCGGCATATTCCAGAGGACATATCAGTTAGACCTACAGCTAGACTTGAGAGTCAGTAGGCCTTAGATCTAAGAAACTTAGACCTAACAGTAAGTTGGAGTTAGCCAGGCAAGGGTGGGGTGACAAAGAGAGGGGTTCGCACATTGACCTAGGGGTGGGCTCTAACAAAACCATGTGTTGGCACCTTTTAGACCTGGACACAGTAGCACCTCATATAAAGACTTAGTTTCGGCCATGTGACGACAAAGAATCTTGAAACTTTTCGCCCTTTTATAAAAAACCTTATGTCCCTGAAAATTAAATGTAATTTGTATGACATAGAGTCATACTGCTTGATGGCAGTTCAGAATTTATAAGCGTAAAGATACCACTGTTTGCTTCTTCAGAACCAGATGGTTTTAGATTATTCTCATATATAAAGAATCTGTTTTCTTACAGATGATATTGAATTTGCATAATTAGAAATTTGTATAGTTGTACATGGTTCTGGAATAATTACTTTAGAGACTGCCACTGAGTGAATAGTCCTATCTCAGAGTAATTTTCTAATCTGTCTGTTGAATTTCAAACATCAGTTATATCAGGTATAATTTGCATGCATTTGATGTATACTTTTATAATTTTTATAGCCTCCATGCTGCCTAATAGAGTGCTGGGGCCACACTGGGACTCCATGCAGATATGTGAATTAAACTTGTGACAGTGTAAAGGGATTTGTTCAGTTATACTCTTTATTTTGAAGACACAATAATGAAGCTCACTTGCTATTTCTTGCCATTTCCTGTGTTTGTTTATTCCCTCCTTTGTGTGGTTTCTTTTGTGCTAGTGGCATGTTTGAAGATGATACCTTCGTGTATATGATAGAGCCACTAGAGCTGGTTCATGATGAGGTGAGTCTATGCCATCAGTTGCCTGATGGCGTTCTACTCCTCCAGCAACTTTGTCTTTGAGAAGAAAAGAGAAAAGAGTGTAGATTTCAAAGTGCCTTTGTACATGTTAACTTATTTCAAACTTAGAGTAGTACCCTGAGTTTTGAAGTTTTAAGTTGCACATGCCAGGCCCATGTACCCGTAAAGGATAGTAAAAGACATCAAACATAGGTTTTCTGAAGCAAATCCTAGTCCTTCCCAGTCTATGAAAAGAGCAGAGAGGATATTTTGTTTTGTATTAGCCAGCCTCCTTACTTTAAACTAGCTTTCATAGAAGTCATTATATGAAAAAGATACTTGCACACACACATTTATAGCAGCACAATTTGCAATTGCAGAAATATGGAACCAGCCTAAATGTCCATCAATCAGCAAGTAGATAAGTAAAATGTGATACACACACACACACACACACGCACACGCACCATGGAATACTACTCAGCCATAAAAAGGAATGAAATAATGGCATTCACAGCAACCTGGATGGAATTGGAGACTATTACTATAAGTGAAGTAACTCAGGAGTGGAAAACCAAACATTGTGTGTTCTCATTCATATGTGGAAGCTAAGCCATGAGGACACAAAGGCATAAGAATGATACATTGGACTTTGGAGGCTCGGGAAAGTGGAAGGTGGTGAGTGATAAAACACATTGGGTACAGTGTACACTACTTGGGTGATGGGTGCACCTAAATCTCAGAAATCACCACTAAAGAACTTATTCATGTAACCCAACACCACCTGTTCCCCAAAAACCTATTGAAATTAGAAAAAAAAACAGCTTTCATTCTTACTGTCATCTTTAGACAATTGTGTGACTATAAGAATGTACTTAACTTTTATGAACCTGAAAATCTTTAGTGGGGAAATCTGTGGGCTGAACTATGATTATATTATAAAATACTTAGTTTTCTTTACAGATAGGGAAGAAAATAATGTTTAGAGTCATGCACAAACCAGTGATTTAGACAAGAAATCACATGCTCTAATAGTGTTGCTTGCTAATAGAATGCAATCAAATTTAAAATTTGACATATATTCAGTAAATATTGTATTGAGGGCTTACTACAAGCTGGGTATTATTTTAGGTTCTGGGGATACTTTGGTGACAAAATAGACAGAGATTGAGCCAAATGGGGCTTACAGTCTACAGAGGCAGATAGAGATACACAGAATGAATAAGTAATTACATGTGGTATGTTAGATAGTGATACATGGTAAGGAGAAAAAGTGAAGCCAGGAGAGTGGAGAGTTAAATTTTTTTTTTTTTTTTTTTGAGATAGTCTCGCTCTTTCGCCTAGGCTGGAGTGCAGTGGCACTATCTTGGCTCACTGCAAGCTCCGCCTGCTGGGTTCACGCCATTCTCCTGCCTCAGCCTCCCAAGTAGCTGGGACTACAGGTGCCCGCCACCGCACCCAGCTAATTTTTTGTATTTTTAGTAGAGACGGGATTTCACCGTGTTAGCCAGGATGGAGTTAAATTTTTTATACATACACAGTTCCGGGAAGTCCACCAAGAGAAGACAAGTGGTGAATGAAGCACTTAAGGAAATTAGAGAGCTGGAAGAACATTCTAGAAGATGAGCAAATACAAAGGCCTTGAGGCAGGAGTGTGCCTAGGGTGTTCGAGGAGCTTTGAGGAACCTGACAGGGTTGGAGAGGAGTGAACAAGGGGAAGAATGGGAGGAGATTAAGGCACTGAGAGGTAACAGTACAGAAGTCAGATCAGTGAAAAGAACTGTAGCGGGAAAATAATATTTTGTGAGTGATAGAGTTAGATTATTGCAGTTATTTGATGGGGAACAGAAAACATTTTTTATCTTTAGGGATTTCAAATTTAGATAAAATTGGGCTGGGCGTGGTAGCTCACGCCTATAATCCTAGCACTTTGGGAGGCTGAGGTGCGCAGATCACGAGGTCAGGAGTTTGAGACCAGCCCAGCCAATATGGTGAAACCCTGTCTCCACTAAAAATACAAAAATTAGCTGGGCGTGGTGACGGGAGCCTGTAATCCCAGCTAGTGGGGAGGCTGAGGCAGAAGAATCGCTTGAACCTGGGAGGCAGAGGTTACAGCGAGCCAAGATTGCACCTTTGCACTCCAGCCTGGGCGACAGAGCGAGACTCCATCTCAATAAATAAATTAATTAATTAATTAATTTTGAAACAGCTAACAGTTAGATAGGCTACTGATAATAAAAGCTGAACAGACAAACTTTTATTGTCTTGGTTATGGCGATGTATGTATGAATATGGGGTAAATTTCAAAGTTGATGCAGAAAAGTTTTAAAGGGTTGGTGTTTGAATAAACCTCTGTCATTTTCAACTAGTAACTATAAAAATTATCAGGTAATGAAGACAGCCCACTTAGATAAAGACATTTTGATTAAGTAAAATGTTATTTATCTCACTCCAGTAAGGAAAGATAATCTGTGTACAGCAAAATTATTCGACTCATTCAGCAAAAACTCTGACTTTGATTTCTGGCTTTGATTAATGGCCCTGGTACCCTAACAAAATCCACAAAGAACAAAACACAGATTCCCAAATAATAACTATTTAAGCCTTAGAGTTTTTTAAATGTATAAAATGAGATAATTTTTAATGCATTCATAGTAGGGCAATTTTGTAGATTTGATGAATTAATAAATGTAGGTGACAATGTCTATTAAACTGTCATAAGGATTTATAAATATAAACTATTGTTATAATGTTTAAAGCATTGGTTTTGCATTGTTTACTTGTGATCATATTATTCAGGGCCTGATTGTTACATGCAAATTGCCTTCTCTTTGCCTTCCTTCCTGTTGCCTACCTTTTGGTTATGTAATGATTTGTCCTCATCCACACTATGGGTAGAGGAAAGGAATAGTGCTTTAAACTTTAGTCGATTTTTTAAATTGTGTTGCTGATCCCATTGTTAATTTCATTACTATCTTTTCACCTTTTACCAGAATTTAGAGCTTACTGTAATTAATTTTAGATATTTTGATGTTTGTTGTTAGATATTATTGATTTTAGTATGCTTTGCGATAAGTCAAGTAATACGCATGGGATATTTCTAATGAGAATTCATGTTATCTCTCAAGTAATAAATGAATAGCAAAACTGTTATAAGTTTTATGTAACCTATTAAGAAGTTTCTTTTTTATAACTTTTTCTGATTATAAAACTAATATAGGAAATTTGGAAAAGCAAAACAAATACTTAAATAGTAATTTTCCATTATCCTGTCCCCCAAAGATAACTTCTTGTCATGTTTCAGAATATGTTCTTCCAGTTTTCAATGATATAGTCCCATATATTTTTAAAAATAGATTGGATCATTATTTTATAAGATAATTTTAAGACAATGATGTATCTCCCTGAGCCTCAATATCTTTATTTGTAAAATAGGGATAAACCATGCACTATATGGCGTCTTTGTCAGGACTAAATTAAATAATGTGTACATTAACAGTACCTGATACATACTATGCACTCAGTAATGGAAGCTAATAGGAATAAGAATAATGGTAATAGACATTCCTAAAAGCATAATTTCTAGGGCAAAAAATGTAAATGTTTTCACGTTTGTTGATATACCTTACTAAATTTCTCTCTCAAACTATGCTACCAATTTCCTCTTGCCAGCAAGGTGTGAGAGTGCTTTTGGCCTTACAATGGTAATTAACTATGGATATCGTAATTTTTAAAACTTCATCAGTTTTATGGCAAAAGTTGGTGCTTCATTAAAAAAAATGCATGTTGAAGGAATATGAAAGCATTCGGCATGTTTTTACATGTTTATTGACTTTTTGTGTTTCTTGTGAATTTCCCATTTATAGCTTTAAAGAAAGCTAAGATTTAAGAGTAACCAGTAACACTATGTTTTTATCTAAACTGGGGCAATTAGATGATACTCTTTTATTTAAAATTAAGATTTCAATAAGACATACTTTTCACTTTTGATAGCTAAAAAACTGACATATAAATATTCCCATTTTAGGAAGGACATTAGAGAAAGTTCCAACACTGTTTCATAGAGGCTTGTTCACATCTTGCTTTCTAAATTGCCTACAATTGTTTTGTTTCAGAAAAGCACAGGTCGACCACATATAATCCAGAAAACCTTGGCAGGACAGTATTCTAAGCAAATGAAGAATCTCAGTAAGTTTTAACTAAAAATAGCGATTATATTTTATGTAGTATGAGCTTTTATCTGGTGGAGCTCAGTAGATATGCAGGCTTGTTGGAAGTGGAATTGGTCTGATATCAGGGGTGAACATCGTGGATCAGCACTGGAATGAGTGGTGGCTCTTGTGTAAAGAGGCATGGAGAGTCATTTCCAGTGCAGACTAAAACATGAAGACTTTGAGTAAAGCTGCCTTGGGAACCAGAAAGTGTGGTCAAATTTAGTACAGTGATTTACAGTGAGGTTCATCCTGAAATCTTCCTGGCAGTTTGCTGCTCTTGAGCCAGCTTGGATTGCCTCCCTCTCATGCTCTGCTCCAGACACATCTTAAGTGTGCTAATGTTGGAAGAAGCTTCTTTTTGATTGTTGGGGCATGTGATTTTATTTCTGTATATTACTGCTAAAAGTCTTTAATAATTTATGCAAAAGCTAATGCCATACATTATTTTGAATGCTAAAATGAATTAGACATAGTAGAACTCTGTCAAATTTTCAGATATTGTCAAGTGGTTTTATATCAAATATGCATCTTCTAATGAATCTTGAACATTATGTTTTCTTGATGTTTGGGACAAAATTACATTTGAACTATCTTTGTGGTCATGAGAGTGTGAAATATATAATGATCAGTGTGCTTTTTTTCACCTTAGTTTGACATATATTATCAGTGCCACTGTTTCTTCATGTAATATTTTAAAACATACTCCCATTGAAATAAGCATAAAATTTTGATACTAATTTTTCCTTTCTGCAGCTATGGAAAGAGGTGACCAGTGGCCCTTTCTCTCTGAATTACAGTGGTTGAAAAGAAGGAAGAGAGCAGTGAATGTGAGTGTGGCATTGAGCCTTGGGTGGGCCTATTTTACTCAATGAAGTCATGTGCCTATCACCCCACATTATCTAAGTGTACCTAAAACAGTTCAGATTTTGGGGACTGTTGTTTAAAAATGAAAACAATAAACAAAAAACCCTATGATTTGAGCCTTAACACACTGCTTTTTATTGATCTCTTTCTGTTAGTGATTCAAACTGATTACGGTAGTCTCTGAACCCTGACGTCATCTAAAGAACGTGTTGTTTTAGCTCTGTTTTCTACGTGTTTTCTGATGATAATTGCAGTGCGTTTTATTTTCTATTTAAAGTACAGCAGACTTTTCTTTCTATATGGCTTATATAGTGTCATATAAAACATTTCTGTTAATAAAAAATCTAGAGAGAGGAGTTAGGTTTTGAAATGTTGGCTAATCATACATATTTATATTACTTTCAGATTAAAAACTCTGTTACACCAAACTTTAAAGCTGTATGTGTTTTTCAGAACACAATGAATTTATTTGACTATTAGCAATATAACAGTTTCTAAATAAAAATCATGTAATTGTATAATCAACTACTGTTATATACTTCACATGTATTGATAAACGTATAGGGGCTTTGTAATTGAAATTATGTTTCTGGTCTTTTCATAATAGGCTAGAAAGCTGTAATGATGGGGACTGTTTAGTAATTACATGGTGAATGCTATGTAACTGAGAATTAATTCCACAGCTTATACATTACATGGTAATTTACTAGATAACTTAATGAGTAACTATAGTAGAAATTGCACATTTTAGATAATGTTTTGCTGAGTGTATTTTTTTTGTGAAAAAAATAGACCACCAGCCATCAAAAACTTAGTTCCAGTTTAAATTTTCCTCCCTTTTATGAAACTCTTATGATAATTATGGATACATTTATTATATATTATATAAATTATTATTAGATCTCTTTTAGCTCATTCATAAAGATGTGGTTGGTAATAATATGTTTTACAATGGCTGCTGTTCTTTCCCTACAGTCCACCTCATCAAATATAAAGTGATCAATGACTATGTACATAAAGAAAAAAGAGCCACTATTATAATTTTCCAACTATGAAAAAGAAATAAAAGTCCAAATGAAGGCTAAAATACTTACTCTTAAAGAATTATCTAGTTAATTTAGAAGACTTTAGACTGTAATAATTGCCAATATTTTTTCCTTTGAGAAATTGAGCAGTTAAGAATTAGCATATTATTTTTAGAATTTCACTCGAGTGAGTTAATGTTTCTATTTAACTACATTGATATCTGTATCAGATATATCTGGAAGTAATTATAACTTATGCTATTCTTATTAAATGAGTTTTACATAGATTTTCATTGACGTTTTAAGTAAATATGAATATTTTATCACATTTTAATGTGAAATTGAGATTTATTTATTTTAACATAATTATGCTATAATTTTTCTCTAGAATATTTTTACATATAAAAACCATATACAACAACATGGACTGTTTTCTATGTTGATAAGTAAGTACCTTAATGATAATAAAATACAGTTATTTTCTAAATACTTGAATATGTACCCATATTTTATGATCACTTTTTAAAATTTGCCTGACCAACTTTCTTCTAAGGTGTTTATAAAGTAGGCAGCAGAGAGTTGTTCTGAAATTCAAAGTCTTATCTACAACTTAACAGTGAGCACTAGAGAGATTTTATGTCAATCACTATTCTGACCATATATTTTTATTTTCCGTAGCCATCACGTGGTATATTTGAAGAAATGAAATATTTGGAACTTATGATTGTTAATGATCACAAAACGGTAAGAATATAGAGTCAGTGGGTTTTAGAACAGATAGCTTACTTAAGAAAGAATACATTTTACTTTATAGTTAATCATTATTTTTTACTTATTAACCCCAAGATATTCAGACATATTAAGTGACTTGATTTATTTGTCGGTGTTTGGAGACTCTGAGTTTTATAGAATTTTCACAACTCTAAACTTTCCTTACATTTAATAATTATAATTAATAGATTTAGCTATCTGGCATCTTTTGTCTTCATTTAAAATTCTTATTCTCTACTTTTCTTCATCTATGTATTTGGTCACTGCTTTCTAATTTTATTCCGTGCTTTTGTCCTGCTAATATGTTATTTTTTCTTACTAGTTAATTATGCTTATGGTAGATACAATTGTAGGAGGCAAACATATAAAATAAAGGTTTATCTAAAGTGAATATCTTTGATGACTTATCGTCTTTTTTTTTTTTTTTTTTGTGAGACGGAGTCTCGCTCTGTCGCCCAGCCTGGAGTACAGTGGCGCGATCTCGGCTCACTGCAAGCTCCGCCTCCCGGGTTCACGCTATTCTCCTGCCTCAGCCTCCCGAGTAGCTGGGACTACAGGCGCCCGCCACTACGCCCGGCTAATTTTTTGTATTTTTAGTAGAGACGGGGTTTCACCGCCTTAGCGAGGATGGTCTCGATCTCCTGACCTCGTGATCCGCCTGCCTCGGCCTCCCAAAGTGCTGGGATTACAGGCGTGAGCCACCGCGCCCGGCGACTTATCGTCTTTAAATATTGGAAAGATGAATAATCTCGTGTTAACTTCTGTGGCAGTAAAATGTGATTGAATATGTCATTTCAGTAACACTTAAAAGATATATGAAAAACATTCATTGTTCCTCATTTTCCCCTCTTGAAGATACAATAGAAACTCCGTTAACTATACTTAACCGTTTCCTTTATAAAATTACTTGCCTGAAGCCCAGAAGAGTCTTGGTCAGTAGGCTATATACTAGTACACCCAATACTAGTGGTGTGCTGGTAAATTTTAATACCTAGCTCTCTTGATTTATAATGTTTGCTGATATCTGTGGTGTAAATATTGCCACCATAGCTGATTTCAAGCTATCAAAGTGAGATCACTGATGAGGAGTTAGGAGAGGATGTATCTAGTTGGCTCTCGGGATCTGATGGGAGCTGGCTCCAGCAACCACTGCCACACTCCCCAGACTGTTTAGGCCAATTGTAATCTCTGTTGTAGTTATGTGATTGAACTTTAAAAGTTGTAAACTCTAAGGCAAAAAGTACTTGTTTTATCAAAACAAAGTTGCACTTCTGAAAAGACTTTATATAGATGAGAATCTTTTAAAAAATGCATAGAAATCAGGTATTGGTGACAAACTTATGAAAGATTGGAACAAAAATTGAAATTGCTTTGGAATTATCTTTAAGTCTTTGTTTTACTTTAAGGAAACCAAAATTAGATTAGTACATGGTATGATAAGGTTGTGCTTCATGCTAAAATGATGTGAAATTCTAATTAGCTGGCCCTACTCAGAGAATGCCTTGAAACTAGAAATTTAAAAAAATAGTGACTTAATTTATATTTAAACTTTTAAGTTTCTACTTTAATGGATGTTTTCCATTAACTATCAGTTTAATTGTGTTGAATATCAATAGAATACCTCTTACTTTTGTATACACATTTATTTTCTGTTCCAGTTGCCTTTAAATATATTGCTTGAGATGTTAGTAAGAAGCAAAATTTATCAGAACACATATAATTTAAGAGAGGTCCTTTTTGGTGGAAAGGAAAGCCAGATGTGTAGGCAGTCATTTTAGACAGTAAAGGCTAAAATATGAGTTTCTGAAGGACTTTAATTTGCTTGAAACCCCAAGATAGTTTTTTTATCTGAATTATTTTTGTTGATTGGAACATTGAGATTTTTTTTCCCAGCTGATTCTCAATCTTGAGCATTGTGGCATGTTGTGAAATTATGGCTTTTGAAGCCTAAGCTTTTTTCAACATCCATTATATAAATACTTTTAGAGTAGTAGAAATAATAATTAAGATATATTCAATGTCTTTGAATGCACAAAGTGCATTCTCAAATAGCTGTTAATCTATAGAATCTGTTCTCAAACCTTTACTTGCAATTCCAAATCTCTTGTTCTACCATAATATATCAGGAAAGTACATGAAGCTATCAATCAAAAGAGCAAATCTCAGTAACTGTGCAAAATAGGAAACAGTTACTACTAAGTGTTAATTACAATTAAACAGTTATAGTTTTTTGGTAATTGTTAAAACAGCATATTTTTTGAATTTATTTTTTAACCCTTCTCAATGGTAAACATTTAAATAACCTTATTCTTATGAATAATAAAATAGCATACTTCTTAAAATATTATTTTATATGTAGAAAATTTCTACACACCATGTCACATGTTCTGTGATAGAGTTCCTTATTTAGGCTATCAAATCTTTTAAGGGTAAATTTTAATAATTCATTTTATTATTGTTGTTAGTATTATTATTATTATTGTTATTATTTTGAGATAGGTTCTCACTCTGTCACCCAGGCTGGAGTACAGTGATCCAATCTCATCTCGGCGCAACCTGCGCCTCCGCAGCTCAAGTGATCCTCCCATTTCAGCCTCCCGAGTAGCTGGGACTATAGGTGCATATGACCATGCCTGGCTATTTTTTGTATTTTTTTTTTTTGTAGAAACTGGGTTTCGCCATATTGCCTAGGCTGGTGTTGAGCTCCTGGACTCAAGTGATCTGTCTGCTTCAACCTCCGAAAGTGCTGGAATTGCTGGCGTGAACCACCATGCCTGGCCTATTATTACTATTATTAAAATGGGTGAGAAGTAGGTATGATATGGTCATCAGTTTTTGAAACAAGGAAAAAGAATTGTAATTTGTACTGATAAATTTAGAGGGAATCGATGTTTAAAAAGGAAAAAAAGGCCGCGTGTGGTGGCTCACGCCTATAATCGCAGCACTTTGGGAGTCCAAGGCGTGTGGATCACTTGAGGTAAGGAGTTCGAGACCAGCCTGGCCAACATGGTGAAACCCCATTTCTACTAAAATATAAATATATATATACACACACACACATATACATACACATATACATATACAAAAAAAATTAAAAAATTAGCCGGAGGTGGTGACATTTACCTGTAATCTCAGCTACTTGGGAGGCTGAGACAGGAGAATTGATTGAACCCGGGAGGTGGAGGTTGCACTGAGCCAAGATTGCACCACTGCACTCCAGCCTGGGCGACAGAGTGAGACTCCGTCTCAAAAAAGAGGAAAGCTTTTATTTTTGAGTGGTAATAATGCCTAAAATAGAAATTGCCTAAGATTTCTACTATTTAAAGAAATAGTACTTCTTGGCTAATAGAACTAAATATATTCCTTTTGCTTTAAGACAGAGTTACATTCTAATCCATAATAGTCCCAAATACGTATGACATTTTATAAGAATTTTTTTTTTGAGAGCTGAAAAAAATTTTTTGAGGTATGCTTTCTATGAGATGAAGGTTGTTTTTAAATTTGATTGCCACTTCAGTAGTATATCAGAACTTACTGGATCAAAGTACTTAAATTCACATGTTGAAAGTCAAACTGAACTAGAATAATTAATACATTTATTTCTGAATATGTGGGGATTTGCTGCTGGGCTTTAGGATAATCATCTCACTGAGAGTACTCATCTTACAATCTTTATACTATACGATCCAGAATAGTTATTTTGATAATTCTCACCTTCGGGTTGAAAAACCAAATTCTAATCTTATTTTTTTTCAAAAGACAGTTTTCTTAAGGATTGCATGTGTTCAGGAAGGAAAAGCAACCATTTTAAATAAAGATTGTTTTAAACTGATCAGAAATGTGAAAGTAAGTTTTGTTATAAATGGTGATTGCATATTTTTCTTTATATGCAAAATTAGTTCTAATTCATGCAGGAAATAGAAACATTCTGCCTACATTTGCATTCAAGCTTATCCCTTTAATTCAGAGTGATTTAACGTTGGCTGCCTGAAAAAAATGCAGATATCTTATTTTCAATAGGTATCACATTATCAGTGGCTTTCCATTAGAAAAGAAAAATCCCTCAATTTGGTAAAAAGTATCTTAGTACCTGGCTGGTGGAACCTCATTTGCAAGCCAATTATAGCCTTGATAAGAGTCTGCAAACATGTCTTTGAGCTGCTTAAGTTAAAAATAAATATTAAAAATCTTATTCTAATAGAAAATTGGTTGAGATTTTTTAAAGTGCATAAAGTGCATGAAAAGCAAATGTTTTGCGTACGTGTTTTGCTACATACTTAACTATGCGTCAATAAATGTAAATATGTGAGGATAATTTAAATATTTTTCAATTTAAACCTCACTTGGTTTTCCTTACTTAAAAACCACTACATTTTATATACACCTAACAAATTTTGAGTTTTCATTAATAATCATGATTTGTTAGGAATATATATAAACTATTTAATAGGAATTGTTAACTGAACCAGCTTACCTCCTCCCTCAACCTAGAGACTAGAAGGATTTAAATTCTAGCTGTGTGATCTTGAGTAAGTTATTTGGGGATAATAAAACCCACCTCATAGAGTTGTGAGGAGCAAATATTTGTTTTAGGCGAAACACTTACAGTTTCTACTAAACCCTAGGTGTCCAATTAAATGGCACTTCAAGTTAACAAATCTAGTGGTCATTGTTCTGTCCTTGTCTTACTCTCTCAGCAATATTGGACACAGTTGATTACCCTCTTTTTTTGAAAATTTTATTTCATCTCTTGGCTTCTATGACGTGGTAGCTCTCTCACCTCACTGGCTATTTCTTCCTAGTCTTTAAAATCTGACCTCTGGAATTATGTGAGTGCCGCAGGGCTTGGTTCAGGGCTCTTTTCTCTTTGTATACTCTCTACCTAAGTAACAACTTGCAGCCTCAAGTCTTTAAGTGGGATCATGACTTTAAACTCGTTATTCCCTACTTTTAGCTCTAGCCCCTTAAGTTCTGTGCTCATATACAGAACTGCCTATTTGATATCTCTATTTTAGTGTTGATTTGAATAGAACTTCTGAATCAGAACTCTTAGTTCCCTAGTCCTAAACTTCTCTTCTTCTAGTCTCTCTTATTATTTTAAGTGGCACCACAATCCCCCATCCATTCAAGTTCAAAACCTAGGAGTTATCTTTTAATTCTTCTCTTTCCTCACCTTCCACATCCTATACATCATCCAGTCGTGGGAGCTCTACCCTCGTAGTGGTACTTGAATTCACTTCTCTCTACAGTTGTTTAGCCTCCATTATCTCTTACCTGGACTATTGCAGTAGCTTCCCAACAGGTATCTCTGTTTCCATTCTTGGCACTCTCTAATTTACATAACAATGACAGGCAAAATAATTTTTCTAAAAAGAAAATCAGAGGATTGAAAATTACAAATATGAAATAAATTTAAAACATTACATTTTGATAGACTTTTAAAATACCTCATTTTATTAATTTTTAAAACTTGAAATGTTTTAAAACTTGTCATGTTTTCCGTGATCATTATGCTATAAAAAGAAATCTCAATAAAATAACAAATTAATACTCAGAAGCAAACTAAAATTCATCTTAATAGGTGTGTAACACCACTGCATTAGAAGAATAGATATCAGCTAATGTTTTCTCTTTCAATCCACAATTCAGTGGAACTAGAACATTTTCATCATCCCAGAGGAACTTAATGTTAATATTTTTCCTTTTACTCTTAAGTGTATCTTGGAAAGTTTTCAGCTTGTGGAATTTGCTAGGCAACTTAAAATGCTGAGCTATCTATAGAAACTTCTTTATGCCAAGTTTACAAAATGTGTTATAATGCCTGAATAATTTCAGATTAATAGGATGTTTTATGACCCAGTTATATGCACACATTACAGTTTACTTTAAAAGAACACAAATATAGACAGTTTGGGTCAGATTATGATGTACAGTAGTGGCAATAACATGAACAGTAATAGTAATATTATACCAACAGTTATGTATTCATGAATACTATAATAATAGCAGAATATTAATTTATTTAGCATTTATTATGGGTAATCAGTGTTTTTGTTGTTATAAAAAATAAACATTAGATATGTAAACATTGAGATATATATTCTTTGTTTAAAAAACATAGTCACAGATAGAATGAAATGAAGGGAATCTGACAAAAGTTATATATAGGGTGCGAATGGGCAAAGGACAAATAAAAGAATTTTCTAATGTAGAAATATTTTGAATCTTTATGAAAGATGCATTATTTTCATAATTATAATTGAAGGTAAATTTCAAAGACTTGTGCAAATCTGAGTCTGTGGTTTTAAGTAGGTTTTGTTTTCCTTAGTGTTGTAGAAATAATAACCTCATGGACCAGTAGAGGGCATGATTTTCCTATGGTAGACCAGTTTTCAAATGTCCTCTTGAAGACATTAAGCAAAGCGTACTACTCCTTGCTAAAAACGTAGCCCTCCAGATGTCATTGTAGAATTACTCTATTAATTTACTTTTCTTTATTTCTTAAATAAACATAAACAATCATAAACTCTCAGCACACTTCATTTTTACTTTTTGTCTTCTCTTTGTTTTGACTTTGAGCAGTCAAAAGCAAATGGCTTCATTTGGAGGAGGCATTCCTCTGAAAGGATATACTAAATGCCTGGCAAATGCTGTCCATATCATGGACAGTATCTAAAGCACTGACAAAGACATTTTCTTGATCTGTGCGTGGCCTTGAATTTAAAGTGAGACAAGTGGGTTAAGCCGTTTGTATAAGCTACAAAATGTCATTTCAATGAAAACAAAAGGATTGAATTTGTAGACATTAAGACTAAATTTAAAACTTACTTTTTAGGTATAAAGCTTCTCATATCGATTTCTATAGGTCCTTACTATTATTCAGAACATCGTAGGTTTTTTTGTTTTTTTTTGAAAAAAATTTTGTAAAGACAGGATCTCACTGTGTTGCTTAGGCTGGTCTCAAATCCCTGGCCTCAAGCAGTCCTCCAGCCTCCACCTGCCAAAGTGTTGGGATTACAGTTGTGAGCCATGCTGCCCAGCTAACATCATGTTTTAGATAGTCAGAGTTTTGCCACCTAACAGAGAAGTAACACCACCAAATCCAGTATACCACAAACTAAATTATATATTTTTAAATCCATATTTCTACTATTACTGAGATATTTCTGCTTTTACAGCATTTTGAAATTTATTATTCACTTATGATTTGGCAGTGACTGGTATGTATTTCCCCCCTAGTATAAGAAGCATCGCTCTTCTCATGCACATACCAACAACTTTGCAAAGTCCGTGGTCAACCTTGTGGATTCTGTAAGTATCCTGGTTTTCTTGAATTTGTGTGCCAAGATGGAATGGTTTATCTCTATTTGCTTACTTGTACTTTAGGTATTTCTTGAACAAATTTAAAAACACAATCCTGAAGCTCATCTGGCTAAGGAATTATAGGATGGTCCGCTTCACAGAGTAGTGCTCTGAGAGTTTCAGATGACTGAGTTATTCCCGGAATCCCAAAGATACATTAGTGTTGCTTCTAAGTTGCGTCTATACATTATTGCCCCCAGTCTGTGGAGGACAAAAACAGTGGAGAAATAGCTACCAAAATCTATTTGCTATTATACTGGCAAATGAGACTTTTTAAAGAAACAACTGGGCTTTTCTTAAATATATGGTGGTAACAGAGAAGAAAAAATGGATTGAAGCAGAGTATGTTTGGAGAATATAGGTAATACCAAAAAAAATTTTTTTAAGGACACAAATATATTTTCTTAGTGTTCCCATTGGTGTGATATTTCATACTTGATTTCTAGATGATGGAAATAAGTGCAGTCCCCAAATAAAACTAATTTGGAAGAATAAAATATGTATCTCCTTACAAAGACTTCTAACTGTACAAATCTTCAATATTGATATGTTTTCCTCACTTATTTTGTGAATTACAGAAAATGCTTAAGATTTTCTGCCTTTTTCCTGCCTTAGGTTAGAACTCTATAGATATGAACATTATATATTATGTTCCAATGAATATTTAAGTTGACTAGTCAGAAATTAAATATAGAATATTACTCCATATGTTGTAATGTAAAGTGCTATTTTGCTTAGCTAAATATATTTTTATCGGGTATTTTATTGTGTGTTCCTTCTTAAATGCGAAAAAAACCCCACCATTTTTTATAAGTTGCCAAATATCTAAATGATACTTATTTACTCCAAAGAGCTGCCTTCTTTTCTGCCTTTTAAGCAGTCCACAAACCTCCAATCATGTAAATATTCATAACATATGTATGTTATGTACCTGGTGGGCACAGCTGCACAAAACTATAACATGAGTGGATGTGCGTCGAGTATCTCATATAGAGTTAGGATAGCATCTCAGTGCCAATTTACACCTGGTTTATTAATTTTCTTTAATTTCAGCTCTTGTTTATCTTCTCAGAGGAAAACCACAAGTGAATGTGGAAAAGAGAATCTTAACCACATCTTTTCCTCTGCAAAAGCTGTTTACTTGGTAGCATCTCTGAATTAGTCATTTCAACATGATTGAATAGAGTTACATCATGCAAAGTGTAATTTTTATTTTGGGTTACCACATAAGGTTCTGAAGCTGACCACTAATTTTTAAAAGACATTACATTTAACTTGTTTTTGTTGTAAAGTCATTATATAATAGCTTCAATTTGATTTAGGCATAATGGTGTTCCCCTTCTTCAGTGTGTTCAAAGATCATCCATTGGTTTTTGTTTGTTTGTTTGTTTGTTTGTTTGTTTGTTTTTCTTTGAGACAGAGTCTTGCTCTGTTGCCCAGGCTGGAGTGCAGTGGCACGATCTCAGCTCACTGCAAGCTCCGCCTCCCAGGTTCACGCCATTCTCCTGCCTCAGCCTCCCGAGTAGCTGGGACTACAGGCGCCCACCATCACACTTGGCTAATTTTTTGTATTTTTAGTAGAGACGGGGTTTCACCGTGTTAGCCAGGATGGTCTTGATCTCCTGACCCTGTGAAGCACCCGCCTCGGCCTTCCAAAGTGCTGGGATTACAGGCGTGAGCTACCGCGCCTGGCCCATTGTTTTCTTAATTAGTTTGAAAACAGGGCAAAATGACAGCATTCATTGAAGTTGCTTAATTGTGTGAATTGTTTAGCTACTGGGCCAAAAATAGAGAGAGAGCAGAAAGGGAACAATTTAAATATTGTGGGTGATGCCACCCAGTGGTGAGGATGAGATGAGTGATAGGGATCTGCTCTTTTTTAGCCTCAGATCCTTGAGTCTCTCTCTCTCCCAATGTTATTTTACTTTTCATATAATATGACCTCCAAGGGTAAGCCAGCTATATTGTTTGGTGCTTATCTGGAGATTTAGTGATTCATTCCAATCCAGCAGGAATAAATTGTTGCACTGCGGTTACTCAGAACTGGTATATCAGGCTCCAACCTGTTACCTGCTATGAGATTTGAAAGGGTGATTTTACTGAACGATGTTTTAAATTTATGCCCTGGCTTTGGAATCCTTACTGTCTCTCCCTAGGACAGTGAATGTATTGCTCTGGGATCGAAATAACCCTATAGGAGAGTTGAAACCAAATTGTGTGATTGTTCTTTCTTTATTTTTGCTCTTGGAAAAAAGAAAGGAAAAGAAGATTCTCTATAATGGGCTAATTATGACCCCGTGTTCTCTCACCTCCCCCTTCCTGTCCTTCCACTGACTCTGACTCACTGATCGTGCATGTTTGACCCAGTGTTTTCCTCCTGCACCTGTCCTGTTGTATACCCTCAGATTTACAAGGAGCAGCTCAACACCAGGGTTGTCCTGGTGGCTGTAGAGACCTGGACTGAGAAGGATCAGATTGACATCACCACCAACCCTGTGCAGATGCTCCATGAGTTCTCAAAATACCGGCAGCGCATTAAGCAGCATGCTGATGCTGTGCACCTCATCTCGTACGTACTCATTTCAGCCTTTAGTGTAGTCTTTGGTCTGACATTTATCCTTATCCCTTTTTTGGTTCAGTTAAGTTAAATATCAGAAAATAGTGACTTGAACAAGATTTCTGTGGGTTCCTTTGTCTGTTAGATAAGAAGCATGGAGTTAGGATATCCCATGCTGGGATGCTGATGGTTCTGTAGTCACAATATCTACCTTTAGAGCCCATAACTTCCATCCTCAAGATCAACTCACAATCTAGGATGCCTGCTGGCCCTCCAGCCTTCATTACTGGCAGCGGGCATGACATGTGGGGAGAAGGGCAAAAGGGTACTCCTTCCAGCCGAGCTGACTGCTGTAAAGCAGGTTTCCTGAAAGCTTGCACATGTATGTTTCATGAACAAATCATTTGCTAGGTGTTAGTCACATGGGCCACACCTAGCTACAAGAGAGGCTAGCAAAATGTAGTCCTTTTAGATGAACTATTCAGTTGAGTTTCTACTACTAAGGAAAAAGGGTTCTATACTTTCTTTTTAATATAATAAGCTATTCTCTTCCCCAGTCATGGCAAAGCTATTTTCAGATAGTCCTCTAAGGTTCTGTCCTGGAATCAAACCAACCAAACCACTCCTTCTTTTCCTCCCACCATTACCGTTGACTTCCTGTTTTTTCAGTCTTTAATCAGCAATTTTTAATAATCAGCAATATTAATTCTTTTTAATCACTGCTAGATATTCTCTACTAGAAAAAAGTCAAGAGCTGTGTCTGTTTATCTTGGTGTTTTCAATTCCTGTGCTAGTACATGATGCTTAGTAGGTACTTGGTGCTTGCTCAATTGAAATTACGTAACATAACAAATTTAAAGGTAATTATGTCATAAATTTTAAGGTAGTTGAAATAAAGTTTTTGATTTCTTGGAGGAGGATGGTTTGGGGGTGTTCCATGTAGGAGGGTAGACATATTTTGGGAGAGTATGAAATGATGGTCCACCACGTTGGTTTTCTGATAGCACTGCTTTTTCTTAAGGCGGGTGACATTTCACTATAAGAGAAGCAGTCTGAGTTACTTTGGAGGTGTCTGTTCTCGCACAAGAGGAGTTGGTGTGAATGAGGTAAATTTTACCAATTAGAGTTTCATCTTTGCATCTGTTCTCTTTTTTCCCTATGGCCCAGTTTACATCCTTTCTCGTGCTTGTTTAGAATGATGACATGGCAAATGTAGCATGAGTGGCTTATGTTATTAATAAATAGAACCCAACGTGGTCCTTTTGGTTCATAGTGACATATTTTGGTGTCATAATGACAATTTTTCGTATATATCAGGCAAATGCAGCTGAAGATTGGCCTGGAGACTTTTAGGCCTCTATAGATAAGATGTTAAGCTTTTATAAGCTTATTAATCCTTCTCTGACTTTTTTTTTGTTATAATGCTCCTCTGTCTATGTTAAATTTAACTCATTAAAATCAAAGGATTTCTGATATCAGTACTGTATGTTTTTTTCTCCCTATGTATATATTTTCATTTTCATGCCTTCTACCTACCTATCTGTAGAATGAACTCAAACACCTATTTCCTTAATCTCATTGTTCAGATTTTAATACTTTCAGTTTTATAAAGGAAATTCTTAATTGGTAACAGCACCCAAAAAGCATAACCAATTATATCTAAACTCTTGTCAATACTGAAATATATTATACCAGGTTATCTCAATAGCCTACAATTAGCCTGGAATAATATTGGAGTATATTATACCAGGTTATCCCAGTTGCCCATTTAGTAGGTACCTCTCTTGACATATTTTAGTAAGTTAAATTTATTCTTAGTTTGGTATAAGTTGAATTGGAGCACAGCCTTTTGTGACTTGTATTTTATGTTTCAATGTGAGAGCTTCAAATTCTGAGAGATATCACATAGTAAGAGGGGCTTTCTGCTTCTTGGGCCCAGTTGTAAAGAGGAGGTGAGAAGTAGCATATGCCATCTTAAGATACTGACAGGCTCTACTTAGGGAACTGAGAAGATTTGTGGTAACAATTAAGAAATAATAACTAGCTTTGTGCACTCTCTCAAATGTCTCCCACACACTTTCAACTCTGAAAAACAGTATGGTCTTCCAATGGCAGTGGCACAAGTATTATCGCAGAGCCTGGCTCAAAACCTTGGAATCCAATGGGAACCTTCTAGCAGAAAGCCAAGTATGTACACTGACCTTCTTACTCATTTTCATGTGCCATTCTGTCTGTATAATGCATGTCCAGTCAATAAATAAATATTTTTCATTCCAGTCATTATAGTTTAATTGTAGTATATCTCCTTCCTCTAAAATATTTAGAAAATAAGCAACTTAAGGTAATTTTTAATCTGTTTAGGTTGTAAAAATTTCCCTTTCAAAATCCATAAAATCATACCCAGTTTCTCCGGGAATGAGTCAGCTCTTTCTCACACTGCAGAATGTGGGGCTGGGGGCAGGGAATACTCTCACACTCAGGGTTCTAGCAGCTGAGCAGACGTACAAGGTGCTAGATAAAGCCTCCATCACAAGCTTAGTGAGATCACAGTTGGATTGGGAAATAGCTTAGATCTAGAGTCAAAGAGAGCTCATCTTTAAACTCTAATGAAATTTACCCACCTAGTCTCATCAGAAAAGTTGGAGAAAAAGGCTTTGCAAGGGAAGACCCTGCCCCAGGGCCTTTTAAGCATGGGAACAGGTGGTAGAGGATAGGATTCTCCTCTAGTGGCCCAGGCAGGTCCAAAAAGGAGAACCAATAGGGCCACACATCCCATCAGTAAAAAACATAGCCAGTGACTGTTAGGCGTCATTTTTTCGTTAATCAGATGAGAGGTAGATAGGAAGACAGGGCTGATTTTCTAGTGGGCAAAGGGTCTAGGGCTCACAGTAATCTGAAGGGTCCATGAAAAATGTTAATTTCTTTTAAAATCAGAATAAAAGTCAACCCAGATTGTGTTTATCTTTATACAAACCCAGTGGTAAAATATAATTTTTAATACATTTTTATGACAGTGGGCAACGACCTAATGCAATCCGGTGGAAAGAGAGACCAAAGTGTTCATTCATATTATTCACTTAACTAGAAATTAGATGAAAGTGCCTTCCTATTTTTTGAAAATATGAGACACTGGGAGTAAAGGTCTCACTTACCACCCCAACCTCCCTAGAGAAGAAAAGGAAAAATCTACCTTAATATCATTCTATATTTTATATTCTTTTTTTCATTAATGCATAATATTGTGGAAAATTGAAACAAATTATATTTACACAGGCTTCTCAATTCCCTTTATGGGTACATTAAGATAGTCATCACAAGTGTCTGGTGGCATTTCACAAACCTCCGCAAACTTCCATTGATTATCTTGCTCAGAGTGTTTGCTCTCCCAGGAAACACCTAGTACACATTAAAGGAAGTGTTTAGAGTTTCACCATCTGGCATAAACACCTTAAAACCAGAAAGGTGTATGACCAGGTTTATGCCCTTGTTTAGAAATCTTGAATCTGGGAGGAGGCCAGTGCTAGAGTCAGCTGAGAGGTGTTACTGAGTTGCATGATGGAATAGGGTGAGAAGTAGACTTCATTACTAATGCCTGCCATCGTTCCCTCCTTCCTAAAATTCTTTTTTTTTTTTTTTTTTTTGAGAATGAGTCTCACTCTGTCTCCCAGGCTGGAGTGCAGTGGCACGATCTCGGCTCACTGCAACCTCCACCTCCTGGGTTCATGCCATTCTCCTGCCTCAGCCTCCCGAGTAGCCAGGACTACAGGTGCCCACCACCACACCCGGCTAATTTTTTTGTATTTTTAGTAGAGATGGGGTTTCACTGTGTTAGCCAGTATGGTCTCGATCTCCTGACCTCATGATCTGCCCACCTCGGCCTCCCATAGTGCTGGGATTACAGGTGTGAGCCACTGCGCCCGGCCTAAAATTCTTTATTTCTTTGTGACTTGTTTGTTTAGGTAGCTATTTCATTGGTTCTAAACTTTGAGTTTAAAAAATCCATTTGGAAGTCTATCTTTGCATATACCTCTCTCTCTCTATATAGGTATATATAGATAGATGTATACCTCTCTCTATATATATACGTTGATATATATTGCTCTCTCTATCGATATATCGATAGAGAGAGAGGCATAGAAAAGAGAAACAGGAAAAAATTAATGAAGAGAAGAGCCCATCACAATATCAATATGTCAGTTTCTGGTATCGAAGTTAAGTTGTAATTGTTTTTAAGTGATTATGTACACTTCTGTTTTAGATTGCTCTCTTTCACTAAACCTTTTAGCATAGTGTTCATTCAAGTCTCTTGCTCATCCTCACTTCAACTCTAACAAATTGAATTCTCTTCTCTAACTTCGAGCATTCTCTGTTAGAAAACTTCAGTGATGATATGTTGTGTTTGTGCAACAGAGCTTTAAAATTCACAGCACATAGGTACACCGTCTAGTGTGAACCCCACAACCACTCTGGGAGATAGACAAAAAGGTGTTATTCCCATTTAGAGGTAGAAACACTGAGACCCAGGAAATGCTAAGTTACTTGCCTATGGGACTCTCTCATATGACAGATCTTGGACTAGAACTCAGGCTGTCTGATTTGTAGACCAGGGTACTTTTCACTAAACATTAGAACTAGGAACCAAATTGAGTTGTCAGAGTTACAAAAATAATGAAGAGAGGCACAATATTACTTCTTGCCAGCTGTTTTCTTAGGAATTAACCTATAATTCTGGAAAGGATAAGGAACTATTGATTTAAAAGAAATTTTGTTCTGTAAGACTTCACATTCCGTGTCTATTTGACTGACATGGAATTGGTAATAAAGAATTATTGTAGGAGTTGTAATACCAAAAAAATATGTGACTTTCTTTGTTTCCTTTTTCTTCTGTTGCTTTTATTGTTTTATTGGACCAGAATGTGACTGCACAGAATCCTGGGGTGGCTGCATCATGGAGGAAACAGGGTAAATTTTCATTATGCGTGCATTTGATATATGCCTTTTGCTAAAATTGCTGTGTAGAGTTAGAAACAAGGTCTCTCGGGTATTGGTCTTTTAGGCTAAGCACAATATAAAATGAATAATTAATTGTCTGATATTTTTAAACTGAAAGATCTAATTTACTTTGTATTTTAATTTTTTATTTAAGGTTGGTGATAAAAGTAAAATGTATTACCTTCTACTTCTTATTAACCCTTAAAGGAAGCACATGATTAAAGGCTTCTAAGTTTAGTGGAGGCATTAATTTTTTAGTACACTTAGATTAAAAGTTGGTTATCTACCTGAAGCAGTCAGTGAAAATCAATTTAGTCATCAATTTACATTTTAAGGAACTCGTAAATATATATGTTTACGGTAATAAAAATTAAACTTTACTGTTTATAAATCAATAAAGCTTTTTAAAAATTAAGACAGACTTATTGTATCTAAATCAGGTAGTCTTCTAGTGATAGACATTTGAACATTCCCTCACTTTTCTTTTGTGAATACTTTGGGAACTAGAGCAGCTTCCCCAGAGCTGCTGTTGCTTCAGTGAACCAAGGCCTGGAAATATTGCCCTCTTTCACAGGGACCCCTGCCTCATGGGAGCCACTGCCCCCAGACCCCCTAAGCCATAACCCACTCCTAGTAGAGGGGAGAGGTTTCCTCACCCATGTGCCTCTTTTGCTTTCTTTGCCATGCCAGACACCTGCTCAACACACCAACCATTTCTGGTCCTACCTCCGTCCCTCTGGTTGCCAGAGGCCCTGACCTACTTGGACAGAGCTCCTTTGTTTTCTTCCACCAGCCCTCCTAGGAGTCCAACTCCTGGGGAGGAGTGTGGGCATGAAGGTTTGCACAGTAGGCCATTATCCCTGCTACTTTAGAACGCATTTCTAGAAATAGAGTTTAAAACGTGAAACCCTTAGCTTCCACGGTTCCCTATTACTCCATAGCTTAGTAATTTATGGCTTAACCAGGCTTTTTGAGGACTACTATAAGAAGATAACACCTATAATATTGGTTCTATAGGGAGATGTCTTCTGTCTTCTAAATTAATCTCTGAAGTTTTTACAATGACTCTTCATAATATATATAACATATAATATCTTTAATATATTTTATATAATAAAATATATAAAATGTTTTAAATAAGATAAAATGTTTTAAAGTTAACATGTATTTTCTCAAGAATACATTTCTATATATTTTTCTAAGAGGTTCCTATCAACAGTGGCAGGTTTCACCTACTTCTGTAAACTACCTTCATACATCAGAATGCATAAAATTATTGAATTACTTCCTAGAATAAGTGGCCTGTCACTCGCAAGTCAAGCACTGTTATAATCACGCACTGTATTCCTGAGGAATAGGTGTGCGTGTGTGTGATTCAGTTTAACTAACCATGTGTATAATATTCCCCTGTGTTCTGACATAGAGATATTATATTTGATTAAGTAATTCACAGAAAGGCTCATTTTCTATTCCTGATTAATAATGAATATCACCAAATAGTATTTGAAATTGAGAATAAAGAGCCATTATTCATGGAAGCGTACCCCAATTCTATTGTCACTGTGCATATACATACTAAAAACATACGTGCATATACATATATGATCTAACACACCTCTTTAAGGTTTCCTTGTTTACCTGAATGCATTGTTGGCCTGCATGATATAGTCTTTAATATACTGGCCCTCACAACTCTCTCCTCCAATGTAAAATCTAGTACGTTCATGAGCTCCTTTTATTCAGAAAACAGAGGCAAAAAAAAAAAATGCTTGACTTTAATGAGATATAGCAAATAAAAATTAACAAACTTTAAAATACAGCCTATTTGAAGAGGTTTTGTAATGAGCTTTTTAAAAAACATTTCAAGCCTGGTCACAAAAGGGCTTGACTGCTGAGGAGGTTGTAATGTAGCCCCCAAATCTTTGATTTTCTTTGAAATTCCATCTCTGCAAACTCCACCACAGGTACTTAAGTGGCAATTTGAACATAAGTCCCTTGTCAAAATTTGTGTAGATTCATTTGGATTCAAAGTGAACATTTTGTTCTAATTTAGGGGTTTTAATTTTCTTCTCTGATGATTGCTTTTGGTAAATTATTTACATAGTTGATTCTTTGTTTCCTCAGGGTGTCCCATTCTCGAAAATTTTCAAAGTGCAGCATTTTGGAGTATAGAGACTTTTTACAGAGAGGAGGTGGAGCCTGCCTTTTCAACAGGCCAACAAAGGTTAGTAACTTAGAAAGCATACTAAGAAAGTATATTATTTCTCCAGTGTTTTACAGTGCAACAGTGCTGGATATCAGACGCCTGTCTTGGAAAGCAGGTTTCTTGTCAATCAGATTAATATTTAGTTATAAAAGTCCTTATCATGTTAAAGATTGAGTCCTGTTTAAATGAATGACAAAACCATAGATTCAGCATTCTCAGTCTCTGGTGTTTCAGTGCTAGCTAGAACTCCCAAATCCTCCCTTCCAAAGAGCAAACAATCCTTCAATTAAAATATCTTTGAGATTTTCATGTTAAGATTTTTACCCTGCTGCTAAGAGATGGTGGGTTAAATTAAGATAAAATATTATTTTAACTAATTTCTCTGATAAAAATTCCATTTCTCCTTGACATTCTTTCTAGGGACAAGTATTAGTCCATTTTCACACTGCTATAAAGATACTACCTCAGACTGGGTAATTTATAGACAAAAGAGTTTTAATTGACTCACATTTCCACATGGCTAGGGAGGCCTCAGGAAACTTATAATCATGGTAGAAGGTAAAGGGGAAGCAGGCATCTTCTTCACAAGGTGGCAGGAGAGAGAGAAAGAGTGCGAGGAAGTGCCACAGTTTAAAACTATCAGCTCTAGTGAGACTCACTCACTATCATGAGGACTGTATGGGGAAACCGCCCCCATGATTCAGTCACCTTCCACCAGGTAGGTCCCTCCCTCAACAGTGGAGAGTAGAACTCAAGATGAGATTTGGGTGGGGACACAGAGCCAAACCATGCAGGGCCTGACTAATTTCTTGACTTTTGTTTTTTTTTGAGTGGTTTGTCCTCTTGGGACATTAGTTCCTTATGAATATCAGCGAGCCAAAAAATCACCCAAGGTATTTATGGATACCATAAATACACATACGTGTTTATAATGCATTGTCTCTTTACCTGGAGAGGGCCACATTGTCAATTGGCATCTCGTCAAACTTTGTGTATATAGTGTCACAATCCCTTATTCGTGTATTCTTAATTCAGAAAACTGAAAATTTTCAGAAGTGTTTTTTATGTTTGTGGAAAACACATTTGACAGTAAAACTTGTCCTAAACTGAAAATATTTATACCTCATAAGGTAAATATTCATAAGTCTTGTTGCAGAAATATTAACTGATTATAGGGTGTGTCCCAGGCCCCTCAGGACTATTATATAGAATATGGTAAATGCATCGTACTTCTCTAAACTTCAGCAAAGCTGGAAGTCTCAAACTCACCAGCTTCAAAGCTTTTGCATAAATCGGGGCTGTAGACCTGCAGTAGCATGTTTGGAAATGAAGTTGCTCAGCAGGCAAAAGATAGGATCAATGCTAATTAGCAGATGGTATGGAAATTCTAACATGGCAAATTTCGTATTTCTTTTTAAAATACTACTTCATGAGTCAAATATAGCTCATTGCTATGCAAAATGTTTAATACTTTGCAAACTGAGAGAGCAGCGAAATAATGTTAACCTTTTTTTTTAAATCAGTAACTAATGTGGTAACTAACAGGATAATTTATTCCTAAACCCATAATTAAGTGACACTACGTAGTCAGGAGATGGTGGCTTGATGCCTGACATCTGTGTAGAATCTTAGTATGGCTGTGGAAAAAAGAAACAGGACTTTCAAAGTGACCTTGCGTCGTGAAAGTCAGTTGCCTGCCTTTCATAACGTTGATTTCAATGCAACAGAAATCCAAAAGCTTCAAAGTGTTCAAAATGGGTGAAATAAGTAATAATGAACTAATGTGAGCTGCTGGCATTTTTGAATTGTAATGTACATGGCTAATTTTACCCACCTTGTAGCTTAGGAGCTAATTATAAGCATCATGCCTGAGGAAACAACTCTCACTTGTTTGGAAAGGTTAAGGTTTCTAGCATATGCATAAAGATCCATCAATGGATTTCTGAAATTGTCTATGAGTTAGGAGAAAATTATTCTAATAACTTGGAAATGAAATAAAAATAACTATAAATCATCTATTTTTTAAAAAGTTAGTAAATATGGAATTATGTCTTTTTAAACTACGTAGTACAATGGTTAATAAACAACTATGGATGCCAGTGGAATAGTTTATATGTATGTATCAAAGAAGTGACTTTTTCCCCCAAGCGTTTTGAATGTATGTATATGCATGTGTTGTGTGTGTATTATTTTTACATTATATGTGTGCATATTTTCTGTGCTTTAGGAATCTTCCCCACTGCCATGTTTTCCACACTGTTGGAGATAGTGACCCGTCTCAGGATGGAGGCAGAGTCCTAAGAAGGAAAGAAGGGGGAGCCTGGTATAAAGTGCAGGCCATGTTCTAGTCAGCCCTTCCCTTTTCCAGTTTCTCCTGCCTCCTGATCAAAATAACACAGAGATGTGCAATGCTGATTTTGCTCATAGGACTTTTCCACAGGGGGAGTCCCACCCAAGTAGCCTGGAAACCTTTGCTTTTCGTAATAGTTTTGCCTTCCTGGAAGTGGAAGGAGGATCAGTTCTTTCTCAGGTGAATTTAGTGGAAGGCAGCGCTTCCTTGAGGTGTGTTCAGCTGCTGGAGATGGAGTCAGTTTCTCCCTCTCATATTTAGGGCTCAGAGCATTTGGGTTGGAGTGTGCTGCTCCAGCCTTCATTTAAGGTGTAGTGATTATGCCCAGAGAAATCCTGCCCCCCTCCCCACTGCCCCTGGAATGGGAAGCAGGCATGTTTCTCATAAACAGTCAACTACCTTTACAGTTGCTCTATAATATAGTTTATCTGGCAAGCAAGTTCATGGCACCAGTAGACTAGATTATTCTAGAAATTATACTCTTCTATTGCCCTAGGAATGACTGAGAGATTTCTGTATATCCATACATGTGTCTTATGCTTGCAGACACTTGAGATTTCTTTTCAGTGAGAATGATGGTCTTGGATTTCTAGCAACATTTTTTCCCCTAAGTTTACTTGCATTTACTTGATTGTACATATCACATTTGGCTATGACTGAAGCATATTTATCTTTTTGACAGTTTTTATGGCTTCTCAGCTGTCTTGAGACAAGTTAGCAAATTAGATATCTGTGAGTCTTATTAGCAATGCATTTTAGCTCCATTAGCAAATATGAAAAGTGATCTATTCCTCTTGACAGCTTGTCTCCATGAAAAGTAACTCTAATGCTAGAGTTCATCTGTGGAGCCCACAGCCAGAGAATCCCCCAAGAGATATTGCCCCATTTCAGATATATTTTTAAGTACTATTAATAAGTGAACAGTATTTCCCATACAGTCATCATTTATAAGATGCCACAACAACAGATCAAAGAAGAATATCACATGATAGCTGATTATACGGCCATTGTATGTGGCCCAGTTGATGTGCTGATTTTCTGTGATAAATTGAAACATTTTTCCCTTCTGTCCCTAATCTCTTTAGCTATTTGAGCCCACGGAATGTGGAAATGGATACGTGGAAGCTGGGGAGGAGTGTGATTGTGGTTTTCATGTGGTAGGTATAAGAAACCTTCTATACTTACAGCACAGATCTTACTTGGTGCAAACAGGTATAGCATTTGTGAGAGGCCAGCACATTGATTGTGGTCTTACTGCCTTTCTTTCTCATCTCTCTGATTAGTGCTTAATTCAACTCAGACCTGTTGGAATCAGTCATGTCCTTATGGCCTTGTCTGAGCAAACCTAATAGATTCTTCTAATTAAATTCCCTACCTCTTAAAAATTTGTAGCTCATATTCATCTCAGATAAGTTTTACCAAATCGTAAAACATTCTTTCCGTGTTGTATATTATTTTTATCTTTATAAAATAGATTGGGTATTAGAATGTAGTGGAGCTAATTGGAGGAGAATTGCCTGCTAAAAATTAAGCTTTCTCGGCCGGGCGCGGTGGCTGACGCCTGTAATCCCAGCACTTTGGGAGGCCGAGGCGGGCAGATCACGAGGTCAGGAGATAGAGACCATCCTGGCTAACACGGTGAAACCCCGTCTTTACTAAAAATACAAAAAATTAGCCGGGCGCGGTGGCGGGCGCCTGTAGTCCCAGCTACTCGGGAGGCTGAGGCAGGAGAATGGCATGAACCCGGGAGGCGGAGGTTGCAGTGAGCCAAGATAGTGCCACTGCAGTCCGGCCTGTGTGAAAGAGCAAGACTCCGTCTCAAAAAAACAAAAAGGAAAAAAAAAATAAAGCTTTCTATTTGCTATTGAAGTCCTTTCATAGAAGATCTTACTTTGGTGACAAGTATGGCAGGAAGGAATCTATCCTTGTTTAAAGTAATTAATTCTTTCCCAGAATATTTGCTTACTGTTGTATAAATGTTCTCATTTGGAATATGCATGCCACGTGTGGAGAGAATATGAATGACCAGCAGGTAAGGCTCTTCGCTTACTCACGTGAAGTGTTTTCTCTAGGAATGCTATGGATTATGCTGTAAGAAATGTTCCCTCTCCAACGGGGCTCACTGCAGCGACGGGCCCTGCTGTAACAATACCTCATGTCTTGTGAGTTTTCTGACAGTTTCATCTTTCTTTTAATTGACAGATTAGCCAGATATCTCAGTGTGTACACTGAGCATTTGTGTAGCTTGTCACAAATTTCTTGGGTACAGTGTACATATTAGCCTGGCAGTTTTCTAGGATCGATAAATCTCAAATTCTGTGGGCCGCAACATTTATCTCTACTATTATTCACTACCAACCATCTTATCCTCCAATGCCTCATTAGGAAAATATACCTAAACTGCTTCCAAAAGAGTTGCCCTACTAACATAGATGAAATCCAAATTAAATTGTTGAATAGAGGGGAGACAATTTCTGTGGTCTTTTTAATAATATGACCTACTTATAACATTTTTCTTCAAAACTTACCCTAATTTATTTTAGACCTGAACATAAAAGCTAGTGCTCATATTTTCCCATTGGGCTTTTAAAATCCCCTGTAAAGGCAAGAAAGTGAGATAGGAAAGTAACATATGAATGCACACTCATATGTGTATATACATGGTTTGTGTGTGTGTGTGGACAGACACAGTCTTCCATCTACAGAGACCACCAGTTATTTTTGAAAACTCATTTTAATCTTCCCTTTTCTCATATATATAACCTCTAATATTTCTTATAACCATAGAATTACATAATTTTATGATTTTGTTTCAATATTAGGGGGTACTATGCATTATGGTATTTAGAAGTTTCTAGCTTATTTCTCCTTGCTTCATGTCCCCAACCAGATTATAAATTGCTTGAGGGCAATGGGCTCTTTCCTTCACCTTTTACCCACACCCTCCTCAAATAAAATGCTTTGTATACAAAAGGCATTCCCTGGCATTACTAAAGGTAATTCGTATGAATTTATTAAAATTTGATTGTCTGTGTTTAGCAAAAGAAAGTTTAATATCTATGCTAATAGGTAATTCAGTGAAGGTTGGGTATATATGTGAATTCTTCAGAGAGATCTTAAATGTTTATATTATAGTGTTTTGCTATTTTGTCTTAAGCCAAACCAGAATTTCTTCTTTAGGTGATTTCCGTCACATTGTTTTCTGAAAATAGTACTCTGAAACAGTGGGTTTTGAAATCTGAACATTTAAAGCTTTGGTTGATGATTCATCTTTAGTGTAGAGGGTAGCATCTGGGTCTTGTTTCTATTCTGCAATAGGATATTCTGTCTTGCTAATTCTTAAAAAGAGTTTGGTGTTAGTTATGCGAGAGTATAGGCATTGTCGGTGAGTCTAAGAATGTTATAATAACTCTGAAATATTATGTAATGCTAACTCTTAATATTGAATTTTGATTTGCAGTTTCAGCCACGAGGGTATGAATGCCGGGATGCTGTGAACGAGTGTGATATTACTGAATATTGTACTGGAGACTCTGGTCAGGTATGGCGCACTGAGTTTTTGGTAATACATTTTACTTGTACAGGTTGAGTATTCCTTACCACAGTGCTTGGGGCCAGAAGTGTTTCAGATTTAAGATTTTTTGGATTTTGGAATATTTGCATATTCATAATGAGATATCTTGGGGATGGGACTCAAGTCTGACCATGAAAGTCATGGATGTTTCATATACACTTTATACACATCGCCTGAAGGTAATTTTATGTAATATTTTAAGTAATTTTGTGCATTAAACAAAGTTTCTGTACATTGAACCATTGAACCCTCAGAAAGCAAAGATATCACTATCTCAGCCACCCATGTGGACAATCAGTGGTTGTTTGGCATCACCATCATTCCTGACTCTGAATCTGTATGCTACCAATAGGCAATTACTTTCTTGTACTTATTCACACCTAATTACTTAACAGTAAAAAAAAAAAAATTGGACATGCATTAAGACATTGAAAAAATAATATGTTCACCAAGCAGCACAGTAACATCACCCAGATAACTGTATCAGCTGTTGAAAAATAGCAACAATGAAAATGGCAGGCTTTCAGTCACCACTTATGATGCCGTGTTTTAAACCTTTGAAAAGGTTACTGTAGGATGTATTTTACTTTTTTTTTTTTTAAGAAACATCAGAAGCAGTAGAGGGACCAGGAAGTGGGTCCTCTACGGATAAGGGGGCATTCTGCTGGATGGCTTTTTAAAATGTTTCCTCCAGAGTCATCTGCCTCATTAACAGAGTTTTTGCTTAGAAGTCTCTCTTTGATTTTATTAGGTTGGTGCAAAAGTAATTGCGGTTTTTGCCATTGCTTTTGATGGCAAAATCAATAATTACTTTTGCACCAACCAAATATAAACTGGCATGATTTCTTGTTATGAATGCACACTGGCTCTCGTTCTTCACAAAGCCCGTCACACACTTTCACCATATGTCCAGAGGCACTTCTGCAGTGTTAACAACGTCATCTTCATCATCATGTCAACGTTCAAAAAGTTTCAGATTTTGGAGCATTTCTGATCTTAGATTTTTGGATTAGGGAAGCTCCCTCAACCTGGCTCAACCTGTACATATTTTAAAGCTTTCAGTATAGATTGCACATGTGAATATGCTTTGTTTTATGTTTTATTTTGCTTGGTTTTCTGGTTATTTCTAGCTCTTTACCATACCTTTATTTTAGGAAAGTTTGGTGTGGTTTTCTTTTTTTTTTTTTTGGCAGGAGGGGCCTAAATCTTTTTTTCTTCCTAATTTCTCCTTCATAATTAGTTATCTTTATATGATTTATACCCAACTAATTGAGTTTTCTTTTCTGGTCCTTATATCTTAAACAGTACACTCACATTGATGAAGCACTAATGTGCTGTTTTCAAACATTTTAAAGCCACGAAACTATTTATTAGACAAAATTTGGATGGATGCCCAATGTAGAAAATAAGGAATAAGCAGCACTACTCTGGTTAAAGTGGGATTGGGAGCAGAAGTCCACCTTTCTTAATTCTCCATTGCCGTGTCTGTCCCACAGATGTAGCCCTGGCTTCATGGCCTATGTGGTTTGGCATGATCTTCTTCCCATTAAGCTTATTGCCACATAATTAATATTGCCCTCTAAAATTCCTTCTTTACATAATGTTTATGTTTTTAATTTACCTATTTTATGTGTTTAATTTATACATATTATGTCTTTATTTGTCATTCAAATGAGTATTTGTTGAGGGCCTACTGTGTTAAGCACTGCTGTAAATGCTGGGACATGGCCTTGCTCTTGTGGAACCTACATTCTGCTGGGTATAGAAAGGCAAGTAAATAAAAAATCAGATGGTGGTAAGTACAAAGCATAAAATAAGGCAAAGTGGAAAGAGTATAGGGTAGGATGTGATAGATAGGGTGATCAAATATTTCTTTCTGGAGGACATGGCATGGAAGCAGAGACACAAATAAGAAGGAGCTTGTCAGTAAATAGTGAGTACAGAAGCTTAACTTCTCCATGAAATGGAATGAAAGCAAGGATAGCTGGAGAATAGTAGAAACAAAAAGGAAGTCAAGAATCAGGGCAGGTAGGGACATGTAGGCCATGGAAAGAATTTTAGATTTCATTCTACCTTCATTTTAATTCTGACATTATTTTAAAAGCATTTCCCCATACTGTTACACAGTTTTTATAGTTAATTCTTTTCACGATTGTATGAGAGTCTGTCATGTGGATTTATCAGTTGATTTATACCCAGTATGGGTATTTAGATTTTGGCAGTTTATTATTAGTAGTATAGAAGTGAACATCTTTGTGCATTTTTAAAAGAGTGTTTCTTGTTCAGGGTTAGCTCCTCAGGACAAGCTCCTAAAAATGGGGTTACCTGTTGCTAGGCATTGTGCTTTCCAAGAGGCTCCCAATAGAGTACACTTGGCAGTCAAAATATCACTTTTATTATTGAAAATGGCCAAGTTGAAGGCTGTAGCTTAATGTGAGGGCTAAAAGTTATCTTTAAGATCCCAGTTCAGGCTATAGCAACAGGTTACTGACAAAATTGGGTCCAGAAGGACAATGTATGGCACGGGGAGCAATGGAAAATGCATGGTTTATGTGGGTAGGCTTGCTTATAAAAGAATGGCAGAACTGTGGCGGAATGCCTAGTTCTTCTTCCCAAGCTTATCATTGGTCAGTCACTCCACCTCCCAATGATGGAAGTGAGTAAGGAGTAGGGGAGCTGGGGTTACACTGAGTTCCTTAACCAGAAGAAAAAATGAGGAGAGAGAAAGAAGGGTTCCTAAGTAACATTTTTGTAAAGGTGTTGATATATATTATTTGAAATTCAATTCAGATGGACCCTCTTAAAGAAATGGTACAGTGAAATATGTTCAGGCCGTGTTTTCATGATTTTTATGCATATCTGTTTCTTACATTTCAATATATAAATAGGTTTTTTTGCAATTTTCTGTAATATAATGACAAAGTATGAGAATTGTAGGTTCTGTGTTTAATGACGTGTATTGACAATACTGATACACTGTTTCAGAGTTATATTTTTAGCTTTGTAGAATACTACTGTTTTTATGTTTACCATATATGGTTTTAAAAACTTCTGTGTATTCAGCCCTTTTAGAGGTATAGTTTTTTCATTTCAATCTTTAACTCTTTAAGTGCCATAGAATTTACTAGAAATAAGATTTTTATGATGAGAACTCTTTGTTTAACCTAATATTCTATTGTCTAAGTAAAACATTTTTTCTTTTTATAGCATGTGTCTAAGCTGAAAATTATACTGTTAAATTAATTTCTCAGTACATATTAGAATAGAATATTTTTGCTAATATTTTTCTAGCATGATCAGGATGAACCTAAAATAGAAGTAGAGGGAGTTAAAACCCCCCAAAATTCTTCTTTTTCTCCTTAAGAAATAATGAGCTTTGAATTTAATTAATACTACTAATAATTAAGAAAATGGAATCTCTACAACTCTGAGAATCAGTATTTACAGGCAACATTATGACTTTATCTCTTTTACCTCATAATGTGTTTTTCTTAATTTTTATATTAGCATTTACTGATGCCTCAGAGCTACTTATTAAACTTACGGTTTATAATAGAATAAACAATACTTACGTAATTAAGAGAAATCCTTGACAAACAATACTGGTGGATGTAATACAGATATTTGAAAGATAGCAGAAATAGGAGAAATGTTTTTTGTTAGTGCTATGAAATATGTCATCTAAGTGGGTAGTATAACATAATTTAAAATAAACACTTCTAAATGCTATTGCACTATTGAAGCCTGCCTGCCTCAAGTGAACCATCCTGTATAGCATAATGTACAAGGAAGGTTCTGGAATGACATTTAGAGACTGAATCCAATGCTCCACTCATAAGCAGAATAAAGTGCACAGATTTATGGTTTTCCTGTTTTAAATGTCCCCAGAGAACATAGTACATTCCCTAATTTCCCTCGTTAAACATTCCCATGATAAGCAACTGTCTTTTATTAGCCTAAACTAAAACCAAATAGATTAGAAATCTCACATGTGGCTATGCCAATTTAGAATAAGGGCATTTTTTCTTTTTTTTTTTTCTTTTATTATTATACTTTAAGTTTTAGGGTACATGTGCACATTGTGCAGGTTAGTTACATATGTATACATGTGCCATGCTGGTGCGCTGCACCCACTAACTCGTCATCTAGCATTAGGTATATCTCCCAATGCTATCCCTCCCCCCTCCCCCCACCCCACAACAGTCCCCAGAGTCTGATGTTCCCCTTCCTGTGTCCATGTGATCTCATTGTTCAGTTCCCACCTATGAGTGAGAATATGCAGTGTTTGGTTTTTTGTTCTTGCGATAGTTTACTGAGAATGATGATTTCCAGTTTCATCCATGTCCCTACAAAGGACATGAACTCATCATTTTTCATGGCTGCATAGTATTCCATGGTGTATATGTGCCACATTTTCTTAATCCAGTCTATCATTGTTGGACATTTGGGTTGGTTCCAAGTCTTTGCTATTGTGAATAGTGCCACAATAAACATACGTGTGCATGTGTCTTTATAGCAGCATGATTTATAGTCCTTTGGGTATATACCCAGTAATGGGATGGCTTGGTCAAATGGTATTTCTAGTTCTAGATCCCTGAGGAATCACCACACTGACTTCCACAATGGTTGAACTAGTTTACAGTCCCACCAACAGTGTAAAAGTGTTCCTATTTCTCCACATCCTCTCCAGCACCTGTTGTTTCCTGACTTTTTAATGATTGCCATTCTAACTGGTGTGAGATGATATCTCATTGTGGTTTTGATTTGCATTTCTCTGATGGCCAGTGATGATGAGCATTTTTTCATGTGTTTTTTGGCTGCACAAGGTTTTTTTCTAACTGAAACATCACAAAAGTAAAATCTGATAAATTAATTTTAGATCCTGATGTGCTTTTTCTAATAGCAATATTGCTTTTGCATTACTGTTGACTGTGGTTGTGTTAGTTTTATTTATTTTTTAACATTACAAATCTATTTATTTATTTTTCCATAAGTGTTTGGGGTACAGGTGGTATTTGGTTACATGAGTAGGTTCTTTAGTGGTGATTTGTGAGATTTTGGTGCATCCATCACCCGAGCAGTATACACTGCACCATATTTGTAGTCTTTTATCCCTCACCCCCCTCCCCAATTCCCCCCAAGTCCCCAAAGTCCATTGTATCATTATCATGTCTTTGCGTCACTACTTAGCTACCACATATCAGCGAGAACATATGATGCTTGGTTTTCCATTCCTGAGTGACATCACTTAGAATAATAGTCTCCACTCTCATCCAGGTCACTGCAAATGCTGTAAATCCATTCCTTTTTATGACTATGTAGCATTCCATCATATATATATATATGTATGTATGTACATACACACACACTACAGTTTCTTTATCCACTCATTGATTGATGGGCATTTGGGTTGGTTGATGGTCATTTGGGGTGGTTCCATGATTTTGCAGTTGTGAATTGTGCTACTATAAACATCTGTGCGCAAGTATCTTTTTTGAATAATGACGTCTTTTCCTCGGGGTAGATACCCAGTAGTGGGATTCCTGGATCAAATAGATCTATTTTTAGCTGTTTAAGGAATCTCCACACTGTTTTCCATAGTGGCGGTACTAGTTTACATTCCCACCAGCAGTGTAGAAGTGTTCCCTGTTCACTGCATCCACGCCAGTGTCTACTGTTTTTTTATTTTTTTATTATGGCCATTCTTGCAGGAGTAAGGTGGTATTGCATTGTGATTTTGATTTGCATTTCCCTGATCATTAGTGATGTTGAGCATCTTTTCATATGTTTGTTGGCCATTTGTATATCTTCTTTTGAGAATTGTCTATCCTTAGCCCACTTTTTGATGGGATTGTTTTTTTTCTTACTGATTTGTTTGAGTTCATTGTAGATTCTGGATATTATTTCTTTGTTAGATGCATAGATTATGAAGATTTTCTCCCATTCTTTGGGTTGTCTCTTTACTCTGCTGACTTTTCCTTTTGCCATGCAAAAGTTCTTTAGTTTAATTAGGTCCCAACTATTTATCTTTGTTTTTATTGCATTTCCTTTTGGGTTCTTGGTCATGAAATCTTTGCCTATAAGCCAATGTCTAGAAGGGTTTTTCAATGTTTTCTTCTAGAATTTTTATAGTTTCAGGTCTTAGGTTTAAGTCCTTAATCCATCTTGAGTTGATTTTTCTTTAAGGTGAGAGATGAAGATCCAGTTTCATTCTCCTACATGTGGCTAGCCATTTATCCCAGCACCATTTATTGAAAAGGGTGTCCTTTTCCCCACTTTATGTTTTGTTTGCTTTATCAAAGATCAGTTGGCTGTAAGTATTTGGGTTTATTTCTGGGTTCTATATGCCATTGGTCTATATGCCTATTTTTATACCAGTGCCATGCTGTTTTGGTGACTATGGCCTTACAGTATAGTTTGAAATCAGGTAATGCAATGCCTCCAGATTTGTTCTTTTGCTTAGTCTTGCTTTGGCTATGTGGGCTCTTTTTTGGTTCCATATTAGTTTTAGAATTGTTTTTGCTAATTCTGTGAAGAATGATGGTGGTATTCTGATGGGGATTGTGTTGAATTTGTAGATTGCTTTTGGCAGTATGCTCGTCTTCAAATATTGATTCTACCCATCTGTGAGCATGGGATGTATTTCCATTTGTTTGTGTCATCCATGATTTCTTTCAGCAGTGTTTTAGTATAGAGGTTTTTTGACCCTTTGTTAGGTATATTCCTAAGTATTTTTTTTTTTTGCAGCTATTGTAAAAGGGGTTGAGTTCTTGATTTGATTCTCTGATTGATCGCTGTTGGTGTATAGAAGAGCTACTGATTTGTTTACATTAATCTTGTATCTGGAAACTTTGCTGAATTCTTTTATCAGTTCTAGGAGCTTTCTAGAGGAGTCCTTAGGGTTTTCAAGGTAAACAATCATATCATCAGCAAACAGTGACAGTCTGACTTCCTCTTTACTGACTTGGATGCCCTTTCTTTCTTTCTCTTGTCTGATTGCTCTGGCTAGGACTTTCAGTACTATGTTGAAGAAGAGTGGTGAGAGTGGGCATCCTTGTCTTGTTCCAATTCTCAGAGGGAATGCTTTCAACTTTTCCCCATTCAGTATTATGCTGGCTGTGGGTTTGTCACAGATGGCTTTTATTACATTGAGGTATGTCCCTTGTATGCCGATTTTGCTGAGAGTTTTAATGATAAAGGGATGCTGGATTTTGTCAAATGCTTTTTCTGCACCTATTGAGATGATCATGTGATTTTTGTTTTTAATTCTGTTTATGTGGTGTATTGCATTTATTAGCT